>NC_000014.9:42111713-42736713 GCF_000001405.40 Homo sapiens
CTTGCACCATGATCTCAAGGGAGCAGGCTGGAGCACCCAGCATTGACACACACAGGCTGGTTCTGAGTTGCTAAGCTGGCCCTTGCTGCAAGTCTCATTGCCCAAGAGAAATCACAGTGGTAGCAGTTCTCCTCTGCCCCAGGCCTGCAACAGGGGAAAGGACAATTCTAGCTCCTGCTGTTGAGGAATTTTTTACAGTTCTGGCTATGGAGGCACCTAACCAAATCCATACAGGTGCTCCAATATCTGGCCTAAGACTAAAATGTCTGCGTGGCCACGCTACTGAGTCACCAAAGAATGACTGACTTTGTATGCGTTTGGATTAAAAATGGTGTCCTACTCTTAGTTTTGGGTCTGGAACAATGCCTGCAGCTTTTCCCAGTGTCTTTTTCTCTTTGTGTCTCCAAGCCTCTTCCCAACTTGGTTTCAGAGCTTAGGAGAAACAAACTACTCTCCCTCAGCCAGGGTTGCTCAACTACCTGATAGAAAAGTGAGTCACAGATGGAGTCTGTGTGCCTCTCTCACATACTGGGGCTGGATGCTTTCATGCGGACTGTTTGCCTGCATTCTCCTCCCTTGGGTCTCGGATGTATTTCGGTTTTGGTGGATTCCCATTTTCCTTTTTGGATTAAAGCTCACATAGTTTGTATTTATGCACACTCTTACTATTTCCAAGTGGCTGAGTCACACTAAAAGCCTCTAATACACCGCTTTGTTGTGGTGCGGGCGGGGGACTGTAGTTTTTATAGTTATGGAAGTCTTGACGAGTCATGGTTAGGTACTCTATAGAATGTTCTCTAATCTGGACTTCTGTGATGTTTTTGTCATAATTAGACTGCAGTCGTGGATTTGGGGAGAGAATATCCAATAGTTGAAGTGCCCTTCTTCTCACTTTATGTCATAGATTATATGATACCAACATAATGTTGTGTCCAGAATGGGTGGGTTCTTGGTCTCATTGACTTCAAAAATGAAGCCACCGACCCTCGCGTGAGAAGGAGTTACAGTTCTTAAAGACAGCGTGTCAGGCGTTTGTTCTTTCTGACATCTGGATGTGTTCGGAGTTTCTTCCTTCTGGTGGGTTCGTGGTCTCGCTGGATGAGGAGTGAAGCTGCGGACCTTCACGGTGAGTGTTGCAGCTCTTAAGGTGGCACATCTGGAGCTGTTCGTTCCTCCCGGTGGGTTCGTGGTCTCGCTGACTTCAGGAGTGAAGCTGCAGGCCTTCGTGGTGAGTGTTACAGCTCATAAAGGCAGTGTGAACCGAAAGAGTGAGCAGCAACAAGATTTATTGCAAAGAGTGAAAGAACAAAGCTACCACACTGTGGAACAGTACCTAGAGAGTTGCCACTGCTGGTTCAGGCAGCCTGCTTTTATTCTCTTATCTGGCCCCACCCACATCCTGCTGATTGGTCCATTTTACAGAGAGCCGATTGGTCTGTTTTACAGAGAGCTGATTGATCAGTTTTGACAGGGTGCTGATTGGTGCGTTTACAATCCCTGAGCTAGACACAAAAGTTCTCTACCTCCCCACTAGATTAGCCAGATACAGAGTGTCCACTGGTGTATTTACAAACCCTGAGCGAGACACAGAGTAATGATTGGTGCATTTACAAACCTTGAGCTAGACACAGAGTGCTGATTGGTACACTCACAATCTCTTAGTTAGACACAAAGGTTCTCCAAGTACCCACTGGACTCAGGAGCCCAGCTGGCCTCACCCAGTGGATCCTGCACCGGGGCTGTAGGCAGAGCTGCCTACCAGTCCCGCAGGTGTGCCCGCACTCCTCAGCCCTTGGGCGGTTGATGGGACCAGGTGCTGTGGAGCAGGGGGCGGTGCTCGTCGGGGACGCTGGGGCCGCGCAGGAGCCGACGGCGGCCGGGGGAAGCTCAGGCATGGCGGGCTGCTGGTTCCGAGCCCCGCCCCGCGGGGAGGCAGCTAAGGCCCAGCGAGAAATCGAGCACAGCAGCTGCTGGCCCAGGTGCTAAGCCCCTCACTGCCCGGGGCCGGCGGGCTGGCCGGGCTGGCCGGGTCGGCCGGCCGCTCTGAGTGCGGGGCCGCCGAGCCCACGGCCACCCGGAACTCGCGCTGGCCCGCAAGCGCCGCGCGCAGTCCCAGTTCCCGCCCGCGCCTCTCCCGTCATACCCCCAGCAAGCCGAGGGAGCCGGCTCCGGCTTCGGCCAGCCCAGAGAAGGGCCCCCACGGTGCAGCGGGGGGCTGAAGGGCCCCCCAAGCGCGGCCAGAATGGGCGCCGAGGCCGAGGAGGCACGGAGAGCGAGGGAAGGCTGCGAGGACCGCCAGCATGCTGTCACCTCTCAGTGTGACAGGTAATGTTAATCTTCATTTGCATAATACAGTGTTTGCCATGTTTCTCTGCTAAAAAATAATTACAATTCCTAGTACTGCTTATTCCTTGAAATAAAACCTAGACTACCTTCAAAAGATAAAAGGAAGGATTAAGCGCCCCTCCTAGAGGGGAAAGTATTATGTATATTATCTAAAATTCTTCTGTAAGAAATATTTCACAAGTAATATTTTTAAATCATAAAAAAATCAAAAAATTGTATTCCAACTACCTATTTATTATGAATAATACACATATAAAATATTTTTCATATTTATCTTGTATCTGTTTTCCAAATATAAAACAAAGCAGATAAAGTTGAATTATACTATATTTGCCTGTTTGAACTTCCCCTTTCCTACTACTTTTGAATCAACTACCAGCAGAAATTTGAAGTATATGCATTATTTTATGATATTATTCTTTTACTTTCTATAGGTAGCCACAAAAGTTAGCATATGGTTTTTTACTCAAATTTTTATACAAATGAATTTATAGTTATTTTTCTTTAATATTCAAAGTTAATCTGAGATTCATCCATGTTGATACCAATATATTAGTTCATTAATTTTGCCTGCTATTAGGTGTTTTTTTGGTTTGAATATCATGATGAATTTATATATTGAATTATAGATGGACTTTGGTATATTTTCCATTTGGGGGGCCGTTCGTTACAAACATTACTCAGTGAATGACATAATTTTCTCCTTGTGCACATAGGAAATTATTTATATTGAAGTAGTTTTTCAACTGTTGCTATATATTACAATCATCTAAGAAATTTAAAGAATATGTGATTGCCAGAGTTGGAACCCAAATTCATCTCTAAGCAGCAGATCTGTATATATGTATATGTACACTTATTTCTATATAACTCCCTAGGTGTCCAAAAAACCAGTAAGCTTTGGAAACTACTACACTTAGATATATGCCTGGAAGTGAAATTGTGTGGGTTTTCTTTTAACTTCTTTAGGCATTTCTCTTTAAAGTGGTTGTGCCATCAATATATGAGTTTTTTCAGTCTCAGATTCATAAGAATACCTGAAAGTAACTGATTTATCTTTTCTTTAAAAGTGTACTTCATTGTTGTTTTAATATGTTCTTCTCTGATTTGCTACATGTGAGCCCATTGAATCAATATACTTTATTTTAGGTTTATAAGTATGTAAATACTCTCAATATGATCTCAACATCAGTTTTATTAGGTTTAACAGCACAAAATGGCAACACAGCACCTAGCCAAACAATATTTGTATCAAGAGGGCTGGCAACATCCCAGGTGCATTTCCACCTGATCTCCAGTGCCTCAGGTGTATAAAATGAAGTTGAAGTGGAAAATTCCCCTACTATTCCTAGTATATATCATATACATTGCTTGGCATTTAGTCGTTCCAGGATGTCAACTTTCATCATTGCCAGCACAGAGGCAAGTTGTTTAGAGGAATTTCACAGTAAACCATTCGGATAAGCAGGTACCAACTGAACAGTTAACATTGCACACTTATTTTAGATCTTTACATTTGGGAGAGCAGTGTTTGGGGAAGGTAAATTCAGGAATATATCCTAGACTCTGTTAAGAGTTCATAACACCTGTTAACATTTTTACTCAAAGTAGTGATATTATACATCTTTTCCTATGTTTTTCTTTCCATTCACTTTACTCTTCTGTAAATTACTTATTTATAGGTTTTGCCTAATTTACCACATTATCTTTCTTCATCTTATTGGTTTGTAGGAGTGCAAAAAACTTCTGAATGCTAACTTTATTTTCAAAGTTGCAGGTATTTTTTCTCATCCTATATTCAGTATTTTAATTTTGTTATAATTTCATACTAAAAGCTAGAAAGGATTCAGGAATATTCCTAGAAACACACATATATGTGAAATGTATAGACATACATATGTATGCACAGAAACATATACACATAGATATATGCATGTGGACATACAATTTAAATTGATTATTCTCCTGGTTGGTGAACTAAAATATAGACTTTGTATAGAGATCCATGATAGTGGACAGGAGAAGAGCTGAAGGAGCCTAGAAACCAGACAGTAATAGCATTAGTGTCGATATTATTAACAAAATGACAGTTATTACTTAAGTCCAGCTTAGGGAATGGATTTTAAATGGTAGTTACTGAGGATAAACATTCAATATGTGCTTACTGAAAGGTTTGAAAAATTAAATTCTTTGATAGCTCATGTTTCTAATCTTTATTTAAAGGAATTGCTTTATTCCATATTTATCCCATCATAAAATATATAAGGCAAAGGAGACCACAATGGAATGGTAAGTTTGACTTTTAAGCATCTAGAGAAGCATATGACTTATTTTTTGTGTTTAAATTGTAGAACATATGGTTTTAAATTTTTATCATATTCTTACTTGAAAATGGGACTATATGTTTATTTTCTGAAAATTTGCATGATTTTACTGAGACATGATTGGGTAGCATTCCAGACAACCAAAAGGACCCACTTGCCAAACAATAGAAATAAATAGTATCTTTAAAACTCTGCAGTACAGTCCCTTTGCCTCAGTCATTTATCAATGAGAAAAATTCAGTGCAGCTGTGCACATTGCCAAACATCTGAAATTTTAAAATCTTACTAGAAATGACAACACTTCTAAATATAAACTCCTTAACTTTGAAGTGAGATATATTACATCTATGTCCAGGCACACTGTAGTACTCCAGAAAGCTGCGTTTCTTCCTCATGTTTCATTGCAGCTATTTGGGGTTTGAAGTTAATTTGTTACTCACTTTGAAAGCACTAGCATATTTAAAAGAGATTTTCAAGACATTTACCACCTGGTTTGATTTACTACATTATTTAAAGACCTGAGAAGGAATTACCTCTCCTTAATTTTCTAATTTCCTAAATATGTCTTTCAGTTTGCTCATGCTAATAAGAGTAAGCTGCTCCAAACCACTGGGGAAGTCTGTACTTATCCATTACTCAGATACATAAGATTGGAACAATTTGATATTTTAAACCATTAACTGTGGCATCTTTTGATATAGAAAATATTTTAGGCAACCTAAAGTTTCACTAATATGATGGATAAATAACATGTAGTGTATTCATATCAAAATACTGTAAAATGATTAAAACAATGAACTTATCTCGATCTACACAGATAGAACACAGAAGTATACAGTTGAATAAAATAAAGTTGAAAAGATGTATAGAACATTATGTAAATATATGAAGCAATTATAATGATATATATAATATACAAGTATATACTAATAAGTATACAATACACTTAAATAATGTGTAATTATGGCTGTCTGTACTTGTTGGACTATGAAATTCAGATCAGGAGTGGGATTAGAAGTTGAAAGGTATACTCTTTGTTTATATATAATGTATCTTATTTGTAAAACTCAAAAATAACTGTAAATTTGTAATATTTTTTAGAATTGTAGTAAAGAGGCTGGGTGCGGAGGCTCATGCCTGTAATTCCAGCACTTTGGGGAGCCAAGGCAGGAGGTTCACCTGAGGTCAAGAGTTCGAGACCAGCCTGGCCAACATAGTGAAACCCTGTCTTGACTAAAAATACAAAAATTAGCCATGTAATTTTTGTGCGCACCTGTAATCCCAGCTATTCGGGAGGCTGAGGCAGGAGAATCACTTGAACTCAGGAGGTGGAGGTTGCAGTGAGCCGAGATTGCACCACTGCACTCCAGCCTGGGCAACAAGAACAGAACTCCATTTCAAAAAAATAATTGTAGTAGAGATAATTTTCAATTAATTTAAATCTTGTGGTCACTATTTGGGCAAGGTTGTAGATTAGTGTCTCAGGCTTACAGAAGTATAGTCATGTAATGTTTAAAATTTATGAGGATTAATAGAATTCATGAATTATTTTTGTTTAATTCATGAATGAAAACTTTCTAGTAATTTCCTTTCTTCTGCTGGATTTTGGTTTGGTTTGTTCTTGTTTCTCTAGTTCCTTGAGGTGTAACCTTAGAATGTCTGTGCTTTCAGTCTTTTTGATGTAGGTGTTTAGGGCTATGAACTTTACTCTTAGCACTGCTTTTGCTGGATCCCAGAGGTTGTGACAGGTTGTGTCATTATTGTCATTCAGTTCAAAGAATTTTCTAATTTCTATCTTGATTTCTTTTTTGACCCAACGCTCATTCAGGAGCAGGTTACTTGATGCCTATGTATTTGCATGGGTCTGGAGCCTCCTTATAGAGTTGATTTCCAGTTTTATTCCACTGTGGTCTGAGAGAGTGCTTGATATAATTTCAATTTTCTTAAATTTATTGAAGCTTGTTTTATGGCCTATCATATGGTATATCTTGGAGAAAGTTCCATGAGCTGTTGAATGGAATATTCTGTATGTATCTGTTAGGTCAATTTGTTCCAAGGCATAGTTTAAATCCATTGTTTCTTTGTTGGCTTTCTGTCTTGATGACCTGTCTAGTGCTGTCAGTGGAGTATTGAAGTCCCCCAGTATTATTGTGTTGCTGTCTGTCTCATTTCTGGGGTCTATTAGTAATTGTTTGATAAATTTGGGAGCTCCAGTGTTAGATGCATATATGTTAAGGATTGTGATATTTTCCTGTTGGACAAGGCCTTTTACCAGTATATAATGTCCCTCTTTGTCTCTTTTAACTACTGTTGCTTTAAAATTTGTCTCATCTGATATAAGAATAGCTACCCCTGCTTGTTTTTGGTGTCCATTTGCATGAAATGCCTTTTTCCACCCCTTTAAGTTTATGTGAGTCCTTATGTGTTAGGTGAGTCTACTGAAGGCAGCAGAACAGAACTAAATGAAATGGAAACAAAAAATAAATACAAAAGATAAATTAAACAAAAGCTGGTTCTTTGAAAAGATAAATAAAATTGATAGACCATTAATAAAACTAACCAAGAAAAGAAGAGACAAAATCCAAATAACCTTACTAAGAAATGAAACAAGAGATATTACAACTGACATCACTGGAATACAAAAAATCATTCAAGGCTACTATAAACACCTTTATGCACATAAACTAGAAAACCTATAAGAGATGGATAAATTCCTGGAAAAATACAACCCACTTAGCTTAAATCAGGAAGAATTAGATATCCTGACAGACCAATTATAAGTAGTGAGACTGAAGTAATAATTTAAGAATAACCAACAAAAAGAAGTCCAGGACTAGATGGATTCACAGCAGAATTCTGCCAGATAGTCAAAGAAGAATTGGTACCAACTGGTACCAAAAGAATAAGTGTCCTTTTGACACTTCCACAAGATAGAGAAAGAAAGAACTCTCCCTAATTCATTTTATGAAGCCAGCATCACCCTAATACCCAAATCAGGAGAGGACACAATCCACCCCCCCATAAAAAAGCTACAGTCCGATATCCTTGATGAACACTGATGCTAAAATTCTTAACAAAATACTAGCTAACTGAAACCAACAACATATCAAAATGTAATCCATCATGATCAAGTGTGTTTCATACCAGGGATGCAGCGATGGTTTAACATATGCAAGTCAATAAATGTAATGCACTGCATAAACTGAATTTTTTAAAAAGATGATCATCTCAATAGATGCAGAAAAGGCATTCAACAAAATCTAGCATCTTTTATGATTAAAACTCTCAGCAAAATTGGCATACAAGGGACACACCTTAATGTAGTAAAAGCCATCTATGGCAAACCCACAGCCAACATAATGCTGAATGGGGAAAAATTGAAAGCATTCCCTCTGAGAACTGGAACAAGACAAGGATGCTGACTCTCACCACTCCTCTTCAACATAGTACTGAAACTCCTAGCCAGAGCAGTCAGACAAGAGAAATAAATAAAGGACATCCAAATCAGTAAAGAGGAAGTCAAACTGTCACTGTTTCCTGACAATATTATCATTTACCTTGAAAACTCTGAGGACTCCTCCAGAAAGTTCCAGAACTGATGAATTCAGCAAAGTTTCCAGATACAAGATTAATGTACACAAATCAGTAGTTTTTCTATACACCAACAGCATCCAAATAGAGAATCAAATTAAGAACTCAACTCCTTTTACAATAGCTGCAAAAAAATTGAAATACTTAGGAATATACTTAACCAAGGAGTTGAAAGACTTCTACAAGGAAAACTATAAAACACTGCTGAAGGGAATCATAGACGACACAAACAAATGGAAACACAACCCAGGCTCATGAATGGGTAGAATCAATATTGTGAAAATGACCATACTTCCAAAAGAAATCTACAAATTCAACGGAATCCCCATCAAAATACCACCATCATTCTTCAGAGAATTAGAAAAAACAATTCTAAAATTCATATGAGACCAAAAAAGAGCCTGTACAGCCAAAGCAAGACTAAGCAAAAAGAACAAATCTGGAGGAAACAAATCTGATTTATAACTATACTCTAAGGCCAGAGTCACCAAAACAGCATGGTACTGGTATAAACATAGGCATATAGACCAATAAAACAGAATAGAGAACCCAGAAATAAACCCAAGTATTTACAGACAACTGATATCCGACAAAACAAACAAAAACATAAAGTGGGAAAAGGACACCCTTTTCAACAAATGGTGCTGGGATGATTGGCAAGCCACACGTAGGAGAATGAAACTGAATCCTCATCTTTCACATTATAAAAAAATAAACTCAAGATGGACTAAGGACTTAAACCTAAGACTTGAAACTATAAAACTTCTAGAAAATAATATTGGAAAAACCTTTCTAGACATTGGCTTAGTCAAGGATTTCATGACGAAGAACTCAAAAGCAAATGTAATAAAAACAAAGATAAATAGCTGGGACCTAATTAAAGTGCTTTTTCACAGCAAAAGAAACAGCAGAGTAAACGGACAACTCACAGAGTGAGAGAAAATCTTCACAATCTGTACATCTGACAAAGGACTAATACCCAGAATCTACAACAAACTCAAATTAGTATGCAAAAAACAATCTCATCAAAAAGTGGGCTAAGGACATGATAGACAATTCTCAAAAGAAGATAGACAAATGGCCAACAAACATATGAAAATATGCTCAACATCTCTAATGATCAGGGCAATGCAAATCAAAACCACAATGCAATACTACCTTACTCCTGCAAGAATGGCCATAATTAAAAAAACAGTAGATGTTGGCATAGATGCGGTGAACAGAGAACACTTCTACACTGCTGGTGGGAATGTAAACTAGTACAGTCACTATGAAAAACAGTGTGGATGGTGAAACTCCGTCTCTACTAAAAATACAAAAAATTAGCCAGGCATGGTGGCGGGCGCCTGTAGTCCCAGCTACTCGGGAGGCTGAGGCAGGAGAATGGTGTGAACCCAGGAGGTGGAGCTTGCAGTGAGCCGCGATCGCGCCACTGCCTTCAGCCTGTGCGACAGAGCGAGACTCCGTTAAAAAAGAAAAACAAAAACAATGTGGAGATTCCTAAAACAACTAAAAGTAGAGCTACCATTTTATCCAGTAATCCCACTACTGGGTATGTACCCAGAGGAGAAGAAGTCATTATTCAAAAAAGATACTTGCACACACATGTTTATAGCGGCACAATTCACAATAGCAAAATGGTGGAACTAACCCAAATGCCCATCAATCAATGAGTGGATAAAGAAACTGATATATATATATATATATATATATATATATATATATATATATATATGTATATATGTATATGATGTGATATATATATGTATATGATATATATATGTATATGATGTGATATATATATGATGTGAGAGATATATATATGATGTGAGAGATATATATATATGTGATATATATATATATATGATGGAATACTGTGAAGCCATAAAAAGGAATGAATTAACATCATTTGCAGTGACCTGGATAAGATTGGAGACTATTATTCTAACTGAAGTAACCCAGGAATGGAAAACTCAAATATCATATGCTCTCACTGATATGTGGGAGCTAAGCTATGTGGATGCAAAGGCATAAGAATGACACAGTGGTCACTGGGGACTTGGGGGGAAGGGTGGGAGGAAGGCAAGGGATAAAAGACGGCAAATAGGGTGCGAAGTATACTGCTCAGGTGATGGGTGCAACAAAATCTCACAAATCACCACTAAAGAACTTACTCATGTAACCAAACACCACCTGTACCCCAGTAATTTATAGAAAAATAAAAATGAAATAAATAAAAGTAACTTTCTAGTGCATTATTTATAACTTTTTATTGAAATTCTGTGAAGACTGATACATATATAGACCAAATACAAATGAAACTCCTTTCTGAATGTCTGCCTTTAAAACATAAAAATATATTGCATCTGAGTCCATGAGTGTAAACATAACATAGGGAAGTAGTATACTGCACAACATTTTAAGAATAATCTTGTTGTCTACTTGAAATTATGTCACAATATGTAATTCTTATTTATATTTATATATAATAAGTTATCAACATATGATAATTCAATGTTTTGAATTATTTCAAAATGTAGAAACATATATTGTTTTCCAAAGATTTTAGCTATACTTATATTAAATTTTGTTATACTGATAACATCTTTCAATGTATTAGCCTACATTTATTCTTTGGCTTTGCTTTATAAAAAATAATTTTTAGTCCAAAATGTATTTTTTTCTTATAAACATGTTTGATTTAATGATTTTGAATAACTACTGTGGTTTCTAAATTAAAAAATCTATTTACTAAAGTACGATTTTTCTAAATGCCATCAAGGAGGAATTGCTTAGGCACCCATAAAAACATTCTGAAAATTTGTGGTCAGAGGAGTTCTTGATCAAGGATGGTTAATTCTGAAAGAGTGTTATTTAGCATTAAGTTTGTTTACAAGTGATATAAAGTCCACAGGTAATAGTGACATAATCAGTATGGAAACTTATTTTTCCCTTGTTTAAAAGTACAGCTATATTGCTCAAGACTAGTATGGTGAGTTCGTGATTGTCTCCCTGCCTTTTGCTGCTACAAAAAAAATACCACAGACTAGGTAATTTATAAACAAGAGAAATTTATTTCTTAACAATTCTGGAGCCTGGGAAGTTCGACATAAAAATACCAGCAGTTTCAGTGTCTGGTGAGGATGGCTCTCTGCTTTCAAGATGGTGCCTTGCTGCTTTTCCTTCAAAGAGGATAAGCTATGTGCTCACATGGTGTAAGAGACCATTTCCCCCTTAAGCCTTTTTTAAACAAATTTCCCCCTTAAGCCTTTTTTAAAAGCACTAATTCATGCATGAAGGCAGAAATCTCATGACCTAATCACAGCCTAAAGGCTGCATCTCTTAATACCTTTAAATTGGCAATTAAATTTCAACATGAATTTTGGAGGGGATATATTCAAACCATGGCAATGATCATCAGACACCAAGGCTGCTACTCTCTCATACCACAGATTTCTTTACTTTAAGGAAATGTTCTGGATTAACACGTATCACTTCACTTGTATTACTTTAGCTAGAATGCATGCACATGGATACATCTTGCTGTAAGGGAGTGTTGGCACTGTAATCGTAACTCTCTTTGGCATGTGCCAGGCAAAAATTTGGAAGTTTTCTTTTATTGTAAAGGAGAAGGACAGTAATGAGTGTGGAATAATGATCAGAGACTTAGAAACTTCAGCTGGTCTGACTTTTTTGCTACTGGTGTCTTTAAGACTCAGTAATACATCAGTGAAAGGTAATTTTGCTTGTCATAAATCAGCAGATTCTGTCAAGGTCAGTTTGCCTATGTTGTTGGCAGGGAACCTTTGTCAGATGGTGTCTGATATATCTGAAATATCTGAAATAGTACCTAGCTTACAACAATTTAATTGAATGGAATATAATTACTTATATCAATGTTGAGAATAAATATTAGAACTTTTTCTTTTTCCTTGAAAAGTATAGATTTTTTTCAAAGTCAGAATTCAGTATAACATTAAGATATTTGCCATTTCTATATCTAGATAACTTTGTAGGTTGAGTTAGTATGCAGAGGACAACAGTCACTCTTTGAGATTCTGCATTTATCTCTTGCTCATTTGTGAACATCAGGCTCCTCTGTCCTGAAGTCAGAGGCTCTTACACTGAGGTGACATCAAGATATTATACTAAGTCAGAGAAAGGCACAGACATGAGAGAACCTACAGGCCCTTTCTCAGATGGAAGTATGATCTTGTTTTGAAAAATAAAGTTGATTGGTCACAGAATTTATGATTAGATGATGATAAATCTGTTGTAAAAAGTAAGATTTTCTGTTTTCTATCTGTTGCTGTACAATAAATTAACCCCAAAACTTAGCAAACTAAAACAAATAAAAAATTACTGTCTCACAGTTTTTGTGGGTCAGGAATCAGGGAGCCACTTAGCTGGGTGGTTCTGGCTCATAGTCTTTCATGAGATTGTGGTGAAGCTATTGGCTGGGACTGCAGCCTCTGAAGAGTTGTCTGTTGCTGGATGTTCTGTGTCCAAGCTCACTCACCTGGTTGTTGGCTGAGGATTACAGTTCTTTGCCAAGTGAGTTTCTCCAAATGGCTGCCTGTGTCATGGTTTCCCTTAGAAAAAGAGATGAGAAACAGAGAAGAGAGAGAAAGAGGAAAAAGAAGAAGAAGAAGCCAGAAGCCAGAATCTTTATAACCTAATTTAAAAAGTGAACATAAATTATTTCTGTTGAAAAAATACCTAGGAGTACAGCCAACAAGGGAGGAGAAAGATTGCTACAAGGAAAACTACAAAACACTGCTCAAAGGAATCAGAGATGACACCAATAAATGAAAAAAAAGCATGATCATAGACAGGAAGAATCAATATCATTAAAATTATTATACAGTTTAGAGCAAGTTATAGAGCCAATGTTATTCCCATTAAATTACCATTGATATTATGTACAGAATAACAAAAACTATTTTAAAATTCATATGGAATCAAAAAAGAACATGAATAGCCAAGGCAATTCTAAGCACAGAGAACAAAGCTGGAGGCATCATGCTACCCAACTTCAACCTATGCTACAAGGATATAGTAACTAAAACAGGATGATACTGGTACAAAAACAGACATGTACACCAGTGGGACAGAATAGATAGCCTAGAAGCCTAGAAATAAGGCTGCAAATCTACCGGTATCTCATCTTTGACAAAGCTGACAATAGCAAGCAATGGGGAAAGGACTCCCTATTTAATGAATGGTGCTGAGATAACTGGCTAGCCATATGCAGAAAATTGAAACTAAATCCTTCCTTTATACCATCTACAAAAATGAACTTAGGATGGTTTAAAGACTTAAATGTAAAACCCAAAGCTATAAAACCTCTGAAAGACAACCCATACCATAGCATTCTGGGCATAGAAATGGGTAAAGACTTCATGACAAAGACACCAAAAGCAATTGCAATGAAAGCAAAAAATGACAAATGAGAACTAATTAAACTAAAGAGCTTTTGCACAGCAACGGAAACTATCAACAGAGTAAACATTTGACCCAGAAATCCCATTACTGGGTATACCCAGAGGAGTTTTTCATATAGAATGATACAAAATGTTTGCAAACTATGCATCTGACAAATATATCTAGCATCTATAAGGAAATTAAACAAATTTACAAGAAAAAAATGAACAACCCCATTAAAAACTGGGCAAAGGGCATGAACAGACACTTTTCAAAAGAAGACATACATCTGGCCAACCAGCATATGAAATAAAAAAAGCTCAATATCACTGATTATTAGAGAAATGTAAATGAAGACCACAATGAGAACCATCTCACCACAGTCAGATGGCTACTGTTAAAAAGTCAAAAAATAACATATGCTGGAAAGGTTTTGGAGTAAAGGTAGCACTTGTACACTGTTGGTGGGAGTATAAATTAGTTCAACCATTATGGAAGACAGTGTGGTGATTCCTCAAAAACCTAAAAGCAGAAATACCAGTTGACCCAACAATCCCATTACTGGGTATGTACTCAGAGGAATATAAATTATTCTGTCATAAAGACACATGCGCATGTATGTTCATTGTAGCAATATCCACAATAGCAAAGACATGCTATCAAACTAAATCCCATCAATGATAGACTAAATAAAGAAAATGTACATATGCACTATGGAATACTATGCAGCTACTTAAAAAAAATGACATTATGTCCTTTGCAGGGACAGACTAAATAAAGAAAATGTACATATGCACTATGGAATACTATGCAGCTACTTAAAAAAAATGACATTATGTCCTTTGCAGGGACGCGGATGGATCTGGAGGCCATTATCATTAGAAAACTAACTCAGGAACAGAAAACCAAATACCACATGTTCTCACATTTAAGCAGAAGCTAGATGATGAGAACACATTAACACAAAGAAGGGAACAACATACAGTGGAGGGTATAAGAAAGTGGAGGTTGGGAGGAGGAAGAGGATCAGGAAAAGTAACTAATGTGTAGTAGGCTTAATAGCTGGGTAACTAAATAATCTGTATAACAACCCCCCATGACACAAGTTTAGCTATATAACAAACATGCACATGTACCCCTGAACTTAAAATAAAAGTCCTGTTTTAAAAAATCACTTCTGTTGTATTGTTGTGTGCAATTGGACACACAGACCAAACCTAATACAACATGACAGAGAACCACAGAACAGTGTGAATACCATGGGGGGAAATTGTAGACCATTTTGGAGTCTGACTACTGTATGTATGTATGTATGTATGTATGTATGTATGTATGTAGCATTTAGCACTGCTTCACTGTAAAAACTGAATCAAAATGGTTACTGTTATTATTATTATTACTACATAAAACAATCCATGGTTTTATTATGATTATTTGCCAGATCAGGAAAGTGAAGGCCAGAGGTTTTATGATTCACTTGTGGTCACAATGTTAGTAAGCATTAGTTAATGATAAAGTCTAGCTTTTCAAAATTCCAGATCCCATGATTTTTCTACCAATAACCAATACAAGATAAAAACTACACTCATCTCTAGCATGTGTATGAATTAGTGTTTATATGTGTGTACACATTCAATACATCAAAAAATGAATTCCCAATCTGCTCCCTGCTCCAAGCCTATTCCTCTAGCTGTCTTAAATTAATGGCAATTTCCCACTTACTTTCTCAAACCAAAATTTGCAGTCAGTCTTTCATCACTCTACATATACTCTATGAGCGAATCTCAGCTGGACATTTCAGTCACTTCCATTTTGCTTGTTAGCCCAAACTCCTCCTGGTCCAACATACCATCATCATTCACTTAGATAATTGCAATAGCCCCCTTCAGTGTATTCTCCATGAAACAGCCACAAAAACCCTGTTAAATATCACCTCATGCTATTTGCCTACGCATGTATTTCTAATAATTTCCATGCCATTCCCAGTTAAAGTCAGAGGCATTTCATGGCCCAGACATTGTGGTGCTGCTTTACCTTTCTAATGAGTCTCTTAGATTTCTTCCCATCATTCACTGTATTTCCTATGTTTCTTTCTTTCATTAATGCCACATTCACCTCATTTGTTGAACTTCTACCAATTTTTCAAACACTCAAGTCCATCTTACTGGACATGTTTACCCCTGCCTGGTGCCCTGTTATCTGAAAATTTTATTATTCAGGAGTTTATTCAACTACAAATTCTTAGTAAGATGTTTCCTAACCATCCTGTTTAAATTTTATGCCCTCCCCTACCCAGAACTCCCTATCCTTTCCCTAGTTTAGCTTTTCCTCAGTAATTAGCAAAATCCAATATATCATATGTTTTACTTCTTTTTTTCTAATGTGTATGTGTGTTTTGTTTTTCCTGTGTTCTCTTAATCATAATGTAGTTACATTTGACCATAAACGCCATAAGGCCAGGATGCTTATATGTTGAGATCAGAAAAAATACAGTTAAGAAAAACCTACTAACAAGGAAAGAGAGACACTATACAATAGTTAAAGAAATCAAACATAAATTATCACAATCATAAATTGGTGTGTATTAAGCAGTGTAGCTCATGACTATATCAAGACCAATGACAGAATTACAAAGTGAAAAATTTAAATTGACATTTATGGCAAGAATTTTTAATTAACATATTAGTAAACAACACCAATGATGATATGAAAATACAGACCAATGCAGTTAACAAGACTGATCTCATGATACTTGTAGAATCTCATAAACTGCCCTATTAAGTGGAAAGAAGATATATTCTTCTCAAGTTAGCTTGGAATGTTTACAAAATTTAGTAAATACCTACCATCTGACCCAGAAATGCCATTCTTAGGTTATTTGCCCAAAATAAATTAAAGCATATTTCCATACAAAAACTTGTACTCAAATATTTATGGGAGCTTTATTACTAATCACTCAAAACTGAAAACCACCCAAGGTTCACAAGCACGTAACTGCATCAACAGATTTTGTCATATTCATACAGTGCAATTATATTCAGTAATGAAAAAGAATGGATTATTACTGTACTCATTCATATGAATAGCTTTGAAAGCACAGTAAGTGAAAGAAGGTGGTTGCAAAAGACTAATAACAGTATTATTTCATTTATGTGAAATGCTAGAAAAGTCAAAGCTATGGTGACAGAGGTAGACGGGTGGTTGCCCAGGTCCAGGGAAGGCAATCAACTGCAAAGATTTGCAGGAAAAATTTTGATGTGATGGGAATGTTCTATATGTTGATTATGATGATGGTTTCTCAATTATATTTTGCAATAATAATTAAAATAGGCAATTAAAATGGTGAATCTTATTTTCTGTAAATGTACCTCATACATTTGTTTGATTAAAACAAACTCAAAATGTAACCAAAGAGTCCACAAACCAAAAATAAAAACAACCCCCTAAATTTGCATAACTATATTATTGAAATCAACTTAACCATAAAAGGTATTTTACAGTTTTCCCAAATTTTTAGTAGTTTTATGTAATAATCTTACAATAGGTGAAGATAACAAGACAACAGATAATAAAGTAAAACTCTAATTGATATCCAAGATTTAAAAAGTTGCTAAGTTTTTCCTCAGGAAGTGAATTTGCGTCATTCTCTATTAAACATTAACTTTGCCAATTTTGTTCCAACAATCAAGTCTTTAGAGAGTATTTTATAACACAATAGAAAAGATCAATATTAAAACGATAAAAGAAATGAAGAAAGTGAATAGATCACCAACCAAGTATGAAGAACCCAAAACTTGACTCTTAGAAAGTGACAGCTTAACACAGAAAAAAAAGTGGAAGAATCTTCCTGTTGAACTATTCAGACAGCTGAAGAGACAAAGAAACAACCAGTGAATCCTTTACTGGGGCAGAGAAACCACTCTGAGGTGCTGATGGAAAAGGAACTGTGCTTGTTTTTCAACAATGAACTCCAGCATTAATTACCTTCTCTCACTGTCTCCTTATGGGGACCCAAACTCAGCCTGAATTAGATGCTTCCTCCACCCATAGCTATTTGGAATAAACACTCTCACCATTCTGGTGACAAATGTCTTTATAGTTGATTTGTATTCTTAGGGTCTGAACTTACAAACACATAGAAGAGTTCCTGGAGTTTTCAGTCAGAAAGTAAAATGTATTATGTAGATTGACATAGCATAAATAAAATCTGACAGATAGAAGAGTCCACACTGTTTCAGCATGACTCCAAAAAATTTAACTTGAACCAGTGTGGTGAAGTTGGGAGGATTTAGATTTTGCAATTCCAAATGTTAAATATGAACTCATGAATATCTTCAAAGCGTTTATTTGAGGGAAACTTATTATTTTCATTGATTTTAGAGCAGTGATTCTCAACACTGGTTTATATTAAAATCATAAGGTTTTGGCTTTTAATACTAATTCTGAACTCCATACCAATAGAGGCTGTGACAAGTGATTGAGGTGGAGCTCAAGCATCCATATAGTTGAAGGCGCTCCAAAGTGAGCTCTATGTAGAGTCAGTGTTAAAAATAGCGAGTCAGGAGCACAGGTATGTGGTAGGAATTAGTGGCGGTTGAGTCAATATCTGATTGAGATTAGTGTCTGTGTCAAGGTATTTACTGCACAAACCATAAGAAAAAGGAGGTTTTTAAACAAAATGAATTACGTTTTTGAATTGAAGAAGATATTAGTGTGGAAAACTAATTTTATTTAGAGAGGAAAAAGAGAACAAACGCCGTGAAAAAAGGCAGTAGTTGAAGTCAGTTTCGATTAATGTAGTAAAGAGAAGGCTGAACACAGAAACCAAATTTGCAAGACTTTTTAAGATGAGCAATTAGAATTTGATGGCCTTTTTGATGGGATGGAAAGAGCGACATTCAGGTCAGTTGTACATTTGTGTATGAGAGAAAGCTGGACAGAAATATCAGGGGGGCTTCAATGCTACTGACATTGATGAATTAAATAATTTTAATTAGTAATTAATAAACATTTTATGTTTGTTATTTATTTTGTACTCTGATATGTAAGTCTTCAAAAATATTCACTTAAATTATTTCCTGTCGTAAATAGTGACTAAATAATGTCACATTTATTTATTTGTTGTTTATATTAAGAATTTTTAAAGACTGTTTTGGAAGGAAAAGACAGTCTAAACTAATTTCCACAAGACTTCCTTCTGTTTTCTTTTGTTTGTTTAATTTTTGTTACTGTGAGGAGATAAAGCAGAACAGTGTCTCAGATAAATCTGTGAGACTCTGCCTTAACTCCTTGGCAGAGTAAATTAATAAACCCTGTTGGGTTGAATTCAATCCAATCTCCTTCAGGTAAATTTATGTCACCCTGATAATTTTATTATGGAATCTCAGAAATGCTTTGCTATAGCAAGAAGCACCCTCTGAGTACAAGCTCACTGTGACCCAGTACAACAGATTGAGTCTGATTTACTTGGTTTTTCTTTACCTGTCCACTTCAGAGTGGAGTTTAAACACAGAAATAGCAAGGTTAGTCATATTGGTCCTATTCTTATCAGAAATTCACCAAAATTCTTAGATTGCTTTAGGTAGTCAGAAAAATGAAACTCAGATTTAGAAATAGTTGTATGTTGCAATAAGATAAGATGAGTAATGGAATGTTATCAGATGGGTTACACATGACTATAAGCTCAAGGCTACAGTGATTTAATGTAGGTATACCTGAAGAAGAAAGAGAAATGTTCCAAATTGTTGGATCAATATATATATATATATTTTTATATATAGAAATTGTTTTAAGAAGCTGCCTGTCATTATTTTCTTATTACACGATAATTGTGAATATGTAATTTATTCAACCTCTCTTATGATACCTCACAGAGAATGAAATGTTATGAGTTTACAAAACTGTTCTCAAATATTTAGGCAGTACAGTTGTATTACTGCTTTCGATTTTTAAGGCAATCAAAAATATCCAATTTTTATATCAGAAAAGTATAGCAGAGGAAAAGGATCAGATAACTGAAGCATGTGTTGTGACCATATCTGAAAAACTGATGTGTTATGACACATTTGCAATCCTAAAATCGTTCCCTTTGGACCTCAGTTACTGACTCCAACAGCGTTAATGTATATAGTGGTTATTTAAAAAGCATTTGTAAAGACATAATCTACTAGTTTGTTCTCATGCTGCTAATAAAGATATGCCTGAGACTGAGTAATTTATAAGGGAAAGAGGTTTAATGGACTCACAGTTCAGCATGGCTGGGGAGGCCTCAGGAAACTTACAATCATGGTGGAAGGGGAAGCAAACATGTGCTTCTCTACATGGCAGCAGTAAGGTGCCAAGCAAAAGGGGGAAAAGCCCCTTATAAGCCATCAGATCTCATGAGCACTCACTCACTATCATGAGAACAACATGAGGTTACCTGCCTCCATGATTCAATTACTTCCTACTGGGTTCCTCCCTTGACACGTGGGGATTATGGGAATTAAAATTTAAGATGAGATTTGGGTGGGGACACAGCCAAACCATATCAGATAACAAACAATAATTCCAATCAATTTTTCTCTTACAGAAACAAGTTTTGAGTGTAAATAGTTTCTTTTTTATATATAAGGAAAGCGATAGAGTTATGGCCCAAGAATAGACATGAAAGGCTATAATTTTGTCACATGTTTAATTATAGTAAACAGTCCAATGGTCTGAATTCAGCAATAGAATACTAGGATTCAAAGAGGGTAAATCATTATTTATTCAAGATATGATTATTATTTTCTACAGAATGAACATTTTGAAATTGTGAAAATCTGGATCTATGTCTTTATTTTCATTTTTATATCAGATAAATATTGTTGTAACTAATACTAGTAATAAAATTAATTTTAAAATTGCATATTATGTAAGCGAAACATTTTAAAATTTAAAAAAATATTGAAAAGTTAAGTCAGATTAGACTCGAATCATCCTTATAAATACACTTAATTGATTAATTAAATCTTTATTGCAACTAATGCCCGTCAATCAAATGAAGAACTGTTTTCTCTGTGATTAGTTCTCAGTGCTTAAAGGTACTTGACTCAATTCAAAGGAAGTACTTATTATCTCTTCCTCACTGCTTAGATAAATGCCATCTGACTAATGGGTGACTCCTCCTGATTGACATTTTGTCCATTTCATTAAGCAGATTTATCTATTATTTGTATATTTTATTTCATTTTATTTATTTGGGTTCGTTCTTACAACGCCATTGAAGTCCTTTATATCTTTTTTTTTTGTTGTTGTTCTTGTTGTTTTTTAAAACGGAGTCTCGGTCTGTCGCGCAGGCTAGAGAGCAGTGGCGCGATCTCTGCTCATTGCAAGCTCCACTGCCCAGGTTCATGCCATTCTCCTGCCTCGGCCTCCCAAGTAGCTGGGACTACATGCGCCTGCCACCACGCCCCGCTGATTTTTTTGTATTTTTAGTAGAGACGGGGCTTCACCATGTTAGCCAGGATGGTCTGGATCTCTTGATCTCGTGATTTGCCCGCCTCGGCCTCCCAAAGTGCTGGGATTACAGGCGTGAGCCACCGCGCTCGGCCTTTATATCTTATTTTTTTGACACTGTGAACACAGGTATTACCAAAAATAAAAACAGGCATACTAGAGGAGTATATACTCCTCTAGTATATCTTTTTCTGAAAGCAGATAATTAATTTAGGTTTATGGTATACATAATATGAAGGTATACATTATATTAGGTGTACATTTATTTAGGTATATGGTATACATAATATGAAGATTAATTCAGCAAAGCATTTATAAAAATGGTAGATTAGATCTTGAAGATAAGTAACATTCTCTGAATAATTTTTCTGAATATATAAATCATGAATTGATAATAAGATTTCAAAACAATTCCTCAACTCATTTCTGAGGAGGAAGTACTATTGATGTCCTTGATTTCATAGTATCTCATAAAGGTAGAGAAGTTTAGATTATTTGGAGTTTTTGTTTAGTGAGAGAACCATAGTGGGGTGACTTTGAAAATTTGTCTGTGACCTGGCAGTAAGTGGGGCTTCAGATCCCTATTGAGAATTGAGTTATCTGCCCCAGTGCAGCAATGCCACAGGTGACTTGCAGGTCAACCAGCAAGAATATATAGCATGTCCAGTTGATACACAAACCAGTATCATATCCAAGGAAAAATGGAGTAAGTATCCCCATGTTCAATGAATGAATGAATATAAGAAATGCGGTAAATCTCTAGACTTCTTTTCGTACATAACTGCAACTTTGTATTCTTCAACCAATATCTTTCTCATTTTTCTCACCTTCCTAGCCCTGGTAGCCACCATTCAAGTATCTCCTTCTGTGAGCTTGACTGTTTAAATTCCATGTGTAAGTAAGATCATGTGATATTTATCTTTCTGTGTCTGGCTTATCTTACCTAACATAATGTCCTCCAGGTCCATCCAGTTGTTACAAGTTTCAGAACTTATTTCATTTTTAAAGCTGAATAATAGCTTACTGTATATATGTGTGTGTCTGTATCACATTTTCATCAATTCATCCATGAATGCACAGTAAGGTTGTTTTCACATCCTGCCTATTGTGAATAATGTGATGAATATGGGGGTGCAGATATGTCTTTGAGATACTAATTTCATTTCCTTTGGAGCTATACCTAGAAGTGGGATAATCTTGAAGTTCAATCTTGAATATAAATAAACATTTTGTACAAACATTTTTATTAGTGCTAATGATAGAATGGGAATATGATTTACTGAATCATGATATATGAAAATATCAGCCATAATTTTAAAGATTTATTGTGTCAGGGCTTCAAAATAATATGTAGGCAAAGAAGGCACAAAATGTAATAGGGCTAACTATATTAAAAAATTTATGGATTAAATATGTTAACACTGTGCTAACTATTGTGACTAATTTGGGGAAATTAGGGTATGAGTCTCATTTTCTTTTTTACTTTATTATATTTTACACATTAAACATTGAACAGTTATTTTTATAATCAAAAATATGAAATTGATTTCATAATCCTGTCCTCATTCTTAACTAAGCACAGCTGTATATTTTCGTACTTCTGTTAATGGGATGCCTTAGATATCTTTTAATCTTCCTTCCTACTCAGCGCCAACATTCAGTTAGTTACTAAGACACTTTGTTCAACCTCTAAAATATCTCATATCTGTACTCCCTGACTTCTATTTCTTTTGCTATTGTTTTTGTTCAGTACATCCCCAGTTTTCTGTTGAAATGTTAAAATAGACTACCAACTGGTTTCCTTGGTTCCAATCCAGCTCCACCTTCTGTTTTTGCCTCAATTTCTCTTCTAAGCTGCTGCCAAAAAGATATTTTTAAAACACATCTTGGTCATGCTATTGCCCTGATTTTAAAATCTGGAATAACTCCCCATTACCTACAAGATTAGAGACTTTATCATGTCACTCAAAACTTTCAACAGTCCAGCTTCAATTTGTCTACTGGTTTTTCTTTTGCCCCTAATCCCAGCACATGTGCACACACATGCGCATGCACACACACACAGCATTTAATGCATAGAGAGTCCAGTTACCTATACTGCTTGCTACTTGTGAAAGACTCCATGCATTTTCATTTTTGTGCATTTGTATATGTTATTTTTCCTACTTAACGTTCTTCCATTCTTTCTAAGACTGGCTAACTCTTACGTATTCTTCCATGCACAGTTAAAAATTGTCTTTCCTGTGGCACGCACAAATATTAAACACTTGTCAATGCTCCCAGTGTTCTGAAGCTCATCTCTTACACTGTATCATGAATTGCCCTTTGCTCATCTTTGCCATTATGGACAGCTATGCAATTAGTTTATAGGAAGCAGGGCCTATAATGTATTCATTTTTTTCTTTAGTTTCCTGAACAATATACAGCATGTTATAGATGTGTTTTCAATAATTTGTGAGTTAAATATAAATAAACAAGTGCCATTAGGCAATTGCTCATTCATTTCTAAGAAAAGTTATATGTTTTCTTTATTACTTATCTGTTCTGGTGAACTAAATGTTGCTATATATCTGTTATATGGATTGCTATTTTCTGCTCTTTCTATCCTATTTATTACTTGACACACTGCAATCTGCTTTTCAGTCCCATAACTTATTTGAAAAGATTCTCACTGGGAGCACCATGACAAGACATACTGCAAAACTCAATGATCTTGTTTACCTATTTTTAATAATTAATTTGTATTAGTTTTGTAGACATTTTTGCTTACTTAAACACACTTCAACTTTTGAGTCTGTTAAGTACTCTCAGTTTTGAAATTCACCTGTCCTTGGTGATTTCCTACTCATCCCAGATTGGCATTTTTCTAGCACTGGCCATTACATCTCAGCCTACTGTAAGGATTCCATTTTTTCTTTCATTCCTAAAATGTTGATTTCCCTTTAGCTTCTTTTCTGTGTACTTTAATTATCATTCACTGTCTTTAATATAGGCCCCTCCAACCAATAATCAGCATTCCAGATCAAGTGCTTTCTACAAAATATAAATCTGATTGTTTCAGTTCCCTATTTAAAAACCCTAAGGATTACCATAAATCAGTTTATGTAAACATTTTTCTTGTGTAATGTGTGTTACATCAAAAGAAGATATGTAAGTTTCAATCCACATTAATATAATGGACATCTATGTAATCACCTCACAGGTTAAGAAAACCTCAAAATAAATGAGTTTCTTATAATTCCTACCCTGAATAAACTGTCTTTCATATCTCTACCCAAAGATAATCACCATTCTTAATATTGTATTTACTGTTCCCTTGCTTCTTTTAAACTTTCAATTTTAGAAAACTTCTAGATTAATAGAGTTATTGTGAAGAAAATAGACTTCTCATATATCTCACCTCAGTTTTCCCTGTTGTTAACATCTGACATTAGCAAGGTACATAATTATCACAGTTACTGAAAAAATATTGATATAGTATTATCAATTAAAACCTGTATATTTTTCAGATTTCCTTGGTTTATTTCTTTAACTTCATGTTTTACTTGAAGGATTCTATCCAGAATACAGCAATACTTTTAGTTGTTTTCCCTCTTAGGCTTCTCTTGGTTGAGTCAGTTCCTCAGGTTTTCCTTGCTTTTGATGACTTTGGCAGTTATGAGAATGTATGGCCAGGTATGGTTTGTAGAATTCCCTTTGATTAGAATCTGTGTGATATGTTTTTCTCAATCAACTGAGCTATTAAATTTTAAGAAGAATTTAACAGAGATAAAGTGCCATTCTTATCCTATCATATCAAATGTGCATTCTATCAACATAACTTATCAAATATTGAACCTAGCCTTGATAATCTGGCTAATGTGTTTTTTGGGATTCTTTCAAATTTTACTGTTTTGCCCCTTTATTCTTTGAAACAAAGTCACTATGTACAGCCCATACTTCAGGAGTGGGGAGCTATTCTCCACCTCCTTGATGGTGCAGTATCTACATAAATTACTTGAAATTTCTTTGAATGAGATATTTGTCTCTTTTTCTCCCTTTTGCTTATTTATTCAATTATTCATTTATACCATTAAATCATGAATATTTATCTTACATTTTAGATTATCATCACATACCACTTTACATATTTTTTGCTCAAATTGCTCTAGCTTTGGCCATTGTAAACTTTCAGATGGTTCCTGTATTCCTCTACCATATCAGTATAATTGTGTTAGGTTGTTTTGAGTATAGATGCTCCTTGATTTATTATGGAATTATGTCTCTACAAACCATTGGAAACTGAAAATATTACAAATCAAAAATGTATTTAAGACACATAACCTACTGGTCATCATAATTTAGCTTAGCCTACCTTAGATGTACCCAGAATACTTTCTCCACAAATGGTCAAAGTAATCTAACACAAAGCCTATTTTATAATAAAGTGTTGAATATCATAATTTATTGAATACTGTACTGAAAGTGAAAAACAAAATGGTTATACGGGCGCTTAAGATATGGTTTCTACTGAATGCTAATTGCTTTTGCACCATCCTAAAGTGGAACCATTATAAGTTGGGAACCACTTGCATTTTCTTACTTTCTACACTACAAGATGCTCCAGGCTTATTTTGCATATATCCTGACTCAGTTGTACAATCAGCCATTTCTCCAAGGAGCCCTATTTTATTTTATTTTATTTTACTTTATTTATTATTTTTTGAGATGGAGTCTTGCTCTGTCACCCAGGCTGGACTGCAGTAGCATGATCTTGGCTCACTGCAACCTCCACCTCCCGGATTCAAGCGATTCTTCTGCCTCAGCCTTCCTAGTAGCTGAGATTACAGGCGCGTACCCCCATGCACAGCTAATTTTTGTATTTTTAATAGAGACGGGGTTTCACCATGTTGGCCAGGCTAGTCACGGACTCCTGACCTCAGGTGGTCCGCCTGCCTTGGCCTCCCAAAGTGCTGGAATTACAAGCATGAGCCACCACGCCTGGCCCCTAGTTTATTTTATTGAAGAATGGTATTAGAAACCAAAATCTGGGTGCTGGCACTCTTATTGCTAATGGGATGTGGTTGCTTCTAGGCTGTCTCAACAGACAGAACAAGGAAATATATGTGTGCATACTATCTCCTGCATACACAAACACACAATAATATAGAAATATTCACTACTTGGTATGTAATCATATATATCTACATTAAGCTAAACATGAGCTTATACTTATGTCTTCAACTCCAATTCACTATTACTTGAATTATTCTAATCTCTCCACCATATCTATAAAATTGGAATTTTAAATTTAAATTTGAAATGTGTATTATTTTGACATAGGTTTGGTTACATAGTTTTTGCTTTGTTTCTATGGTCCTGGTCTATCCGAGTATAATATACATTTTAATTACTAACATGTCAAACTTTAAGGTACTAAGGTTGAATACCTTCAAATATTTCCTTTAGGAAATCCTGTTTGTTCTTACAACTTTCACTGTTATAATTGTGGTCCAAGCCACCAACATATCTCAGTTGTTTCTATGCTAGGAGTTTTCCTCTAACTTATAGTAAAAACCAAAGTTCTTCTATTGACCCGTAAGACCCTCTGTGATCTGCCTTCCTATTAACTTCTCTGACTTAATACTTAATTTTCTCATATCATTCCACACCATTCCACTTACCTCCACCCTAGCCTTCATTTCTACAACATGCCAATAATTCCCAACCTCAGGGCATTGCACTTGTAACTCCCTCTGCCAAGAATGTTCTTCCACCAGAACTATGTACAACATAGGTATTCACTTCCTTCTGATCTTTCTTTAAATATTCACTTCCCAGTGAGGACTTCTGTACTACATGAAATTTATGTGGTTCCCAAGATGAAGTCAGCTTTAATTTCCTGAATAATATATTGATAAATTTCAGTTTAGATCAACTGGCCTCAGAGAGGAAGTTTACATCTTTCATGAAGAAAGGCTCATTGAGCTCTGTCTGAATTTTCATGGCAAAGACTCTCCTACTCCTTTTCCTCATGGTACTAATCCTACTACAGAGGTTCTTCTGTTCCTATTGGTTGATTGTGGAAGATCCCACAGTACATAGATTCATGCATCTCACCTTTCCTTTTACCTTTGGACTTATTTGTTACTGTTGAGGCTATATATATGCACTGATTACCCTTATTGGACCAATAAGGCAACACTGGCACACACGGCATATACATGTTTTATGAACTTCTTTCTGCTCATCACGTATACTCTAGCTTGTTCCAAGGATGCCACTGCTGCTAATATTGGGCAGATAACATAACTTGACGATATGCAGGAATTAATACTGTATAGCAGAGATGAGCAACTATGGCCCAGGGTTCAATCTGGTCTGACATCTATTTTTGTAAATAAAATGTAATTAGGTGCCACACATACTCATTTCAGTATTGTCTATGGCTGATTTTTGCACTCTATCAGCAGTGTCAAGTAGTTGCAACAGAGACCCAATGGTCTGTAAATTTAAAATATTACTATATGTCATTTTACATTAAAAGTTTACCAATCCCTCCTCTGTGGGATGAATTTCTGACTAACAGTTGATGAAAAAGGAAATATCGTGCTTTCATCAGGTCTCTCCAAGCAGCTTTGTTTTCTGGTGGAGCTATCATCAGTTCAGTGATGTGCCACTTAGTATTTGATTTTCTTCCTTCACTGACTTGTTTCCCTTTCCACTTCAGTTTTGGTCACAAAAATTGTATTTTCTCCTTAGGAAAACATCAGTATATAAGGTTTATCTCAGTATATGCAATCTAGGAACTACCTTATCACAACACGATTTCAGTATTTCTCCAACACTCCTCATCCCCATTTTGCTTTTTCTTTTTAACAAACAGTATCTAATACACTATGCTGTGCATTTTATTTTTTAAGTCCTTTTTACTGTCTATATCCTGTCACTAGGATGTAGTTTCTATGAAGGCATACACATTTGTTTTCATTGGATTTTTTTCACTACTCTACCTAAAATCCTAGAACAGTTTCTGGCACATAGTATGCCCTCAATTCACCTTTTGAATGAGTGAATTTATTAACGTTGCACCTTACATCTTCACTTCTTAAAACTGTGAAGCGTTTTTTGTTCCCCAGTGCCTCAGTCACTTTCTTGACAATATTTCACGAAATAGAATTAATGCTTGCAGAGTTTTATATAACTTTTAGTAAATTTCTCTAGAGATTGGATTCTTTAAAGCTGAAATTCTGCCCTCAGATTCCATACTTTTCTCATTTCAGCCACCAGTCCCAGTACCCTAAATTTGACGTTCCTTCTGCCTGACTCACCTGACCCTCACTGCCTGCTGTTGCATATTGCTATGCCTCTTCTTCTATTTATTCCATTGCCCTGAGTGTGCAAACCAGCACATGCTCCATGCTTGTCTCTCCATGTGGCTCGGCTTAGTGTTAAGAAAACCCTTGGGCCCCTGTTCCCTCTTCTAACAGTGTTGCTATTATTAATGAGCAAATAGGATTCACTTTAAAAGTTATAAAAATGACTGGTGAGGGAATTTCAAGAAGATAGCAAAACAAACAAAGGAGATTAAATTGGTGATTGATTAATTGGCAAAGGGTGACACAAATAAACTTACCTGCTTTCTTATTTATGTAAATCAAAAAGAATGATTAAAATAACACTATAACAATACATAATTTAAGAATACATATATCAGGAAAAAATGAATTAATAAAATATCCAGGCATAGTTTTTAAAAATCATATGATCTGATATTTATAATATCACTTTAGGCAGGCCACAACAGTAAACAAAAATGTGTTTACATTGATGACAACAGCAAATGAGACACAGAAACATGGAGAAATCTCACTCCAATAATTCTTAGAAGTCATTAGAAAGACTACACAAAGCACCAGAATGGACATAAAAATCAGTCACCACTAATGAATGGAACTTTCAAAAGGAAAGTAGACATAACAGAAAGACATTACAGTAGACATAACAGAAAGACATAGCAGAAATCCATTACATGACTGTACAATGAGCTGTTTTAAATGCTTAATCATGATAGTAAAATGCATATACCAGCTGAGGTACCCTTCCTTTGAGTGCCAAATTAAATCAGCTTGAATCATAGTGCATGTGAATGAGTGCCTGGGGATTTTTCAGTCATCCTGGAGATTGGGGTATGGAAGGTAGTAGGAAGGTAGTGAAGGGAGGATGGTGTTTGAGCCACTTCTAATTCTACATTACTGCTGCTTTTAAATTAATGAGTGGATCGCCTTATCTCCCACACTGTGTACACATTCTGTCACTGATGATTCAAGATGAGACACAGAAACCTTCTCCTTGATTTCTCTTGGTAAAATTACTCATCCAAGGCATGTATGCAGTGTGTGTGTGTGTGTGTGTGTGTGTGTGTGTGTGTGTGTGTGTGTGTGTGTGTAGCAGAACTTCATTTAGTTTTAGGGTACTTGCAGACTTATCCATTATCAGATTGCTTGATGTTCTTTTTTTTCTATAAATAATCCATTCACATATTTCCTTCCTCTACAATTCTCTGGGGTTTCACCTCTCTCAAGATCTCCGAAACTCAGCGCTACAGTCTTCATTTCATATAGCAATTTAACTTCCACTCATACACTCTATGGTTGCTCACTTTTATGTTTCATGGAACTCATCAATGTTTTGTACAAATAATGAATCATCAGCCACAGGACACAAACTAACTGAGATTTTCAATGTTCACCTTTCCTTTTCCATTATTCACCAACCTGCTTGATGGGAAGTGAATAAATACAAAGATTTATATCACCAAGCCCATTAATTACAGTATCCACTTAAATGACAGAACTAGATATATTTAGCTTAAAACACTGTTTCTCTCTCTATTTAATAGCAGTCCTGACATTTAACAAAGCTTCATTCTTAGTAGTAATGATGACTAGAGTAGTTAATGAGCACCTTCTCTGAACCAGGCACTGCTAAGTACAATATATTCATAAGTAAAACTATTAATGGTATTTTACAGATGAGAAAACCATGACTTAAGGATGTTAACTTGCCTCCCTTCACTTAGATTTTAATTATTCTGCCTGTGATCCAAACCCATGGAACCTGATCCTCAAACACATATTCTTAACCATTACATTGTATTACATTTGCTGATTAAGAAGAAATGTGGAGATGCTTACTTGTTTGAGATCATTAATAAGAAATTATTTTTTCCAGGCGCTGTGGCTCACGCCTGTAATCCGAGCACTTTGGGAGGCAGAGGCGGGCAGATCACGAGGTCAGGAGATCTAAACCATCCTGGCTAACACGGTGAAACCCCGCCTCTACTAAAATTCCAAAAAATTAGCCAAGCGTGGTGGCATGCGCCTGTAGTCCCAGCTACTTGGGAGGCTGAGGCAGGAGAATTCCATGAATATGGGAGGTGGAGGTTGCAGTGAGCCGAGATCGCGCCACTGCACTCCAGCCTGGGCGACAGAGCGAGACTCCATCTCAAAATAAATAAATAAATAAATAAATAAATAAATGCAAAGTATTTCCGAACAAAACCCAAGGTGTTCCCAACTTTGTTACTTTAGCATGCTCACTATATAGTATTTCACTGCTAAATCTCTAGAGTTGTGGATGTCTTTTTTTCAATAATGATAAAGTTTAACTTTTTTCTCATTTGCTCACTCTGGGAAATGGATGGAAGTAAAATTTCACCTGATTTTTTCTTTCTGAAAATATAACCATTTATTTCTCTTCTCCCTGCTGTTCTCTCTTAGCATTACTGTGCTGTCCAGTTCTTTAATTCAGTCTCTAAATTATGGGTATAGAAAGACCTGTGATTTAGAACACAGTTGTGAGAGAAGGAAAATGAAGAACTATCATTGAGCTGAGAAAAGTTTACAAGAATCTCAAACACACATAAATCAATATTTTATATTTGGACTTGTTTGAATTACAAGAGCACAAGATTTGTGATCTTCAACATAAATTAGCCCTTCTCTTATGTTTATGTTTTTCCTTCATAATGATCATCTTGCTTGCCTTAGTCTCTTAGTCTAGGAATATGTAAGATAATTCTTAAATTCCTTTTTTTTTTTTTTTTTTGACAGAGTATCTCTCTGTTTTCCAGGCTGGAATGCAGTGGTACATCTCTGCTCACTGCAATGTCCACCTCCTAGGCTCAAGCGATTGTCCTGCCTCAGCCTCCTGAGTAGATGAGACGACAGGCACACACCACGCCCTGTTGTTGTTATTATTATTATTATTATTATTATTATTACTATTTTGTAATTTTAGTAGAGACGGGTTTCACTTTGTTGGCCAGGCTGGTCCTGAAATCCTGGCCTCAAGTGATCCATCCACACTGGCCTCCCAAAGTGCCGGGATTACAGGTGTGAGCTACAGTGCCCAGCCAAAAAGTTCTTGCTAATAAAATTGCAAGCTTGCTAAACAGGCAAGTTTTGGCAAACTGGCATAATCATTTTTTTTCTTGACTGCAGTTTTATATTGTACTTCTTTTGTAAGCATCATCACTTAAACTACTTCTGATATTGTTTATTAATATATAGAAGTCAATATTGATCTGGACATAGCTTTTTTTTTACTGTTATCTAGACTTATCTAATCAATTTTAATATGTTTCTATGCTGTTGTCTACAGTAAAGAACTTTGAGTTTATACATGTATTTAAAAATAGGTAAAGTCATATTTTATTTATATTATAGTTTATTGATTGCTTTCATTTTTCATGATAACACTTTACATATCTTGGTAGAATAAAAAGAATGTAAGAATTCCAGGCACAAGAACAAAGCCCCAGGTCAAATTTTTCATTTTCTTTCTGTGTTTCCTTGGGCAAGACACTTCATGACTAAGTCAATTTCCATTTCTAAAATGGATTTTATAATCCCCCCCCACAATATGTTTTGACAAATTAGGTAAAAAAAGTGCTTTCTTCTGCAAATAGCAAGATGCCTGGCAAATGTTACATCATTATTTTTTTAAAAATCTTGTATGTTTATAATTTATAGAATGTAATATATAGCTTATACTTTCCTGTATTTGTATGTAAAAATACACAGACATGCAAGCTCTACAAAAGTTCAAGGTATAAGTCGCACTGAGATATTAAGAACAGATAAGGTATTGCTTTGTATTAATATGTAATTTATTTATCTTTCAACAATATAATTATACTTATTTTAATATGTCATATTCTGTAATCTTTCTGGCCTCTGGTACTAAATTATTTTTTAATTATTTAATTTTTTAACTTTTATTTTAAATTCAGGGGTACAAGTGCAGATTTGTTCCATAGGTAAACTTGTGTCATGGGGGTTTGTTGTACAGATTATTTTGTCACCCAAGTATTAGGCCTAGTACCCATTAGTTAAAAGCTTAACATCACTGATCATTAGAGAAGTGCAAATCAAAACCACAATGAGATACCATCTCACAATAGTCAGATGGCTATTATTAAAAAGTCAAGGCCAGGCACGTTGGCTCATGCCTATAATCCCAGCACTTTGGGAGGCCAAGGTGGGTGGATAACCAGAGGTCAGGAGTCCAAGACCATCTGGCCATCATGGCAAAACCCCATCTCTGCTAAAAAATACAAAAATTAACTGGACGTGGTGGTATGTGCCTGTAGTCCCAGCTACTTGGGAGGCTGAGGCAGGAGAATGGCTCGAACCCCGGAAGCGGAGGTGGCAGTGAGCCAAGATCACACCACTGCATCCAGCCTGGGCAACAGAGTGAGACTCCATCTCAAAAAAAAGTCAAAAAATAACATATGCTGGAAAGGTTTTAGAGAAAAGTTAACACTTATACACTATTGGTGGGGTGTAAATTAGTTCAGCCATTGTAGAAGACAGTGTGACGATTTCTCAAAGACCTAAAGACAGAAATACCATTCCACTCAGCAATCCCATTACTGGGTATATACCCAAAGAAATATAAATCATTCTATTATAAAGATACATCCACACGTATGTTCATTGAAGTACTATTCACAAAAGCAAAGACATGGAATCAACATAAATGCCCATCAATAGTAGACTGAATAAAGAAAATGTGGTACATATACGCATGGAATACTATGCAGCCATAAAAAATAACCAGATTATGTGCTTTGCAGGGACATGGATGCATCATGAGGTCATTATCCTTAACAAACTTACGCAGGAACAGAAAACCAAATACCTCATGTTCTCACTTATAAGTGAGAGATAAATCATGAGAACATGTGGACACATAAAGGGTAATTTTTTTAAAACTCAAACTTCTATTATGTCTGCTCATTTCATATTTTTCCTTTCTTGATACTTAATTGTTCCTCTGTTTTTAATTGTGTTTTTGTTCCTGTTATACAGGCAGACAGCTTATGATTTGCTACTATAGCTTCTCAAGTTGAAACTTGTATCTGCCTGATATATTCAGATTTTGAAACAGTGTTATTTACTGAGAAGGAAGTAAAGTTGATATAATATGTATCTCCTGAACTCATTGTAAGGAAGCCTTCAGGATTTTCAAGAAAAACAGCAACACTGAAAAAAGTTTAAAAGGTGATATAACTTATTGGCTTATGATTCAGGTGCTTAGGTACTTAAGCACCTCATCAATCTCACTTTGATTTTCAACATTTCTCTTGGTGTCTGGGCATCTAACTACATCTCTTTAATTTTTACAAGGCTTCATTGCGGTGATCCAGGACATTAGATCTTCCCATTCTAGGCAACTAATGACAGTTCTTTTTCAGTTTTGGTTTTGCTGGTAACATGAAACAAAACTTCAATAAACATTCATTCTTTGGTTTTAATGTTACCTAAAATGTAATAAAGAGAGAAATATTTGAAATTCAATTCAGATATTATCAAAGCACTACACAGGAAAAGAAGGAAAATGATTAGGAAAAGAGATAAATGACAAGCTACATTTCTATTTCATGATTATCTCCCCCTCTTCGAGGAAAACAAAGTCATCAGACAGAAAAGACTTTCATTAGCATTTTTGGACTAAAAACGAGTTTTAATTGTGTTTCCTATTTTAGTAACAAGCGCATTCTTCACAAGATATATAAACTTTATGAAAGCCATGGTCTCTGTTTATATTATGAAGTGATGAGAGATTTGGAACACTGAAACTCAGCAAACCTTCCTTAATACACTCTAAAGCCTGTGTAGATGTGAAAGAAAAACAGTTTTAAAATCAATGTGTTAGGAAAATATCTTGGAGTCAAGATACAAAAGTCAAGCTCTCGCAGTATTAAAAACACTTAAAGCCAAATATGAATTGTTAAGCCAAGCAAATGCCATGCCTTAACCAATCAGACCTAAACAATGACTAGAGCATTATGTGAAATTCAGGAGGTGCACTATAAATGAATAATTAGTGACTGTCAAATGCCAGCCATTGACACACACTGGCATTCAATGGCAGGCTAAAGCAGGCATTTTGTTAATATGCTTAATATAAAGATTTCTAAGTTTTGGATTTGGGACCTTTGAAAAGAGTGCATATTCACATAGGGAAAGATAATTATTGATTATTTTGAATTATCTTCAACAATTTTGAAATAAGTTTAGATTTACAGAAAATTGCAAAAATAGTACAGAGAGTTTCCTTATACCCTTTACCCAATATCCAACAATTTTTACAGCTTACATAACAGTAGTACAACATAAATATCAGTAAAATTACATTGGTACAATGTGGGCGTACAGTTCTGTGGAAAGATAAGTGCCATTTTATCACATGTGTTGATTTCTGTAACTACCACTGCACTCAAGATACAGAACAATTTCACCACCAAAAGGATATATTGGTGTCATCATTTTGTGAGTTTAAATAAAGTGTAAGATGTTACTTTACATTAATTCCATTTACCCTCTCCTGTTTATAATTGTCTTTAATATTTTTCTACATACATGAAGATCCATATCAGCTAAGAATATATTTTTATTTCTACCCTCAAACATAATTTAGAAAACAGAAGAGACGGAAAAAGTATTGTGTTTACTATATTTTTTGTTCTCTCTATTGTTTTTCTTTTCCTTGATGTTCCAAAACTCCTTATTTTGTTGTCTTTCTCCTGGAAAAGCCTCCTTCAGCTATCTTTTTAGGGGTATTTGCTGATGACAAATTATCTTAGATTTTTTTTATATGAGAATGTCTTCATTTGCTCTTCACTTCACATGAATACTTTTTTCCGATGTATAATTTACAGATCTTTCAGTATTTGAAGTATGTTGTGAAGTATCATTTTGACTCCTATGGTTTATGATGAAGAATCCACTTTAATTCAAATAATTAAAAGCAAAGTATTGTTTCTCCCTAGCTAATTAAGACTTTCTCTTTGTCTTCAGTTTTCCTACATTTGGTTAAAATATATCTTGAAATGGATTCCTTTGGGTTTAACCTGTTGTTAAACCTGTCACCATTTTGAATCTTTAGATTAATGTATCTTACCAAATTTGAAAGATTTTAGTCATAATTTCTTTGAATTCTTTTCTGAACCATCTTTTGTCTCTCCTTCTGGGATTCTGGTAAAAAGATTATTTTGTTATTGTTTCCCAGATTCCTGAGGGTGTGTTGTCTCTTTCATTTTTTTTCTATTCTGTTTTTTTTCTATTGTTTATTTCTGTTGAATTATTTCTGTTGTTCCATCTTTAAGCTTCCTGTTGCTTTCCTTTATTCTCTCCACTCTTCTGGTTAGCCCATCCACTGAGCTTTTAATTTTTATAGTAGTTGTGCTAGAGTTTATTATATACACTTTTAATTAATATAATTCACCTTCACATAACACTGCATCATTTCACATGTAGTGCACATACCTTATACAGAGTATTTCCAATTCCTCCTTTCTGTACCTTATGACATTGCTGTCACTCATCTTATGAGTTCTATTTTATATGCATTCATTTATTGCTCCTGTTTTTGTTTTGCAATTATATTTTGATCAAATAAGAGTAAGAGAAATGAAAGTTTACACTGATGTCACTTTTTTCTTTTCATGTATTCCCCCTTTTTAAATGTAAATCTGATTTTTTTATTCATATCACTTCAATTATCCCTGAATTATTTAATTCAACATTTCTTGCAAAGAAAGTCTGTTGGTGATCAATTCTCTCAATGACTGAATAAGTTTTGTTTAAGCTGCGCTCTAAAATAATATTTCACTGGATAGAGAATTCTACGCTGCAGGTTTTGCTCTTTTAACACTTTACATATTTCACTTTACCCTCCTTACCCACATGGTTGCTGAGAAAATGTCTCGGTACTTCTTATCCCTTATCCTTTTCCTCCTGTATTTTTCTCATCTGTGGTTTTTTTAAAGATTTTTCTCATTTTTAAATTTTTAATGATTATGGGTATATACTAGTATACTGGTTGTATATATTCTTGGGGTACATGTGATATTTTGATGCAAGCATATAGTGTGAAATATTGAAATCAGGGTAACTACAGTTGAATATGATTTTCCCAGGTGGTGCTGTTGGGCTTTGGTTGTTTTCTTGTGTGGTCTTATTCTGCGTATTTTATTTGAGCATCCTACATCTGTGATTTTGTGTCTGTCATTAAATTTGAAAAGATCTAGAAAATTATTATTCCAAGTATTTCTCCCACTCCTCTCTTACTTCTCTTTCTGCTATTCCAATTCTTACATGTTACAACTTTTGAAATTGTCCCACAGTCCTTGGATGTTCTGGTATCCTGCTACCTCCCCTACCTTTTTTTACTCTTTGTATGTTTCAGTTTGGGCACTTTCTACTGATGTATATGCAGGCTCACTGATAATTTCTTTGTGTCCAGTCTACGGATAATACCATTAAAGAATTATTTCTCTTGGATTCTGTTTGATTTCTAACATTTCATTTTAATTGATTCTTAATGTTTCCATCTCTCTGCTCCCAATACTTGTCTATTATTGACTGTCTTCTAATTGTTTTCCATGGCATTCCTTAATATATTAATCACAGTCATTTTAAATTCTGTATCTTGTAATATCTGCATCATGTGTGAGTCTGATTCTGTTGATTCCCTTGCCCCTTTAGATGATTTTTCCTTGTGTTTTGGCATACCTTTTAGATTTTTGTTGAAAGTCATGTGTATTTTATTGCATAATAACCACTGAATCAAGTAGGCCTACAGTGTTAGAGTTATTAGGAATTTCCCCAGCAGTTGAACTGTATTTAATATCTGCTGTAGCTCTGGGTGTTGGTGACTTCAAATTCCTCCAGTGTCCTTGTTTTTGTCACCACTCTTGATTTCGTCTTACCTAAATACTTCTTTTACAGATATAGTCTTTGTCTTTTACCTCTTTCAGCTATAATCCTTTGATATTATATTGGAGCCCTGTTTGTGTGGTGACAAGTACTGAGGAGATGAAGTGTTCAGTAATCGTCCACTTACATCTTATTGTTTCAGTGGGACTGTGTTTAGAAGCTGTGAATTTACAAGTGTTTTCCCACTGGAATAGCTTTTTCCTTCCGGTACCTCACTCTCTTCCCTTTCTGCAGTTTTCCAAATCTATTTATTTGAAGCCCTGACCTTCGTTAAACATTTTTTCACCCTTAGGTGAGACAGAAAAGCTAGAAGGCACTGGACTCAGAGCAATTACTTCTCCCAATAGGAAAAGTCTCTGGCAAATGCATCAGCCCCTGTAGAGAAGCCACTTATAATGGGGAACTCTCTGGGTGTATTTTACAGTGGTTATTCTTCTCGTGCCTCTGACAGAGAAAACCAAGAAATTAAAGAAGAGGGCTGAATCCACTCATACTGGATGGAAGAAGAAAAGATGACTTATCTGCTGAGAAGCTTATGAGTGGCTACAAGGTAAGAGATGGTGAGATTATTTGCTGAGAATGAAAGGATTGTTGTCAGAGGCAGTGGGTATAGGATAAGAGACAGCAAGGAGGTATTAAAATCTCATGGAGTGGAGTGGGAGAGGTAGGTGGATGATACAGACACAGAGGACTAACCAAGACAGCACTGAGAATTGCTGATGCTGGAGACTGGTTATTAATAGTAGCACAAATGTCTAAGTTTATTATGCTGATATAAATTAGGAAATGCATACAGCACTGTACACACACAAAGAAAGACCTCAAACACTTTAGAGTGTGTGTGTATAAAGAGAGAGAGGGAACTAAAAGAAAGAATGTATATAACTCATATATTCTTTCATTGGATGAACAGTTACTTAGTGAAACTTTGTTACAGGCACAGTATGAGAAACTGAAAGTATGCTTTTGGACAGGAAGGATCTGACCGCTCCTCTTTTAGTTTTCAGTCTAGAAAAGAAGACAATTAGTATCTTTGGTATTGGAATTATAGTTCTTATATTTTCATATCTTCTCTATTATCTCAAAAAAGTATGCATTTTTAATTAGAAAAATAACAAAATGTATTAGACTTAAAGTGTTATCTTTCTGATACCAATTGCTCAAACCATTGAATTTTTCAGCTCTAATTAAGGTGTACTATATCTTGAAAGGCAAATTCCAAGGGTATTTTCTACAATTCCAATGACAGGCATGTTAAACATCTAACCAGATGTATTTATAATAGTATTAGCTCTTTTATTCATTATAACAAATAATCTACTGTAAGTGTCTCATATTAAATATGCCTCAAATAATTGAACCTTAAAACTTTTTGTATGGCTTTTGAATATTTGGAGTAGACCAAAAAATAGTATTAATAAGGGCTATACATGAAGAGAAATCAATTTGAAAAGAAGCAACTAAAAAAAAGGACCTTAAATTCTAAAGAAACTAAATTGGTGAAAATTATGTACAAAAAAGTAAAATTTTAAAATACATGATAAAATATTAAAATAATATTAAGATGAACTATTACATTTAAAAACTGAGGTCACAATATAACATTTTTTTACATAGTAAATTGTATGAGATAGGAAATTGAAATGGAAATTCAGTATTTTCAAATTTAGATATTTCTTTGAAACCTCAAAATAGCCAAAAGCCCCTCATATTCTCTGTTAATGTGATATGTATTTTATTGAAATCTTAGGAAACATGAAATGTACTTAATGTAAATTCTTGAAATGTTATTTTAACTATAGCATATTTTGATATTTTGAAAGGGAATTCACTGATTCATATTAAAACCATTTTTCAAGTTTATATGTGTTTATAAATTGCAGTTTGAATTTTTAATAAAGCAGTTTTCAAAATCGAACAGAAAGTAACTTACTCAAGATTTAGCATATTTGTTTGCATAATATTTACTATTTATATACTGGTTTTCTTTTTTTTTTGATGGTGAAAAGTGTTCTTTTCTTTTTATTTTATTTTATTATTATTATACTTTAAGTTTTAGGGTACATGTGCACAATGTGCAGGTTAGTTACGTATGTATACATGTGCCATGCTGGTTTGCTGCAACCATTAACTTGTCATTTAGCATTAGGTGTATCTCCTAATGCTATCCCTCCCCCCTCCCCCCACCCCACAACAGTCCCCAGAGTGTGATGTTCCCCTTCCTGTGTCCGTGTGTTCTCGTTGTTCAATTCCCACCTATGAGTGAGAACATGCGGTGTTTGGTTTTTTGTTCTTGCAATAGTTTACTGAGAATGATGATTTCCAATTTCATCCATGTCCCTACAAAGGACAAACTCATCATTTTTTTATGGCTGCATAGTATTCCATGGTGTATATGTGCCACATTATCTTAATCCAGTCTATCATTGTTGGACATTTGGGTTGGTTTCAAGTCTTTGCTATTGTGAATCGTGCCACAATAAACATACGTGTGCGTGTCTTTATAGCAGCATGATTTATAATCCTTTGGGTATATACCCAGTAATGGGATGGCTGGGTCAAATGGTATTTCTAGTTCTAGATCCCTGAGGAATCGCCACACTGACTTCCACAATGGTTGAACTAGTTTACAGTCCCACCAACAGTGTAAAAGTGTTCCTATTTCTCCACATCCTCTCCAGCACCTGTTGTTTCCTGACTTTTTAATGATCGCCATTCTACCTGGTGTGAGATGGTATCTCATTGTGGTTTTGATTTGCATTTCTCTGATGGCCAGTGATGGTGAGCATTTTTTCATGTGTTTTTTGGCTGCATAAAAGTATTCTTTTGCGAAGTGTCTGTTCATGTCCTTCGCCCACTTTTTGATGGAGTTGTTTGTTTTTTTCTTGTAAATTTGTTTGAGTTCATTGTAGATTCTGGATATTAGCCCTTTGTCAGATGAGTAGGTTGCAAAATTTTCTCCCATTTTGTAGGTTGCCTGTTCACTCTGATGGTAGTTTCTTTTGCTGTGCAGAAGCTCTTTAGTTTAATTAGATCCCATTTGTCAATTTTGGCTTTTGTTGCCATTGCTTTTGGTGTTTTAGACATGAAGTCCTTGCCCATGCCTATGTCCTGAATGGTAATGCCTAGGTTTTTTTCTAGGGTTTTTATGGTTTTAGGTCTAATGTTTAAGTCTTTAATCCATCTTGAATTAATTTTTGTATAAGGTGTAAGGAAGGGATCCAGTTTCAGCTTTCTACATATGGCTAGCCAGTTTTCCCAGCACCATTTATTAAATAGGGAATCCTTTCCCCATTGCTTGTTTTTGTCAGGTTTGTCAAAGATCAGATAGTTGTAGATATGAGGCGTTACTTCTGAGGGCTCTGTTCTGTTCCATTGATCTATATCTCTGTTTTGGTACCAGTACCATGCTGTTTTGATTACTGTAGCCTTGTAGTATAGTTTGAAGTCAGGTAGTGTGATGCCTCCAGCTTTGTTCTTTTGGCTTAGGATTGACTTGGCGATGTGGACTCTTTTTTGGTTCCATATGAACTTTAAAGTAGTTTTTTCCAATTCTGTGAAGAAAGTCATTGGTAGCTTGATGGGGATGGGAAATTTATAGCACTAAATGCCCACAAGAGAAAGCAGGAAAGATCCAAGATTGACACCCTAACATCACAATTAAAAGAACTAGAAAAGCAAGAGCAAACATATTCAAAAGCTAGCAGAAGGCAAGAAATAACTGAATTCAGAGCAGAACTGAAGGAAATAGAGACACAAAAAACCCTTCAAAAATTAATGAATCCAGGAGCTGGTTTTTTGAAAGGATCAACAAAATTGATAGACTGCTAGCAAGACTAATAAAGAAGAAAAGAGAGAAGAATCAAATAGACACAGTAAAACATGATAAAGGGGATATCACCACCGATCCCACAGAAATACAAACTACCATCAGAGAATACTACAAACACCTCTACCCAAATAAATTAGAAAATCTAGAAGAAATGGATAAATTCCTCGACACATACACCCTCCCAAGACTAAACCAGGAAGAAGTTGAATCTCTGAATAGACCAATAACAGGCTCTGAAATTGTGGCAATAATCAATAGCTTACCAACCAAAAAGAGTCCAGGACCAGATGGATTCACAGCCGAATTCTACCAGAGGTACAAGGAGGAACTGGTACCATTCCTTCTGAAACTATTCCAATCAGTAGAAAAAGAGGGAATCCGCCCTAACTCATTTTATGAGGCCAGCATCATCCTGATACCAAAGCCAGGCAGAGACACAACCAAAAAAGAGAATTTTAGATCAATATCCTTGATGAACATTGATGCAAAAATCCTCAATAAAATACTGGCAAACCGAATCCAGCAGCACATCAAAAAGCTTATCCACCATGATCAAGTGGGCTTCATCCCTGGGATGCAAGGCTGGTTCAATATACGCAAATCAATAAATGTAATCCAGCATATAAACAGAACCAAAGACAAAAACCACATGATTATTTCAACAGATGCAGAAAAAGCCTTTGTCAAAATTCAACAACCTTCATGCTGAAAACTCTCAATAAATTAGGTATTGATGGGACGTATCTCCAAATAATAAGAGCTATCTAGGACAAACCCACAGCCAATATCATACTGAATGGGCAAAAACTGGAAGGATTCCCTTTGAAAACTGGCACAAGACAGGGTTGCCCTCTCTCACCACTCGTATTCAACATAGTGTTGGAAGTTCTGGCCAGGGCAATTAGGCAGGAGAAGGAAATAAAGAGTATTCAATTAGGAAAAGAGGAAGTCAAATTGGCCCTGTTTGCAGATGACATGGTTGTATATCTAGAAAACCCCATTGTCTCAGCCCAAAATCTCCTTAAGCTGGTAAGGAACTTCAGCAAAGTCTCAGGATACAAAATCAATGTGCAAAAATCACAAGCATTCTTACACACCAATAACAGACAAACAGAGAGCCAAATCATGAGTGAACTCCCATTCACAATTGCTTCAAAGAGAATAAAGTACCTAGGAATCCAACTTACAAGGGACGTGAAGGACCTCTTCAAGGAGAACTACAAACCACTGCTCAATGAAATAAAAGAGGATACAAACAAATGGAAGAACATTCTATGCTCATGGGTAGGAAGAATCAATATTGTGAAAATGGCCATACTGCCCAAGGTAACTTATAGTTTTCTTTTTCAATAGATTCGGATATCGTTATTGTGTCTAATTAGGTTTTATAATCTGAAAATAAAGAAACACTTATAAAATTAGTTATTCACAATTTTATTTAAACCTAGAGTAAATTTTACTTTTGTTGCATTTCACAAATTGTATCTACACTGGAAATGATTTATTTAAAAATTTAGACTCAGTGCAATGGCTCATGCCTGTAATCCCAACACTTGGGAGACCAAGGTGGGTGGATTGCTTGTACTCAGGAGTTCGAGACCAGCCTGGCCATCATGGTGCAACCCCATCTCTACCCAAAATACCAAAAATATAGCCGGGCATGGTGGTGCAGGCCTGTGATCCCAGCTACTGGGGAGGCTGAGGCAGGAGACTCTCTGGAGCCCAGGAAGCAGAGGTTGCAGTGAGCCGAGACCGCTCCACTGTACTCCAGCCTGAGAGGCAGAGTGAGACACTGACTCAAAATACTGCTACTACTACTACTAATAATAATGAAAGAACCATATGGAAAATATATGTATATAAGCAAAATCTCTCTGTTAGTCTTATAGTTCTTTCCTAAAGCAGAATAAAGCATCTGCCAAATGGCTGGGAATGGTGCTCCTGCCTGTATTCCCAGCACTTTGGGAGGCCGAGGCAGGAGGATCACCTGGGTTCAGGAGTTCAAGACCAGACTGGCCAATATGATGATACCCCCATCTTTACTAAAAATACAAAAATTAGCTAAGTGTGGTGGGGCATGCCTATAGTCCCAGCTACTCAGGAGGCTGAGACAGGAGAATCACTTGAACCCGGGACACAGAGGTTGCAGTGAGCCAAGTTCTCACCATTGGACTCCAGCCTGGGCAACAGAGTAAGACTGTCTCAAAAAAAAAAAAAAAAAAAAAAAAAGAAAAGAAAAAAAGAAGCATCTGCCTATCAACCAAATGACAGTCATTTGTCATTTCACCCAGAATAAATATATTTTGAGACCCTAGTTTCTCTTACAGCTTAGGTCCCAGAAGTGAATGTATAAACTCAGTCAGCTAAAAAAAAAAATAATAGAAACATAAGAACTGTGAATACGAAAATTTTTTGGAATGTTCAAAAAAGATATCACCTCCATATACATCCATGTTCATCATCTTATTATTATTGGCTCTTGAGTTGCCAGTTATTAGGTTTGTGAAAAGGCAAAAGTAATGACAAAAACTACAATTACATTTGCACCAATATTAACAAGTGACGTCTTCTTTAGAAATAATGTAATTTTTTTTTTATTTTCAACTTCTAATTTAAGTTCAGAATGTACAGGTTTGTCATAGGTAAACATGTGTAATGTTTCTTGAATTTACTAGTTCATAATACCTTGGCAATAATTGCATACTTCGATATAAAACCTATTTTATTATGTAGTTTTGAGTATATTGGTGGTTATTTTAACGAAATTGGTTACGCATGATGCTAAGTTTACTATAAGCTAGTTTACTATAAGCCAAGTAAATGTGTTCTGTTGTATAACAACAAACTTTGTTTCCTGCTTTAGACAAATCTTTTCACCTATATGTAGTATTTACCATAACAGGAATAAAATGTCAAAGACAATTGGGTGAGTACAAATCTTTCATTATTATAAAATACAATGTTAATACTAAATTATTTGATAAATTCAAGTCACATGTGTCTAACCACTAATGTAAATTATATGTTATAAAAGAAAGTGGAAAGAAAATACATCTTTGTCTTAGTATTTATTTTACCTGACATCAGAGAGTCAAGTCTCTAATCATCTACCTAAAATAGAGCATTCCTAATCACTCCTAGTCCTTTAACTTTTAATTTTTCTTCTTAGCACTTGCCCCTGTCTAGTATATTAGATATATGATTTCCTCCTCTTCTCTCTAGAATGAAAGCTGCTTTGGAGCAGGCCTTTCCTCTTTGTTCATGGCTGTTTCTCTGGTCTTTAACATGTCTGACACAGAGTTTCTGCACAATAAGTATTTTGAATTAATAAACAAATTATTCATCATCTTACCTACAAAGATAAAAGCGTTTTTAAAAAATGACTTTTGCTACAAAGTTTCAGGATATATACACATTTCAAAAATATTTCAATATATAAATTTACAGTTTCGCAAGGCTCAACTAAAATTAGACTGCCAGCCTACTGAAAATTGTACAAAATTAATATCACAAGACTAACATGTCATCTAGACCATTCGTTTATTATCACATGATTGCATATGCATTGTAATGGGATCGATACATTAAACTAATCTAATAAGGATTCTTGTTTTTTCTTCACACATTATTGCTCTATGAGTATTTTTATCTGGTTTGAAGTATGGATTATTTGAATACACATTGCTTTTGCTCTCCCTATTTGATAACATAATTGGAAATATTACATCTAGCTGTGAAGACTTGCTTACCAAGAAATATTTAAATAAGTCATGTAATTGCAGCTGCAGTTGCCACTGTAAACAGAGAACAGAGTTCCATTTAGAGACAATACACAGGAGATTGGCCTTTCTAAAACCTTTTCATTTTTAATCAACACTTTCAGAGTTCAAATTGTGTGTGCTTGTCTGCTCCAGAATATTACTTCATATTAACAAAAATGTTAAAGGAGAGACTTGAACTGACTCCCCTTTGTCCTCCAGAACTTAAACACTGGTTTAAATCTCATAAATTTTCATATCACATGCTTTTACAAGTAACTCTGTGAGTATTTGTGAGAATTGTTCCCTGTGACAAGTGAAAACAAGAAAGATGATTTGAACAAAATAATTTATATATTTATATTTCTTGGGTAAAATCCAGTATTTCCAGTCTAAACTAAAAGCTGTTTTGATTGCAAACAAAATAGTTGACTATGCAACTTGTGTTTGTTGTTTTAGTTCAGCAGTAACCATTATGTTTTTTTATTCATAATCACAATTTTAAAACACACAGTCTTCTCTACACCTTCACTCAAGAATAAACTATCCTGTATTTATATTTTCAAAGAAGATTTGGCAATTCCTTTATCACTTCATTGTCTTTCCTCACTCCTAAACTGCTTCAGATTGAAAGAATAAAGTCTTTCGAAAAGGGACATGACCAAAACTATAAAAACTTAACTCATTTCCATTTTCAGAGAGATGGCAGAAAACCAAAAAAAACTCATCTGTTATAGATATCCTAAAAAACTAAATTTTTCAAACGTAAAATATATTCTAGAGCTACATAAAATGTAAGGTAATTCTCCAAAGCCAGAAGTAATGAGAAATCATAAATCTAGACACTATGCTGGTGTTTTTTGCTAGAGGCATCAACCACTACCTGGTAGTTAAGCACACAGGTTTTAAAAGATCCAGAGCTGAGAGGAAAGGGAACAGGCCAGGGTCCATGGAAACATGGGAAGTTGAAATAAACGTTAAGCATTAAAAAAAAAAAAAAAAAAAAAAAAAGTGATTTGCTAACGCAATAGGCAACAATACCAGTGAGTGAACTAGGAATTGACCTAGTTGAGAGAGATCATGATATTTGCCTCTCTCTGTCAGTTCAATGTGAGGGGAAAATTTGCAAAAATTTCATTCTGATAATTATAAATCATAAGCTATGCCTAATGGAAATTTGTAGCTCTAATTTTAATTTCTCTGCATCCTAAACAATAACCCACTGCAAAATTTAAGTCCTTTTAATTACCAAGCAGAAACATTTCTTCAATAGAGTTATTTCATATTCAGGTTTTAAAGAATATCACAGATAAATTTTAAGGAAGATAATAACCTCAAAATAATCAGATAAATAAATAAAACACACATGAAAAAAACAACCACTATGACTGAATGCTCGGAGAAACAATCAGCTGCATAATCATGCACAAAAGATTGTATATGTTGGACCTATTGTGTATATTCTATAGAACTTAGCTATAAACTTATTAATTTAGTAAAAGAAGGAGATTTAAAATAAAATAGATACTCATAAATAGCCAATCATATTTGAGAAAGAGCCAATTTGGAAATATCATATTACTGGACTTCAAATTATACTACAAGCCTGTAGTTACCAAAACAGCATGGTATTGGTATAAAAGTAGACATATAGACCAATAGAACAGAATAGAGAACACAGAAATAAAGCCAAGTACTTAGAACCAACTGATCTTTGACAAAGCATACAAAAACCTAAATCGGGGAAAGGACACCGCATTCAATAAATCATGCTGGAAAAGCTGGCTAGCCACATGTAGAAGAATGAAACTGGATCTTTATCTCTCACCTTATACAAAAATCAACTCAAGGTGGATCAAAGACTTAAAATCTATGACATGAATCAATAAAATTCTAAAACAACCTATGAAAACCTCTTCTGGACATTGGCCTAGGCAAAAAATTCATGACTAAGACCTCAAAAGCAAATGCAACAAAAACGAAAATAAATAAATGGTACCTAATTAAATTAAAAAGCTTCTGTACAACAAAAAAAGCAATTAGCAGAGTGAACAGATAACCCACAGAGTGGGATAAAATATTTGCAAACTATGCATCCAACAAAGGACTGATATCCAGAATTTACAAGGGATGCAAACAGGCAAGAAAAAAGGAAAACAAATAATCACATAAAAAAGTGAGTAACTAACATGAATAAACATTTATCAAAAGAAAGTATATAAATGACAAACATGAAAAATTCAACATTACTAAAAATCACATAAGTAATACAATTAAATATTAACTATAAAATCATAATGATAATATAATATCAAATTTATGGTTTCATAAAGAAAAGTAGAACTAGAATGTTAGACAATATTAGATTACATTTTCTACATGTCTAGAATAATGACTGACATTGTAAAAAGAATGAAGGGGGTCATGTAAAAAAACAAAGCGAATGTCCTTTAACTCTTCGGGAGAATGATAAATACATTGATGGATGTTAAAATTCTGTAGAGTAAAAAAATACTCTTTCTGGAAAAGATCTATTTCCCTGGATCAGGTTGACAAAATAGGGAAAGAATTCTCTAGACTTCTCTAGCAGTAAAAATGTTAAGCACTAGAATTTTTCCCATTTCTCCTCTCTCTTTCTTTCTTTTTCTCTTTCTTTCCTTCCTTCCTTCCTTCCTTCCTTCCTTCCTTCCTTCCTTCCTTCCTTCCTTCCTTCCTTCCTTTCTTTCTTTCTTTTCCTTCTTTCTTTCTTTCTTTTAAATGTAATTCATTTCAGCTCTCTAGTGTAGTTCAGTAGGTACTCTATGGTAAATCAGAAGTATATCCTATAACTGTATTCCTAGTTTAGAGTGAAAATCACAAGACATAAATGATTTCAGTGAAACAAGGATGCCTTGAGTAACAAATCCTCTGCTGGGTTTATCAGTCAGCGTTCGACCAGAGAAACAGAATTAATGAAGATATATATTAAGAAATTTATTTTAAGGAATTGGTTTATGCAGTTGTAGGGACTAGCCGGTCACAAAGAAGAGCAGGTTTTGACTCTTGGGCTGAAGCTGAATTTTCTGTCCATAGATAGGATTTCTTCTTCAAACAAGCTTCAGCACTGCTGTGATCATGGTGGACCTTATTCAATTAATTGAATCAGGATAATCTTCCTTACTTGAAGGCAACTGATTGTAAACTTAATCACATCTACAAAATGCCTTTCAAACAATATTATCTTGGATTTTTTTTTTTTGAATTACTGGGAATTGTAATATATACAGGTTAACACGTGAAACTACCCATCACAGTTTACCGTTTGTTGACTTGGCACCCCTGTACATTTTCTTAAACCACATATATTAGTCAAATAAAGAAAATTACAAAGTCTTACTTTGATCTTTCTTCATACTACTGAAAATACACAAATGCTTTCCACAGAAGAGAATGCAAAGCCCTTGGGTGATGTTTCCTCTTCTTTGATATAACTGTAACACTGCATTATTATAATACATCTTCCATGAGATCATAAGAGGAGGAGAGAAGAAATAAAAGAAAAAAATATGTTTGTTTAAAATATACTAACATATTCCTGACAAAATAGGGAGAGGAATTCATAACTATTACATTCCTTTTTTTCTGCAACATGGTCATAATTGCTATTTATAACTATCTTCTTTCATTACATATTTCATATTCCCTTTACCCTCACAAGCACCTGAGCTGGTTGTGGTTTTTGTATGGTGGGACATATTAGTTTCCTGTAGCTGTCATAGCAAATTACTGCAGGCTTTTGGCTTAAAACAATAGAAATTTATTGTCACAGTTATAAAAGCTGGAAATTCAAAGTAAAAGTGTTGGCAGGGCCCACTCTTTCCAGGAGCTCTATGGGAGATCCATCCGTTGTCTCTTGCAGCTTCCAGTGGTTGTTCTAGTATTCCTGAGCTTGTGGCTGCATTGCTTCAGTCTCTGCCTTTGTAATCACATTGATTCCTCCTCTTTTATGTGTCTGTTTCAAAATTCCCTCTGCTTGTCTCTTATAAGGATACATGTGACTGCATTTAGGGTCCACCTAGAAAATCCAGGATAACCTTCTTCTTTGAAGATTCTTAATTACATTTTTTTTTCATAAAAGTTAGTATTTTCTCAGATGATAGGAATTTGGATTTGGGCATATCCTTTTAAGGGTCCAAAATTCAGCCCACTCCATAGGATAACCCAAACCTTCATTTCTGAAGGGTCTGTTCATTATCACTATGGTCTGAATTGATTTGTTGATGTTTTCCATTGACTTTATTTACAAGTCATGGTAGTACTAATAGATACCCTAAAAGATCACCTATATTCCAGTTTTACTTTATTTTTAATACCTCCAATTTTGTTTTAACAGTTGTATTTTCCATTAGTAATTAGGATTAGTCACCCAGCTAGAAGATTAACTCCTTTATTTGTCTGTTGATTCAGAGGCAAAAGGAGTCAAAATAGACTTATAATATTCTCAGAGTTTCAGTTCAGTGGAATCAATATTGTGTATTCTGGTGGAAATATTTTTTCCTCAAAAGCAGAGACCTCTGGACCAGAAGAGTGTAAGCACAGGGACGGAAGCAAAAATTTTGCTAGTGAGTCACCAGGGATAATAGTAAATGGTAGACTGGGTGCAGTGGGTCACACCTGTAATCCCAGCATTTTGGGAGGCCAAAGCGGGTAGATCACTTGAGGTCAGGAGTTTTAGAGCAGCCTGGCCAACATAGTGAAACCCCATCTCTACCAAGAAAGACAAAAATTAGCCAGGTGTGGTGGTGCACGCCTGTAGTCACAGCTACTAGGGAGATTGAGGTGTGAGAATCGCTTGAACCCAGGAGGCGGGGGTTGCAGTGAGCTGAGATAGGCCACTGCACTCCAGCCTGGGTGACAGAGAGAGACCCTGTCTCAAAAAAATAAATAAATTAATTAATCAACTTATTAAAAAGGAAATGGTGCTACTTCCATTTTCATTCATTGATTTCTGGATCTGTGAATTCTGTCTATGAAAAATAGTGCTATACATCAGATAACAGTTTAGGGCATATATGTCATTATGGAAGACATTGCTCCAACCTACAACCTTTCTACAATGCTCATTGTCATGATAACTGAGTCTTCAACAGGTAGTAATATTATTTTATCAAGCTAGATGGTTCATAATGATTGGAGAACATGGTAATACCAGTAATTTCATGAACATGGTTCCATTGCTGCACTTCATCCATTGTGAAGTGAATCATTTGATCATAGGCAGTGCTATGTAGAATACTGTGAATGTGAATACCACATTCTGTAAGTCCATAGATGGTAGTTTTGGCAGAACTATTGAATGCATGAAAGGCAAATCCATGTCCGGAGTAAGTGTCTATTCTAGAAAAAACAATGAGCTGCCCCTTTCAGGATGAAACTGTTCTAATATTATCAGTCTATCACTAGATATCTGGCTTATCTCCTTGGAAAATGATGACACATCAGGGATTCAGTTTTGGTCTCCACTGCTGTCAGAATGGGCACTCAGTAGTTGCTGTCACCAAGTTGGTCTTTGTGAGTGGATGTTCATGTTGCTGAGCCCATACACAGCCCTCATCCCTGTCACCATGGCCGCTTTGTTTATGATCCCATTTGGTGATGACAGGGATAGCTAAGAAAAGAGGCTGACTGGTATCCATAGAATGGTTCATTCATTTTTTCCACTTGATTATTAAAATCTTACTCTCTTGAAGTCACCCTTTGGTAAGCATTCATATGAAACACAAATATCTTCAAATTCATTCCCTGGAGAATTCTATACATATATCAATTCTCCAGACCTTATTATTGACAATTACCCATTTGGGTACATCCTGATTATCAAGCCAAACCATTGGCAACAGCCAATCAGAGTAATGAACTCTTACTCCTGACCATTTCTCCTTTAGGGAAAAATGAACAACCAGGTATAGCTGCTCAAAATTCTGCCTACTGAGAATATTTCCCTTCATGTCTGTTCTTCAATGATGTCTCAAAATGAGCTGCAGGGCCACAGCTTGCTTTCTTTTTTAACTTTTAAGTTCAGGTGTACAAGTGCAGGTTTGTTACATAAGTAAACTTGTGTCATGGGAGTTTGTTGTAAAGATTATTTCTAAACCAGGTATTAAGCCTATAGTCATTAGTTATTTTTCCTGATCCTCTCCCTCCTTCCATCCTCCACCCTCCGATAGGCCCCAGTGTTTGTTGTTCCCCACTATGTGTTCATGTGTTCTCATCATTTAGCTCCCACTAGTAAGAGAGAACATGTGGTGTTTGGTTTTCTGTTCCTCCCCTAGTTTGCTAAGGATAATGGCCTCCAGCCCCATCCATTGTTGGGAGAAAAGCTAAGTGTTGGGAGAAGCTGAGGCAGGGCTTGCATGTCTGACATAATGTAAAAGAGTGTTGGAACATGTCCGGGGTCCAGGGTCTAAAACCTCCTGTGGCCTTTGGAACACCAAGCTCTGTACTAAAGGGTGGACGGCTACCCTGATGCACCATAGTCTAAGCCCAGGGCATAAAACCCCTTGTGGCTTGGACAGAATCCAGGGCTCAGGGTATAAAACCCCTTGTAGCCTCTGGAATGTGTATAGACTTGCTGGCTCCTTGCTCCTTGCTCTCCCAGGATTGATTGTATCTTGAATTAAAGCACCTGCTCTCCATTATCTCAAGTAGCAGAGCAGATGCTAAAGTGTCACAGCTGTAAATCATGTGATTAATGCAATGATCCCTTTCAACCCCACATTCTCACCACTTGTTTCTTTATCACCAGTAAATAGTCTGGGCTTCCAGAGCTTGGGACCTTCACAGCTTCCACACTCATGATGGTCCCCTGGACCCACTTTCTCTCTCAAACTGTCTTTTCTCATTCTTTTGACTCCCCCGGACTTTGTTGCCCCCACAACCTGGGGTTGGGTCTGATCACCCTAACATCCATGTCCCTGCAAAGACATTATCTAATTCTTCTTTACGGCTGCTTTCTACTTTCATGGAGTTCTTGCATATCTTGCACCACCATTTATGATTATAACTATTGATGCATAATAGTTGTACACTGTTTTGTGGCACATGTGGCAATTTAATGCATTCATATAATTTGTAAATATCAAATCAATGTACTTGAGATATCTATCACCCTAAATATTTGTCTTTTCTTTATGCTAGAAATGTTCAATTTATTCTCCTCTAGCTTTTTTAAGATGTAAAATAGATTATGGTAAACAGTCACAGTACTGATGTATCTATCACTAGGTCTTATTTATAGTATGATAGAAGAAATAAGAGCATCTTTAAACCTGGCCTGAATTTTCTCTTCTGTTGTCAACTTCTCAGAGGGAACTCCCTGTGAGTACATAAGGATTATATGAAACAGAAAGATAACATAGCAGGAGTAGGGGCCAAGGCCACCTCTGAAAGGACATCTCAACATGCCCCATGCCACTGGTTCTCAAGAAATTTCACTGAAGTAGAACCTCTAAATTTTTGTAATATTTATTTCTTAGCCTCTGACACAAAAGTTCCTTATCAATATGTCTAGATAAAATACTACAATCTGCTAATGATAGCTAATTTCATAATATCATCAATGAAATGAAGCAACATAATGTCTTGTGGAAGAGAACAGCAAGCATGGTCTGTATGGAATAAATTATGACATGGGGCTGGAGAGTTGACACAGGCCTAAAATAGAATAGTGAAGATGTATTACAGGAAGCAACTGCTTTCTGTGATCTTATTGACAGATATTGAAAAAGAAAAACATTTGTCTGTTTAGCTGCATACCAGATGTGAAAAGATGTACTAATTTTCTCAAGCAACAAAACCACAATTGGAATAACAGCTATAATTACAGTTACCAGATGATTAAGTTTATGATAATCCACTCTCATTCATCAGGATCCATCTGCTTTTTGTACAAGCCAAATAGGCAAGTTCATCGTTGATTTTCGGGAATTCCACCTGCATCTTTCAAGTTCTTGGTGGTGGCACTGATTGATGCAATATATCCAGGAATGGAGCATTGCTTTCAGTTTACTGTTTTTGCAGTTAAAGGCAGTTCTGGTGGCTGCTGCTTAGCCTAATAACCCTTATTCTACAAGTCAGAGACCTGATGTGGGAATTGTAAGTGTTATCTATTCCAATTATACATTCCAGACCTGGGAAAATAAGTATTGGATGAGGTCATGGACCCAATAGGTCAACTGTAATATGACCTGAGCTAAAACTCCATTGATTACCTGACCTGCAGAGCCCCTATGGTGACTGGTGGACCCTAGTGAAGTTTTATGTATCCTGGAATTAGTATCAGTTCAGGGATTATAGTATCCAGTATTTCCTGAATACTCTAATTATTTCACTTTTACCTTGGTAAATGGACATGGATTACTTGGGGAAGGGAGGAAGAATGATTAACAATACAAATTTTTGGTAACGTAGCAGAGGCCTTCCTCTAGGGGACTCAGTCTCCCTTTTATTCATTCTATAAACTGGCTCAACTCTGGGAATTGGGGGACCATGAATCTTTCTTTTGGTGATTCAGGTTAGATTTCTGTTCTCTATGCCTAGTAATGGTGAACTTCTTGTCACCATCCTCTGCTAAAACATATCCAATACAGATTTAATACAGTTCCCATCTGTTTCTTTCTTAGGGACACTAGCCAATGCCATAGGTTTCTGTTAGACAAATTGTTCTGGTTAATTATTTGAAACCATTATCTATCAGAGTATGGCCAAGTTGCTTTGACAACTAAATACTGCGACTGAGCCACTACCACCCGGGGATCTCATTATCCCATGACATTTAAGAATCCCAGTTTGATAGTGGAAGGCCTCACTGTGATTTCTGATTTCTGACCTATCAATAAGAGTGGGCATAAATCCCTTCAAGGATACTGGAGCTCCCCTCACAAATGTTTTTATTAGAGACATGATAAAAGATATGTCCTTTAGAATCTCTTAAGACGAGTGAGGACATCTTACATTATATATCTAGCATAATATTTCAATCTCCCTAAGTCTTTAAATATCTTCCTCTACACTATACCAGGGGAGTTGTTGGTATTGGTATTTAAATTTTATTTAGTACAGGCCACCTTTGGGTCCACGTTTCAGCCAACCAAATAAACAAAAGTTAGAGCCTTCTGTAAATCATTGAGCTAAAATATTAAATGCAGAATTTTCATTTAATGGGCCCATATCAATCAATTCAGGCTGATTGAACTTTTGTTTGTTTACTTGTTGTGTTTTTTGGGTTTTTTTTGCATGTGTCTTTTCTTTTTTTTTTTTTTTTTTTTTTTATACTTAAGTTCTGGGATACATGGGCAGAACCTGCAGGTTTGTTACATAGGTATACTTGTGCCATGGTGGTTTGCTGCACCCATCAACCTGTCATCTACATTAGGTATTTCTCCTAATGCTATCCCTCCCCTTGCCCCCCACCCCCCGACAGGCCCCAGTGTGTGATGTTCCCCTCCCTGTGCCCATATGTTCTCATTGTTCAACTCCCACTTATGGTGAGAACATGCGGTGTTTGGTTTTCTGTTCCTGTGTTAGTTTGCTGAGCATGATGGTTTCCACCTTCATCCATATCCCTGCAAATGAAATGAACTCATTCTACCTTATCTCTGTGTAATATTCCATGGTGTATGTGTGCCACATTTTCTTTGTCCAGTTTATCATTGATGAGCATTTGGGTTGGTTCCAAGTCTTTGCTATTGTGAACAGTTCTGCAATAAATATATGTGTGCATGAGTCTTTATAGTAGAGTGATTTATAATCCTTTGGGTATATACCCAGTAATGGGATTGCTGGTTCAAATGGCATTTCTGGTTCTAGATCCTTGAGGAATCGCTATACTGTCTTCCACAATGGTTGAACTAATTTATACTCCCACCAACAGTGTAAAAGTGTTCCTATTTCTCCACATCCTCTCCAGCATCCGTTGTTTTCTGATTTTTTAATGATCGCCATTCTAACTGGTGTGAGATGGTATCTCATTGTAGTTTTGATTTGCATTTCTCTAATGACCAGTGATGATGAGCTTTTTTTCAAATGTTTGTTGGCTGCATAAATGTTTTTTTTTGAGAAATGTCTGTTCATATCTTTTGCCCACTTTTTGATGGGGCTGTTTTTTTTTTTCTTGTAAATTTGTTTCATTTCTTCATAGATTCTGGATATTAGCCCTTTGTCAGATGGCTAGATTGCAAAAATTTTCTCCTATTCTGTAGGTTGCCTGTTTACTCTGATGATAGCTTTTTTTTCTTTTCTTTTTCTTCTCTTTTTCTTTTTTCTTTTCTGTGCAGAAGCTCTTTAGTTTAATTAGATCCCATTTGTCAATTCTGGCTTTTGTTGCTATTGCTTTTGGTGTTTTAGTCATGAAGTCTTTGCCCATGTCCATGTCATGAATGGTATTGCCTAGGTTTTCTTCTAGGGTTTTTATGGTTTTATGTCTTACATTTAAGTCTTTAATCCATCTTGAGTTAATTTTTGTATAAGGTGTAAGGAAGGGGTCCAGTTTCAGTTTTCTGCATATAGCTAGCCAATTTTACCAACACCACTTATTAAATAGGGGATCCTTTTCCTATTGCTTTTTTGTGTCAGGTTTGTTAAAAATCAGTTAGTTGTAGATGTGTGGTGTTATTTCTGAGGCCTCTGTTCTGTTTCCTTGGTCTATATCTCTGTTTTGGTACCAGTACCATGCTGTTTTGGTTACTGTAGCCTTGAAGTATAGTTTGAACTCAGGTAGCATGGTGCCTCAACCTTTATTCTTTTTGCTTAGGATTGTCTTGGCTGTGTGAGCTCTCTTTTGGTTCCATGTGAAATTTAAGGTAGTTTTTTTTCTATGAAGAAAGTCATTGGTAGCTTGATGGGAATAGCATTGAATCTATAAATTACTTTGGGTAGTATGTCCATTTTCAAAATATTGATTCTTCCTATCAATGATCATGGATATTTTTTCCATTTGTTTTTGTCCTCTCTTATTTCCTTGAGCAGTGGTTTGTAGTTCTCTTTGAAGAGGTCCTTCACATCCTTTGTAAAGTCATATTCCTGGATATTTTATTCTCTTTGTAGCAATTGTGAATGGGAGTTCACTCATGATTTGGTTCTCTGTTTGTCTATTATTGGTGTATGTGAATGCTTGTCATTTTTGAACATTGATTGTGTGTCCTGAGACTTCGCTAAGTTGCTTATCAGCTTAAGGAGTTTTGGGGCTGAGATGATGGGGTTTTCTAAATATACAATCATGTCATCTGCGAACAGAGATAATTTGACTTCCTCTCTTTTTATTTGAATATCCTTTATTTCTGTCTCTTGCCTGATTGCCCTGGCCAGAACTTCCGAAACTATGTTGAATAGGAGTGGTGAGAGGGGGTACCCTTGTCTTGTGCCAATTTTCAAAGGGAATGCTTCCAACTTTTGCCCATTCAGTATGATAATGGCTGTGGGTTTGTCATAAATAGCTCTTATTATTTTGACATGCGTCATGGCTGATGTTTTTAGCATGAAGGGGTGTTGAATTTTATTGAAGGCCTTTTCTCCATCTATCGAGATAATCATGTGTTTTTGTCATTGGTTCTGTTTATGTGATGGATTATTTTTATTGATTTGTGTATGTTGACTTAGCCTTGCATCCCAGGGATGAAGCCAACTTGATAGTGGTGGAAATGCTTTTTGATGTGCTGCTGGATTTGGTTTGCCAGTATTTTATTGAGGATTTTCGCATGGATATTCATCAGGGATATTGGCCTAAAATATTATTTTTTTGTTGTGTTTCTGCCAGGTTTTGGTATCAGGATGATGCTAGCTTTATAAAAGGAGTTACGGATGAGTCCCTCTTTTTCTATTGCTTGGAATAATTTTAGAAAGAATGATACCAGCTCCTCTTTGTACCTCTAGTAGAATTCCACTGTGAATCCATCTGGTCTTGGGCTTTTTTTGGTTGGCAGCTATTAATTACTGCCTCAATTTCAGAACTTGTTTTTGGTCTATTCAGTGGTTCGACTTCTTCCTCATTTAGTCTTGGGAGGATTTATGTGTCCAGGAATTTATCCATTTTTTCTAGATGTTCTAGTTTATTTGCATAGAAGTGTGTATAGTATTATCTGATGGTAGATTGTATTTCTGTGGGATCAGTAGTAACATCCCCTTTATCATTTTTTTATTGTGTCTATTTGATTCTTCTATTTTTTCTTCTTTATTAGTCTGACTAGCAGTCTATCTATTTTGTTCTTCTTTTCAAAAAACCAGCTCCTGGATTCAATGATTTTTTGAATGGTTTTTTTGTGTCTCTATTGCCTTCAGCTCTGCTCTGATCTTAGTTATTTCTTGCGTTCTGCTAGCTTTTGAATTTGTTTCCTCTTGCTTCTCTAGTTCTTTTAATTGTGATGTTACGGTGTTGATTTTAGATCTTTCCTGCTTTCTCTTGTGGGCATTTAGTGCTATGAATTTCCCTCTACACACTGCTTTAAATGTATCCCAGAGATTATGGTATGTTACTTCTTTGTTCTCATTGGTTTCAAAGAACATCTTTATTTCTGCCTTCATTTCATTATTTACACAGTAGTCATTCAGGAGCAGGTTGTTAGTTTCCATGTAGTTGTGCAGTTCTGAGTGAGTTTTTTAATCCTGAGTTCTAATTTGATTGCACTGTGGTCTGAGAGACTGTTAGTTATTATTTCTGTTCTTTTGCATTTGCTGAGGGGTGTTTTACTTCCAATTATGTGGTCAATTTTAGAATAATTGCTATGTAGTGCTCAGAAGAATGTATATTCTGTTGACTTGGGGTGTAGAGTTCTGTAGATATCTATTATGTCCACTTGGTCCAGAGCTGAGTTCAAGTCCTGGATATCCTTGTTAATTTTCTGTCTTGTTGATCTGTCTAATATTGACAGTGGGGTGTTAAAGTCTCCCACTGTTATTGTGTGGGAGTCTAAGTCTCTCTGTAGGTCTGTAAGAACTTGCTTTATGAATCTGGGTGCTCCTGTATTGGGTGCATATATTTAGGAAAGTTAGCTTTTATTGTTGCATTGATCCCTTTACCATTATGTAATGCCCTTCTTTGTCTTTTTTGATCTTTGTGGGTTTAAAGTCTGTTTTATCAGAGACTAGGGTTGCTACCCCTGCTTTTTTTGCTTTCCATGTGCTTGGTAAATCTTCCTCCATCCCTTTATTTTGAGCCTATGTATGTCTTTGCATATCAGATGGGTTTCCTGAATACAGCACACTGATGGGTCTTGACTCTTTATCCAATTTGCCAGCCTGTGTCTTTTAATTGGGGCATTTAGCCCATTTACATTTAAGGTTAACATTGTTATGTGTATGTTTGATCCTATCATCTTGGTGCTAGCTGGTTATTTTGCCTATTAGTTGACGCAGTTTCTTCATAGTGTCAATGGTCTTTACATTTTGGTATGTTTTTGCAGTAGCTGGTACTGATTTTTCCTTTCCATATTTAGTGCTCCCTTCAGGAGCTCTTGTAAGGCAGGCCTGATGGTGACAAAATCCTTCAGCATTTGCTTGTCTGTAAAAGATTTTATTTCTCCTTCACTGATGAAGCTTAGTTTGGCAGGATATGAAATTCTGGGTTGAAATTTCTTTTCTGTAAGAATGTTTAATGTTGGCCCCCACTCTCTTCCGGTTTGCAGGGTTTCTGCGGAGAGATCCACTGTTAGTCTGATGGTCTTCCCTTTTTGGGTAACTTGACCTTTCTCTCTGGCTGCCTTTAACATTTTTTCCTTCATTTCAACCTTGGTGAATCTGTTAATTATGTGTCTTGGGGCTTCTCTTCTTGAGGAGTATCTTTGTGGTTGCTCTTCTTGAGGAGTATCTTTGTGGTGTTCTCTGTATTTCTTGAATTTGAATGTTGGCCTGTCTTGCTAGGTTGGGGAAGTTCTCCTGGATAATATCCTGAAGTGTGTTTTCCAACTTGGTTCCGTTCTCCCTGTCACTTTCAGGTATACCAATCAAATGTAGGTTTGATCTCTTCACATAGTCCTAAATTTATTGGAGGCTTTGTTCATTATTTTTCATTCTTTTTTCCCTAATCTTGTCTTTATGCTTTATTTCATTGAGTTGATCTTCAATCTCTGATATCCTTTCTTCAGCTTGATTGATTAGGCTGTTTATACTTGTGTATGCTTCATGAAGTTCTCATGCTGTGTTTTTCAACTCCATCAGGTCATTTGTATTCTTCTCTAAACTTGTTATTCTAGTTAGCAGTTCCTGTTACCTGTTTGGGCAGACACTGAGCTAGCTGCAGGAGTTTTTCTTCATACCCCAGTGGCGTCTGGAATGCCAGTGAGAGAGAACCGTTTACTCCCTTGGAAAAGAGGCTGAAGCCAGGGAGCAAAGTGGTCTTTCTCAGTGTATCCCACTCCAATGGAGCCCAACAAGCTAAGATCCACTGACTTAGAATTCTTGCTGCCAGCACAGCAGTCTGAAGTCAACCTGGGACACTCGAATTTGGTGGGGAGAGGGGCATCTGCCATTACTGAGGCTTGAGTAGGTGGTTTTCCTCTTACGGTGTAAACAAAGCTTCCTGGATGTTCAGATGGGGTGGAGCCCACTCCAGTGCTGCAAAGCCGCTGTAGCCAGACTGGCCCTCTAGATTCTTCCTCTGTGGGCAGGGCATCTCTGAAAGAAAGGCAGCAGCCCCAATCAGGGGCTTATAGATAAAACTTCCATCTCCCTGGGACTGAGCACCTGGGGGAAGGGACGGCTGTGGGCACAGCTTTAGCAGACATAAATGTTCCTGCCTGCCAGCTCTGAAGAGAGCAGTGAATCTCCCAGCACAGTGCTCAAGCTCTGCTAAGTGATAGACTGCCTCCTCAATTGGGTCCCTGATCCCCATGCCTCCTGACAGGGAGACACGTCCCAGCAGGGGTTGACAGACACCTCATACAGGAGAGCCCCAGCTGGTATATTGTGGTTGCCCCTCTGGGACGAACCATCCAGAGGAAGGAGCAGGCAGCAATCTTTGCTTTTCTGCAGTCTCTGCTGGTGATACCCAGGAAACAGGGTCTGGAGTGGACCTCCAGAAAACTCCAGCAGACCTGCAGAAGAGGGGCCTGACTGTTAGCAGGAAAACTAGCAAACAGAAAGCAATAACATCAACATCAAAATGAAGGATGACCACTCAAAAATCTCATATGAAGGTCACCAACATCAAAGACCAAAGGTAAGCAAATCCACAAAGATAAGCAAAAATCAGTGCAAAAGGCTGAAAATTAAAAAAAAACAGAACGCCTCTTCTCCTCCAAAGGTTCACACCTCTGCCAGCAAAGGAACAAAACTGGATGGAAAATGAGTTTGATGAATTGACAGAAGTAGGCTTCAGAAGGTAGGTAATAACAAACTCCTACTAGCTAAAGGAGCATATTGTAACCCAATGCAAGGAAGCTAAGAACCTTGATTGAACTTTATATTCTTTCTATGAAAAACCCATATCTTTAAGATTGGTTTCTACAGATATTCTGCTGATTTCTGTCTTTGTGGATGGGAATATGTTGTTGCAGTTATTTTGATATGCAGTGAACATATTTTGGGTTATACTTTGTACCTTACTCTTCAAGACTTTCTGGGACTTGATTTATTTATAAGTCTAGAAGCAAAAGAAGGGTAAAGAGGTTGATAGGCCTTGAGGAGAATCAGCAGCTCCATGCAAGGTAGCTTCCCCATGGGAGGTCATTAAAGGTTCTTTAGGCAATAGAGGGCTAACCTCTTCAGGCAGAAGTGGAAGAACTTCTAGTAATGAAGACTCAGCAGATTTTATTTAGGAGTTAGATATACCCAGCTTTTTTGGAATCCTTCCGTATGTACTCATTCCAATTTTCTGGGTCCCATTTCTTCTCACTGAATGCCCTCATTTTAACAGATGCCACCCTGTGAGGTTAAGAACTTAATTTAAATTGAAATTAAACCACTCACAGTTAGACTTTGAGTTGGGTTTTCAACAATATTGTCCTGGTGGCTACAGGATATAAGAGTTTCATTTAGGACAGATACAGAAGCTTTTAGTTCCTTAATGCAGAGCATGGACTGGGAATTTGGAGCCCTGAGCCTATTCTTCCTGACCGCAGCCTTCCTGATCCCAGGCTTCTTTCTCCAGTGTAGATAGGAGTAACTGGCTTATCTCATTATACTCTTTAACTTAATTAAAATGTTCTAGATGGCAGGTACATGGTCACCCATAAAGACTGCACCTTTTGTAGGTATTTGATTAGGAGTCTCCAATGGTGGTATTTTGTGTACCTCTTTCATGCTATGTACTACTGATGCCCTCTTTTTTAACTAGAAAAAGAATCATTAGTGACTTTAATCAAATTATAGAAATAATACCAGAAAACCTGGAACCAATTCAACAAAACTTATTCTTAAATGCTTTTCCTGTAGAACCACTTCTGATACCAAAATCAGTCAGGATTCTATCGAACTAAAATGAAATAATAAATAAATAGATATAGAGATACATATTATTGATAGATATTTAGATATATGGCAAATTAGCATATTATTAGATTAATTTTATATGTATTTTAGATATCCATTAAGATATTTAGTGCAAGGAATTGACCATTATGGGGGCTGGCTAAGCAAATCTGAAATCCTTAGGGCAGGCTGTCAGAGACAGCTGACTGAAGCTCTCAGCTGCACGCTAAAACTATTGCCAAGAGTGAATTTTCTTCTCTTTCAGGGAATGTTTAGCTGTGCTTTTCATTCATTTCAAATGATTGAATCACTGAGTTTATGTACAATAATCTCTCTTATTTGAAGTCAACTTATTATGGACTTAAGTCATATCTACAAAGTTCCTTCACAGTTAACACCTAGATCAGTGTTTGAATGAAGACTGTAGTCTAGCAAAATTGACACATAAAACTAACCATCACACTGGGATAAAAAGATATAAATAAAAATACTTTCATTTCTATGTTTCTTATTTTCTGTTCTACATACCTGTTTACATAACTACTCCTATTTACATAAGAGTCGTTCTCGATGTGTAGTTATGGGAAAGTTTAAATGTAGGTGATGGCCAATATTTGAGGAAGTTAAAAGATATTAGGAATAAATTTATACTATTACAATTAAACTGACATGTAGAAACACTTAATTGGTTTACTTAATAAAGACATGTTAATATTTCCCAGTTGTGTGAAGTAAATTTAAAAAGCCCACCTATCATAGCATTTCCTCTGTAAATATTGAAGAACATGACACTCTGTGAAGCAGAGACCCAGATACCCAAGATGAATACCTAGCAATATGGATTGTTATAAAAATATAAATTTTTTACAGATTATTTAAAGACAAAATTTTCAGCCTAAAAACAAAGATTCTTATATAATGGTATTACATCTATCATGATAAATAGTAAAATTAGAAAAAAAATATTAGAGTTTTATAAATTATTGATAAATTTCTAATGATAGTCTGGCCTAAATTGTGGAAACATTGGTGCCAGCCTCACGGTGAGTAGGGCACTGAAGATCTGAATTCCACAGTTTCCCTGATACATTGATTGAACAATAGCAAGATGACTCTATATATGGAAGAGACATCACTTGGCCAGACATACAAATCAATAAAAGCTTTCATCACAAGGATTTGAAGAGCCTCCACATTAACCTCTCTGGAGAAGATGTAGTGTAGGCTTGAGACATGGACTTCCTAGCCTCTCCATTGGCTCTTAAGGTTTTTTTTTTGTTTTGTTCGGTTTTGTTTTTTCTTACTTGCTTCAGCTGCTCCCTTTTTTGCCTCTCTTGTCTCTCCTTCAATTTTACTCTATAGTGGCTCTTTGTAATATTGCCTGTCCCTTTGGAATACTGTTTGAACAGCTGTTTGTGCCGAGAACAGCACTTGTTGCAGTTGTAATTGAGTGCCTCTCTTAAGGTTTTCTTTTGTTTGTTTTTTACAAGCACTGAAGTGTTTTTAACAGTTGAGTTTGTGTATGAGTGAAAATTAAAATAGTTTTCTCACCATTACAGATATATATTTATGTAATACGTCACATAATATTACAAAGGGAAAATGTATTATAATGAAAAAACACAAAACCAGAAGAGTTTTTTTCCAGTCTCTACTCTGCACTAATTTACTCTGTGATATTCTCAATTCACCCAACCTCTCTGAGTAATAATACGTGTCCTTTCTACCATGAGGATTAAGATAATGACCTCCAGCTGTACTCATGTTGCTTCAAAAGGCATGATTTCATTCTTTTTTTATGACTGTGTAGTTTTCCATGGTGATTTTCTTAATAACATTGTATTTTCTCTAGTTTATCGTAAGAATATAGTATATAATACATATGACATAGAAAACATAAATTGATTTTCATTCTTTTTTATGACTGTGTAGTATTCCATGGTGATTTTCTTAATAACATTGTGTTTTCTCTAGTTTATTATAAGAATATAGTATATAATACATATGACACAGAAAATATGAGTTGATTTACTGTTTACATTATTAGTAACACTTCTAGTCAATAGTAGACTATTAAGTTTTCTGGGGAGTCAAAATTTATACATGGGACTGTTGTATTAGACTTTAATAAGGAGGCACATTGCAAAAGCTAGAGTGACTATTACAAGAATAGTAAATAAATATATCAGTGCTAAACTAAGATAAGGGAAAAATGCATTAACAGATATAATAACCAAAAATAAAGTAACAAGGGAGAAAACAAGTAATACGGGGCTATAGGGACAAATGGAAGCATTAGTAAACTAGTAGATTTAAAACCTAATATGCATGTAATTACATTAAAAGTGAATAGACTAAAAGCTCCAATCAAAAGACAGATTTTTGTAGTAATTAAAAGATATGCACATGCATACACACACACAAATTCACAAAACTATAAGCCATTTTCAAGAGAGAAACCTTAAATATAAAGAATCAGCACATTTTGAAGTATAACGTTGAAAAGAAACTAAGGACACAATCCACCAGAGGATGTTGCTGCCACTGTACCTATAGCACACAAAGTAGAATTAAAAGGAAAGAACATCACCATAGATAAAGGACAATTAATGATAATAACATGGTCAATGGTTTATCTGAATGCTTCTAATAACATGGTTTCAAAATATGTCAAATTTTAGAGCAGTGAAAAGCAAATTTAGCAAATCTCTCTGAGTGACTACTAAGCATGCAGACAAAAAATTTGGTAAAGGTAGGAAGTATGGATGATCTAAAAACCCAATTTGATAAATTGACTGGATGTACATGTATAAAACATCATCCAACAACTAAAAATGGTTGAAAAATTTGAATGGACATGCAGAAAGAAATTATAAAAATGGTGAATAAATATATAATAAATATGGTACTCAAAATCAGAATTTGTGTTAATAAGAATTAATTAGAAAGATAAATGCCCATTACAAATAGAACCACAGAATAGTTAATTTATAAGGACAGATAATGCAATTTATTGGCAGTGAGATGGAAAAAACAATGATATACTGCCATTGAAATTGTAAATTGGTACAACCAGTTGAAAAATTGAGTTCCCTGGGAATCTCATGCAGATAAGGAACTTGTGTGCATAATATTTGTTAGAGATTGCTCTCAGTATCAATACCTGTGGAAAAGTGCGGAAACAAGTCTGGACAGAGAAAGAGTTGAATTGCAAAGCATTTGCAACAAAAAGACCTCCATTTAATCTTATGCAGTGGTTTTGAAATGCATCGGTCCTTGAGAGCTATCCAGAATTTGAGCTAAATTGCCAGTCTTTTATAACCCTGAATCATCTAGTCATTGGAATGGGTTTCTCATGAAGAGTGGTCTTGACCTCAGAGGAGGCACCTCATGGTAATGAATGACAAATTTCAGAGTAGAACTCAGTGGAGGGCTGTTCACTACCAATTCAATCAACAGTTTGCGATATGAGCACTTCAGTCCTAGAAGAGAGGATCTAGGCAGCACACCACAGCAGTCTCTAAAATATCCAACAGACATGTGGGTACATGTGCATCAAAGGTATGTAAAAGTCTTCATAACAGTATTATTTGTGCTTAACAAAATTTACAGGTTACCCAAATGTTCACTGACTGTTAGATGGATAAATTGCCATGTATTCATATTATAAAGTAGTATTTAGTAATGAAAATTAACTATAACTCAAATGCATAAGTAAAATTTACATACATAATCTTAAGCCAAAGAAGTCATACACAATAAAAAAAACACACAGCCTGATGCCATGTATATGTAATTCAAAAGAGGCAAAATTTGGAGGTTTGAGTTCTGGCAAAATTCTATAACTACACCTGACAGAGCTTGCTTAGAGTCTCTTCACAGCACAGTATGATAATTTGTTGAGCTGTACTCTTATGAGTTGGGCACTTTGCATATGTTAACTTCAGTAAAAATGTAAAACTAATGTGAAATATTTGTACCTTTTCTTAATGTTCTTCAAAATCTTAAAACATACATTCAACTCCAAATGAAAAAAAAATAGGTGAACATGCCCTCTACTATTTGTTTTCCATATGTGTATTATCCTCAAAAAATAAAATAATAACATTCTACACTAAAATATTTTCTTCCCAACAACTTTTCAATTATTTTATCTCATTCTTGGTGCCATCCCTACTTGTATGTATCCCGAAGTAAATAGTGTGGTTCTTTGTATATAACTATTATTTATTTTTTCATTTGTTTAAGAAATGAATGAAACTACTTATTTCTAGAAACTACATTTCTAGAAAATTAAATGTATTAACTCTGAGGAGTAACGAAACTGCATATATTTCTATTGCATTCATGGACTGTCAGATGTATTAGGAAACCTATGATTTGTGAAAATATTTTTAAAAATTGTGTGTATTACAAACTGGTACATTTTTTATAAACTAACTTTTTTTACAGCCGTCCCAGTGAGCAATACATTTTTTTTTCTCATAAAATTGCTAAGTGTACCTCAGTTTTAGGGAAAAAAAAATATGATAGCAGATTGAGAGCATCTCGTGTAGACTTTAAATTTTCTACTTTTTTTCACATCCAAATGTTATTGGCAGGGTTGAAATTCAAAAATCATCTAGGTTCCTGAGTGGCATTTCTGTGGCTATTACTCAGCAGAGTAGGAAAAAAATCGAATGGTAAGATATTTCTATGAATATTTTAATTTTACAGTTATTACATTGAGTCATGTTTTAATTCAACAAATATTTGTTGATTGCCTACTATCTTGATTGGTTCAGGTTGCTATAACAGCAAACTAAAGACTGGGTGGCTCAAGCAACAGAAATTTGTTTGGCATAGTTTTGGATGCTGGGAAATCCAAGATCAAGATGCCTACAGATCTGGTATCTATCAAGGGCACTGTTTTTTATTTTTGTAATTATATCCTCAGATAGCAGAGAGAAAGATCATGTCTCCCATGATCTTTTCTTATAAGGCTACTAATCTCATTTAGTAGTGCTCCACCTTCATGACCTAATTACCTCACAAAGGTCCTACACTCCAAATATCACATTGGGGATTTAGACTTTGACACACAAATTTTGAGGGGAATAAAACAGTCAGTTTATAGCTCCTACTATGTGCCACAGGGTGTGTTTAGGACAGAAGGTGAAAGATTTGTATACTGAGAACTACAAAATACTGATGAAATAAATAAAAGAAAATATAAATAAATGGGAAGATACTCTATATGTATGGCTTGGAAGAATTAATATTATTAAAATATCCATATGCCCAAAATAATCTACAGATTCCATGCAATCCCTATCAAAATTCCAATGTCATTTTTCACAGAAATAAAAAAAAAATTAAAATTTCTATGAAATCTTCACCCCTCCCCCCCCACACACACTTAAATAGCCAAAGGAATCTTGAGCAAGAAGAACAAAGCTGGAGGCATCAACTCCCTGATTTCAAAATATATCAAAAACAACAACAACAACCTATTTTCAAAGAAAGTCAGGCTGAGGAGAAAAAAAAAAGAGACAGCATGGTATTGACACGAAAACAAACACATAGGCCAATGGAACAGAAGAGAAGGGTCAGAAGTAAACCCATGCCTTTATGGCCAATGGACTTTTGACAAAGATGCCATGAGCACACAATGGGCAAAGGACAGTCTCTTCAATACATGGTGTCAAAACACTGGATATCCACATGCTGAAGATTAAATTGGATCTTTATCTCACACTATATACAAAAACAAAATTAAAATTGATTAAATATTTAAAAATAAGACCTGAAACTGTAATACTACTAAAAGAAAACAGGAAAAATTCCTCATGACATGAGTCTAGGAAATGATTTTTTTGGGGTATGACTCTGAAAGTACAGGCAACAAAAGCAAAAATAAATGGAATATTATAAAACTTAAAAAAAAACTTCTGCACACTAATAAAAGCAATTAGAGTGAAAATACAACTCCCTGAATGTTGTAAAATATTTGCACACCACACACCTGATAAAGTATCAATATACTAAATCAATATATAAGAAACTCAATAGCAAGAAAACAACCTGATTTTAAAATGAGCAAAATGTCTGAAAGACATTTTCTCAAAAAAAGACATGAAAGTTCATAAAATGAAGCAACAGGTTTAATAAAATGGCCAATAAGTTTATTTTAAAAATGCTCAATATTACTAATTATCAGGAAAGTGTAAGTTAAACCACAATGAGATATCAACTGCCACCTGTTAGATTACCTATGATCAAAAAAATGAAAAGCTATAATAAGTATTGGAGAAGATGTGGAGAAAAGGGAACCCTTATCTTTGAGTGGCAACTCTTGTAGTGGGAATGTAAATTGGTATAGAGATTATATATGGAAACAGTATGGAGGCTTCTCAGAAAACCAAAAATAGAACTTCAGTATGATCCCACAATGCTACTTCTGTGTATATGCTCATAAGGCATGAAATTACTATGTTGAAAAGATATTTGCACACTCATACTTATTGTAACATGATTCACAATAGCCAAAATATAGAATCAACCTAAGTGTCCATCAAAGGATAAATGGATAAAGAAAACATGGTATATAAACCCTATGGAATTCCATTCAGATTTAAAGAGAGGGAAATTTTGTGATTTGCAACAACATGGCTGAACTTAGAGGACATACTAAGTGAAATAAGCCAGGCATAATAAAACAAATACCACAGGATTTAACTTATATGTGGAATCTAAAAAAGTCAGACTCATAGAAGTAGAAAAGAGAATGGTAGTTACCTGAGACTGATGGAAATGAGTAAAGGGAATGGGGCAATGTTGGTCAAAGGATTCCAAGTTTCAGTTAGAAAGGAGGAATAAATTTTTGAGATCTACTGCATAGCAGGGTGGTTATAGTGAATGTGTGTTTCAAAGTTGCTGAAAGAGTATATTTCAAATGTCTCATGACAAAAGATGAGTCGGTAGACATATTCGTTAGCTTAATTCAATTATTCCACATTCTATGCATATAGCTAGACAGCACACAGTACCCCATAAAAATGTGTAATTTTGATTTGTCAATTTAAAATAATTTTTATAAAAAATAGTTCCGAATATATCATTGAGCAAGTATACAACAATTTTTGCACTTTGGTAGCTCATATTCTAGCAAGGGAGACACAAAAATCACAACCATTATAAGAAAGTAAATTACACAGTTTATTGGCTAAATGCTGTGAGGAAAAGAAGAAAAACAATAAAAGTAGTAGTGTAAAAAGGAATCTGTAATGTTAGGAAAAAGAGTTTTGATTTTAAGTAGGGTTTAAGTGGACCTCATAGATAAAGGAACAGTTGAACAATTACTTGAAGAATTAGAATTAATTAATGTTGTCAATATCTAAGAGAAGTGCATTCCAGGAAGAGATAAGAGCTACTGAAAAGTCCCTAGGTTGCAAACGTGACGACAAGTTTGAAGAACTTCAGGGATTCAGTAGGACAAAAGTGGAGTGATCAAGAGAAAATAAGTGAAGAAATGCAATCAGAAAGGTTGGAGGCAGGGAGAGAGGTTATATGAGGGCATTGTCAGCCATTATACACACTCTGGTTTTTTAAAAGAGGAGCCGTTTGGGTTTTGAGCAGAGGAGATACATTATATGATTTATTTTTTAGAGGGTCACCCCAGCTACTGTGTGCTGTGAATAAACTACAGAGGGCAAAGGTAAAGTAGAGATTCCTTAAATGGCTATTATGGTAACCTAATCTAGATACTAGGATTGCTTAGGCCAGGTTGGAATTTGGATACATTTGGAAAGTACAGAGGAATAACTTGAAATAGCAGGTATGGAGTATGAAAGAAATTAAAAGGAAAGGATAATTACTAATTTGGATGTCTAGGCAACAGAAAGAATAGAGTTGCCATCAACTGAGATGAGAAAACTGGAGTGTGGTGCAAGTTTGCGTGGAAAGGTTCAGTCTTGAGCATGTCATGTTAAGATGTCTCCTAAGCATCCAAATAAAAATGTAGCTTACACACATTCTCCAGCTGAGGTTATTAATTTGCAGTTAAAACATTAGTCATTTGATTATTTGTATAATTCCAAGGACTGACTGACATTCAGCTGCATGGATTTTGCACTGTCTTGCTTGGAGTCTATTAAAAGGATATTGGTGGTTGATGGCTGGGGCTGAAATTTCCAAGATAGCTTTACACAGATGTCTGGTGTCTTGGTAGGAATGGCTAGAGGGCTACACTGCTGGGGCTGCTGAGTTTCTCTCTCTTTGTATAGCTTTTTCATGTAGTTTAGTCAGCCTCTCCAGCACAGTAACTAGACCACTTGTATGATGGCTTAGAGCCCCAGAAAAATAAACATGTAAATTACCAGGCCTTGTTAAGGCTTAGGACTATAACTGGCACAGTTTCCTTCCACTGCATGTGTTGAATTAAGCAAGTCCAAATTCAGTGTGAGAAGGATCTCCAAAAGGCATAATAATAAAGGATGTGATTTTCGAGGGGGGGCATTCTTGGAGATTAATTACCACTGGCACATTACATTTGAGATGTCTATTAGGCATTTCAAGAATGATGTCGGCCGGGCGCGGTGGCTCACGCCTGTAATCCCAGCACTTTGGGAGGCCGAGGCGGGCGGATCACGAGGTCAGGAGATCGAGACCATCCCAGCTAAAACGGTGAAACCCCGTCTCTACTAAAAATACAAAAAATTAGCCGGGCGTAGTGGCGGGCGCCTGTAGTCCCAGCTACTTGGGAGGCTGAGGCGGGAGAATGGCGTGAACCCGGGAGGCGGAGCTTGCAGTGAGCCGAGATCCCGCCACTGCACTCCAGCCTGGGCGACAGAGCGAGACTCCGTCTCAAAAAAAAAAAAAAAAAAAAAAAAAAGAATGATGTCAAGTAGGCAGTGAAATGTATGAGTTAGAATATTCATAGTATTTTCTGTCTTAAAGCTATAAATTCTAGAAATTTTGTTATTTTATTCAGAGAACATCACCAAAAATAGATTTACAGGAGAATCAGAGGGTAAAATTGTTTTCTACAAGTTTTTAATAAATCTTGGTATACTTGAGACATTTCTTGATAGATCAGTAGAAAATATGTAGGTAGGTATAGATTATATATCAGTAGATAATGTGTGTTTTAGTCATATGGCTATCTGGTGCTCACTGCATTACCTTATCTTGTGATTTTTCTGTAATACCTGGTTGATAAAATTGGGCATGAAAAATACATGAACATTTGATATAATTGTCCAGGAAAATTGGACATATAAATTAGCTGAATGTACAGTGTGGCCTTGAGGTAAACTAAATGAATAAAAATATTCTCCTCTAATATAGTTCAGAGGTATCTGAGAAAAAACATTAATATATTGTCAAATATCTTGAGGGGTTGCACCATCCACTTTGTTAGCTTTAACTAGATACAAAGGCTCAGAGTAAGTGGCCTTAGGAAGGTTCAGTAAAGATATTTCTAATATTTTGTTGAGCCCCCAGGTCTCACTCTCTACTCTGCAAATGTTAATAGTACAGCAAAACCCAAGTAGAGTCAGACGTGTTTGTTACCCGTTCTAGTTCAAGATTGCTGTGCTTTCTCAACCTTACTCAATCTGAAATATTTAGTAAAGTCAATGAATAAGTATAAACAAGAAGTTAAATTTTCTCTTATATTTTTAGTTAGGGGATTAGACTGAGAATGACATGATAATGACCAAGTGTAGATGTGGCAGTGGGAGAAGACAGGTCTTCTGCTCACAAGAAGATACTCTCTATTGCACTCGCATCCCATCCTCCCTCTTTCTTTGCTTCAGTCAAGGAAAAAGAAAACTAGATAAAGGATACCTGGAACAGAAATGCCAGCCCTTCTTTCATTTGGATTTGCTCTCCTTTGTTATAAAAATAATACTCTAGATAGAACCATGACTTTGATATTGGTTTAATATAAGCAGGTAAGTCAGTTTCTTAGTCTATGAAGTACTTCAGATATTTGGCCAAAATCCGGCTAGGCAAAAGGAGTCCTTAAAGTCCCTGGGATACAACTGACTCATCAGCAAATGGGGCTGGAGTTTATACCAAGTTATTTTGGAAAAGAGAACATATGTTTGCGTGCGGATTTTCTCTTCCTCTCTCCATGAGAAAAGTGGATTAAACAGTAGGTGCTGTTTAAGAGTTAAAGCATTCAGCAATGTGGGTACTCAGAAAAAAAATTCTATCTTAGTAATCTTGACAACTGCTTCAAATTTTGATCAATATAGATAGTTCTTTATGAGTAGAAACAAGCCATTTCAATTGCATCTTTTCTGTGAAATATAAACATGAAACAGAATATAGTAGCTTTCCCTCATCCATGGGACATACATTCCAAGACCCCCAGCAGATGCCTGAAGCCTAGAATAGTACTGAACCCTGTATATAGTACCTTTGTTCCCATACATACATACCTATGATAAAGTTTAATTTATAAATTAGTCACAGTAATAGATTAACACCAATAACTAATAATAAAATAGAACTATAACATATACCGTAATAAAAGTTATGTGAATGTGGTCTCTCAAAATATCTTATTGTACTATACTCATCTATCTCAGTGCCATGATTGACTATAGGTAACTGAAACTACAAAAAGTAACACCACAGACAAGGGGAGACTAACATAGCCACGCTTCTTATGTACACCTCTGTATGCTGTCAAAATTATACCGAGTAACTTGATTGGTTGCCTGTGAAGCTTGATATGCACCACTGAGTTGGGAAGAATTAAGCTCAAGGGGAATGTGTGTTTATTTGATGAAATTCTCTTTGTACTTTGCAATCCTTATAGATTTACAACAAACTTGGCCTCTTGAAAGTAATCTGTGCATATCTCTTTCTTATGACACTTATTTTTTCCCCTCCTTTGGTTGGAGATGTTTTTAATACAGCATTTTTTTTTTGTTTCTTTATTCATTCTTCAATGAGAAGAAATCAGCCCTGCTATGCTCTCTATAGATGGGTGAGATTGTGTGTTTACGTGTATCCTACTGTTTTGGTGTATTTGAAGTATAAATTCATATGCACAGCTCTAGTTCAAATTTCCAATGATATGAATGAAATCTAACACTCTTAGCATGAATTGATGTAGAAGTTTTTCTGTATGTTTACACCCAATGATTTTCCTCACAGAAAGCAGTTAACTACCTCTGTTAACTGTTCATTTTTTTCCACGGAGTTTTCATTTCTGAAGATTTATGACCATTTGAAAATGGGATTTTTGGAGGAAGTCAGGAAATACTGGATGGGAAGAGCATGCATATAACCTCACAGTATACTAAATGCATATACCATAGGTTCAACTACTGATTTTCTTATTGATTCCTCATCACAATGATTAACAGTGTTTGTGGTTGGGAAATTGAAAAACTATTTATAATTTTACCTTCTTGTGAAAAAATGAAGCATTGATATAAAACCTCCTATTTTTATAAACTCTGCTCCAGTTCAGGCATTGGTTGATTGTAGGTAAAAGGTTTAGATTTTTGTGTCATTTAAATATATACATATATAATATCTTCATACATATTTTTGTAGAAATTTGGAAAATCTTATGTCCAGAGCTGTTCTTCAAGCTGTTTGAATTACAGATTAACTCTTGGCTTCTTTAATTATTTTGGATTTCATTCCTGCCCTTCACCCTGATTTATATGACTTTACAATTTGACCTGCTTTCTGTTCATTTTATAGCTCTCTTCTCTAAAAATCCAACAACTCATTTATGACTAGGGAACAATAATTGTAACCACAGTTCTGGGAATGTAATGTTTAGCTTCTATCCCTGTTTATAGAATAGTCTATCAATCACCTTCCAGTATCACTGCCAACATTTATTTGCCTGTGGATTCTGTAGGGGAATAAGCCCCACTTGTAGATGTAGACCCACTAGCTAATGGAGTTCTTTTATTTCACTAAGAATCAAGAGCCAAGACTTATCCTTGATGTTTTTCTATTTCCAACTACTTGATCCTTCATTTTCTGCATATGACAAAAAGGAAAGGAAAGCTGTAAAAAAAAAAGAAATATGTTAATCTCCAGAACCAAAAGAAAAAATACAGTCAGCCAGGCTGGAACTGAGAAGTGGAGGTCAAGAATTAAATGACCTGAGAATTATGTGGGCTTCTGATTACAAAATCCCAACTGGTCTCTAGTTTGTAAAATTCTTCAGTTTCCACACTCCAAATGAAAGCAAAATTTGTCCTCAAAGCACCATGTCCAAACTGGTAGCTAGACATGAACACAGAATAAAACAATTCTTTTGTTATGCATTCAATCACAAGAAGAAAACTCCTGAATCCCTATATCAAATACATGCATTTATAACAACTTAAAATGGTCTCAACCTGGAATATCTCCAATTTAGTCATATTATTGATTTTTATTCTTTAGTCCTCTTCTCCATATCTGAAGTAAAATTTAACTTTAGAGAATCTTGGTCATGTCAAATAAACCTCTTGTGTCAGGTTAAGTTGATTATAAATGACACATTGGGTGTTAGTTTTTCATAATTCTTTGTGTTATGAATCTATTATTGTGTTATATATATAAAAGCAGATGGGCTAATTCATGGTCTCTTCCTTATCACAAAGGGACAAAATATAGAGCCTACTTAGAACTCATTTGTTAGCTGCTGTCCCCTTCTTGACCTTCCCATATTAAATTTACCAATTTCCTTATTCCCTTTCGAATACAACCCACTGTGAACCAAGGAGGAAGTGAAATTTTAGGTTTGATCAGTCATAAATTCTTGCTTTTGATGTAGAGTGCTCTTACACATCATTAACTGGGAAGATGTTTCTTGAAGCTTCGGCCTGGGAAGCAGCTACTCACATTCTGACCCTTCACATTGTACTTGTCTTCTTTTCCTTTTATAACATCAAATATGGTCCAGAATTCACCCCCTTGGTGCATACATTTGAGAAAAGGGAAGAAATGTATGAGGACCTTGTAATTTCTGGGACAGACAGAAACTATGAGCTAAGACTTTACAATTACTTTTTTGTTCCTGTGACACATCTCTAGTACCCTTGATCACCCAGGGTCCTGTGATATGATATAGCTGCACTGGGCCAGAGGTAGAATTGAGTAGCATGTAGATTTGACAGTTTATTTTTAAATGTGATTTAAGAGATATATTAAACATTTTCTAATCAAAGATGTCTACATCTTACACATATCAATAAAACAAGCAGCGAAGACCGTGATCTATATTAAAATCAAAACTAGCCATCATTAACTTGCATATTACTGATCATAAATTAGCAGGTTCTTTCCAAGTTGGAGGAGAGTAAATAGTGAATGGAGACCACCTACTATTTATAGAGTAGATAACTTAAAAAAGGAAGTTATAGAAGATGCATGTAATTAATTTTTATCATTTTTCCTAAAGTCAGCACTGGTTTAGGACATTAGTAAACACATGGGGTGTGATATGGCTTCATTCAAAAAAGGCATTTGAGAGATGTGTTAAATATGAAGGCTTTGCATACTGGCAAGATTGCTCAGAATTTTTAACCATTTTACTACATAAGTACTATGGGAAATTTATTTCCAATCTTTGTAAGAAAATTTCTGCAACTAAAATCCTATGTGATTAATTTTTTTTCCAGAATTACTTCTTTGTATGCTGTATTGGTTTACTATGGTTGCTATAACAAATACCACATAATGGTTTAGATAAACATACATTTTTTATCTCACAGTTCGGCAGACAGGAGTCTTAAATTTCTAAAAGCAAGCTGTTGGCAGGGCTGGTTCCCCCTGGAGAGTTAGGTGAAATTCTATTTCCCTGCCTTTTCCAGCTTGTAGAAGTGCTGGCAGTTCTTTGCTCCTGACTGCTTCGTTGCATCACATCACTCTTCCTCTACTGTAATCAAATCTCTCTCTCTCTGCCTCTCTCATATAAGGACACTTGTGTTCATATTTAAGGCCCATTGAGATAATTAAGTAAAATCTCACCATCTCCATATCCTAAAATTAATCATATCTGCAAAGTCCCCTTTTGGCGCATACAGTAACATTTCCAGATCCTAGAATTTTGGACCTATGGAGGTCATCATTCAGCCTACCACATGTGCTGTTAGGAATTTTGTTTCTAAAAATATATTTAAATATTAACTAAATTAAGTAAATATTCATTGGACATTAACATACAGCGCCACCCAAGTGTACTTATCTGATTGAATATTAGCTGAACTGTAAAAATCATCATGCATTCACATACAAACTCCACAAATCTACATCATCATGTAAATTTTATTATATTTAAATATTTTAGTAGATAAGTGTTGCATTTCAGGAGAAAGGTGAAAGCTCTCCTAACTGATAATTAGATTTCAGTTGCTTACAGACGAAAGTTACCAATTTTTGTCATCTCTAAAAATAACAAAACAAAAAACAAGATACTTTCCTAGTCTTTTTTGCATGCATATATGGAAATATAACCAAAGTGCAGTTATTTTAAAATAATTTATGTAACTAATTGAAATTAAAATATCCTTTTTCAGAACAATCATCTCATAAAACTGGTTGAGAAGGATAGTTTTGTTAAGTAAACATTTAATTATTAAACTCTCCAAAAGTCACGTCTGTGTGTTTGTAGGCTTTTGAAATTTGCTTTGAGATTTCAGAAGTTGTGATAGTATTTAAAGGAGGAGAATTTTTGACAATCAATAAATGTATCTTTTAGTGCATTTGTAAAAGTACTAGAATCAGTAGGAAACATGGCAAATGATACTACAGGAAATCTGTTTCTATTATAGTAAATGCTAAACTAAACAAAAAAAAAATGTGGTAAAATCTAGATGGCCTAAGAAATAGCTACTTCTATTATGCTTTTGACTCAGTAACCAAATAGGTCCTAGCCAGTATAAACTCTGTAATTATAAACCTCTTGGGAAAGTGAATATAAGAAGAAATATGTTCAAAGTAAGATTACTGCAACTGTAGGTGAAGAAAGCAAAGAAACTTTATAAAGGCAAACCCAGAAGTCAATTTAATTTAGGATTCCTCAAATAAACACAAAAGATTTGTGATTCTTATTTCATGAGGTATGCATAAGTTTATATAGATTCAACACCTCTATACCAATATAACTATCCTGATAATTTAATATAGAAATGGGTTGGGAGTGATGGTCCCTGATTCTAGATGGATTCAAGGCACGTATGTTAAGATAATTAAAGCCAAAAATTTTGTCTTCATTCATAAACAGGGGATTATATATCAGTTATTATTTTATCAATACATAGTCTATGGATTGGAGGATGAAACATCTTCAAGGAAAGTGATTACTTGGTAGGTTTTATGAAGAAATATTATTAGCTGTAACAGATCTTGCTGTTACCCTCTCCTCATATATATAACAATTTCCTTGCATATTGCCCAATTTCTAACTTTCAGCACAAACTTCCACTTACCTGAGTATTTTTTTCTGGACTCCAAAGCCCTCTCTACCCAAGTTTAGTCAGCCTAGAATCCCAGAGAATTAATGACATCTGGAACTACCTTCAAGCTATTATCCCTCAGTGGGATAATCTGAATTATGTGTTCTACATAGGATCCCAGAGTTTCCCAGTTGAATGAAGCCCCTTGGCCATAGAGGTAACTTGTTTATTAATTCATTCTTTTTTTAATTTTATTTTAAATTGAAAAACAATATTTATTTACTTATGGGGTAAAATTTGATGTTTTGATATATGTTTACATTATGGAATAAGTCAAGCTAATTAACAAATTCATCTCCTCTGTGTGTGTGTGTGTGTGTGTGTGTGTGTGTGTGTCTCGAAAACATTTAAAATCTACTCTTAGTAATTTTGAAGTATACAACGCATTATTTTTTATTGTAATCACCATTCTGTGCAATAGGCCACTGAAACTTATTCCTCCTAGCTGGGACCTTGAGCCACACATTCCATTTTTCTATCCACACCCTTCCCCCACCCTCTGGTAACTACCATTCTACTCTCTATATCTAGTTCAACCTTTAAAAATTCTACATATAAGTGAGATCACCCAGTGTTTATCTTTCTGTGCCTGGCTTCTTTAACCTACATAACATCCTCCAGGTTGATCCATTTTGTTACAAGTGACAGATTTTCCTTAGGTTTTAAGACTGAATAGTCTTCCATTGTATACATATACTATATTTTCTTTATTTGTTCATTCAATGATAGACACCTACCTTGTTTCCATATATTATGTATCATGAATAATATTTCAATGAATATGGAAATGCAGATACCTCTTCAGCATATGAATTTCAATTGCTCTTGGATATATACCCAGAAGTGGGATTGCTGGATCACATCATAATTCTCTTTTTGGTTCTTTTGAGAAACATCCATACTGTTTTTCATACTGACTGTGTTAATTTACATTTACGACAAAAGTGCGCAAGGATTTCTTTTTCTCCACACTCTTGGCAACATTTATCTTTCCTCTTTTTGATGCTAGCCATAGGAACGGTTTGAGGTGACATTGTAGTTTTAATTTGCATTTCACTGATCATTAGTGATGATGAACATTTTTAAAAATACAGATCTCTTGGCCATTTATGTGTCTTCTTTTAAGAAATGTCTATTTAGGTTCTTTGTCCATTTTTAAATTGGGTTTTTTTTTTTTGCTATTGAGTTGTTTGAGTTTCTTATATGTTTTGGCTATTAGCCGTTTGTCAGTTACGTGGTTTGCAAATATTTTTTCCTTCTCTGTGGGTTGTATCTTCACTGTATTGATTGTTTCTTTTAAAGAGCAGAAGCTTTTTAGTTTGATGCAATCTCATTTGTTTATTTTGCTTTTGTTGTCTGTGCTTTTGGGGTCATGTACAAGAACTCTTTGCCTAGGCCAATGTCATGGAGCATTTTTTCTATGTTTTCTTCTAGTTCTTTTATAATTTCAGGTCTTATGCTTAAATATTTAATCCTTTGTGAGTTGGTTTTTGTAGATGGTATGTGATAAGGATCCAATTTTATTCTTCCATACGTGAATATCCAGTTTTCAAACACCACTTACTGAAGAGACTGTTTTTTTTTTTTTCCACTGTATATTTGTGGCAACTTTGCCAAAAATCGAGCAATTGCAAATACATGGACTTATTGCTGGGCTTTCTATCCTGTTCTATTGGCCAATGTGTTTGTTTTTCTACTGTTTTCTTATTAGGCTTTTGTAATAGATTTTGAAGTCAGGTAGTCAGATGCTCTCAGCTTTTTGTGTTGGGTTTTGTTTTGCTCAAAATTGGCTATTAGGGGTCTTCTATGGATGTTCCAATTTTTTTTTCACTTGCCATGAAAATGACATTGAGATTTTGATAATGATTGCATTGATACATAGATTGCTTTGGTACAGATTGTGTTGACCTGTAGGTCACATTGGATGTTTCAATAAGATTAATTCTTACAATCCATGAACCTGGAATTCATTTTCATTTATTTGTGTTGTCCACAATTTATTTCAATGAAGTTTTATAGTTTTCAGTTTACAGCTTCTTCACCCCCTTGGTTAAATTTACTCTTAACTATTTTTTCTATTGATGCCATTGTAAATGCAATTTTTTTAAATTTCTTATTCAAGTAGTTTATTGTCAGTGTAAAGAACTGTTACTGATTTTGTGTTGGTTTTATCTACTGTTCCTTTACTTAATTTGTTTATCAGTTCCAACTGATTTGGGGGAGGGTTCATATTATAAGTTTAGAGCATCAGTAAACAAAATTTTACTCATTTCTTTCTTATTGGGATGACTTTTACTTCTTTTCTTTCTCTAGTTGTCCCCGCTAGAACTTTCAGTTCTGTATTGAGTGGCAAGAGTGAGTATCCTTGTCTTGTTCCTGATCTTAGAGGAAAAGCTTTCAACTTTTCACCATAGAGTATAATGTTATCTATGGGCTTTTCATATATGGCCTTTATTGTGTTAGGTACATTCATTTGATATCTAATATGTTCACTTTTTATATGAAAGGATGTTGAATTTTTTCAAGTGCTTTTCCTGCATATATTAAGATTATCGTATTTTTTTTCTTCATTCCATTAATATGTTGTATCATGTTTATTGATTGACTTATGTTGAACTATCTTTGCATCTCGGGGATAACTGCCACGTGATCATGGTGAATGATCCTTTTAATATACTGCTGAATTTAGTTTCGTTGTATTTTGTTGAGAATTTTTGCATCTATATTCTTCAAAGCTTTTGGCCTATAATTTTCTTTTAATGTGGTGCCAGTATCTGGCTTTGAAATCAGGGTAATACTGGCCTTATGAAATGAATTTGGAAATATTTCCTTTTCTTTAATTTTTTAGAAGAGTTTGGGGAGAATTAGTATTCATTATTTAAATGTTTAGTAGAATTCTGGTGAAAGAACATCCAGTCCTGTGCTTTTATTTTGTGGGAGATTTTGTTATTAATAATTCAACCTTCTTAAACAGACTCATCAATGGTCTGTTCATGTTTGTTATTTCTTCTTATTTAGTCTGGGTAGGTTATATGTTTTTAGAAATTTATCTACCCATTTCTTCTAGGATATACAATTTTTGGAGATATAGTATCTTTTGATCCTTTGTGTTTCTATGATAGTTGTAATATCTCTTCTTTATTTCAGATTTTATTTATGAGTCTTGTCTCTTTTTTTAAGTTAGTCTGGGTAAAATTTCATTGATTTTTTTTATCTTTTCAAAAAGCAACTTTTAATTTTACTGATCTATTGTTCTTCTAGTGTCTATTTATTTCTACTAAGATCTTTATTATTTACCTCATTCTAATGACTTTGGGCTTAGTTTGTTCTCTTTTTTTTCTAGAGCTTTGAAATGTAACATTGATTTACTTATTTAAGATCTTTCTTTTTTTTGAGTTAGGTATTCATTGCTGTAAATTTCCTTCTTCAAACTGTTTGTGCCACATCCCATGAGTTTTGGCAAGTTGTATTTTCATTTTTATTCATCTCAACATATTTTTAATTTTTCCTTATAATATCCTTTAACTCATTTGTTGTTTTGGTGTAAGTATTTGTGAATTTTCCAAAATTTCCATGCATTTATCATTTTTCCAAAATTCCTCCTGTTATGATTTCTAGTTTTATTCCATTGTGGTCATAAACGATACTTGGTTTGCTTCTTAAATTTGTTAAGACTTCTTTTGTGTTTTAATATATTATCTATACTGAAGAATGTTCCATGCATAGTTAAGACTATGTATTATGTAGATATTTGATGAAATATTCTATATATATCTGTTAAGTTCATTTGTCCTAGAATATAATTTATGTCCAATGTTTTCATATTGATTTGCTGTTTGGATGATCTGTCCATTGCTGAAAGTGAGGTGGTGAAGTCCTCTACTATTATTGCTTTGCAGTTTATCTTGCTGTTTAGATCTATTAATTTTTATTTTATATATTCAGGTGTATACATATTGAGGGCATACATATATTTAAAATTTACAGTTGTTATATCCTAGGCTTTGGGTTTCACCAGGGTTTTACAACCTCCTACTTGAATCCCAATGCTCCCACAAAGATACTTTTGCCCATAGGTGGGTGGAGAATTCTTGCTGTTGTTAGGATATGAGCTGGTGACCTCCTATTTTGCCTTTGTGCCTATGTTATTTGGATGCTGTGTTAATGCATTCCTTACTGACTGCCTTCCTTTCCCTTCCCTGTTTCACTTCCTGACTACTAAATACCCACTAAACATCTGCACGTTTCCCCCCACCCCCTACTACCCTTCCGAGCCTTCCTTAACCATTCTTCTACTCTCTGTCTCCATGAGTTCAATTGTTTTGATTTTTAGATCTTTTAGATCTTTCGGTCTTTTAGATCTTTTAGGTCTTTCAAATGAATGAGGACATGCAATGTTTGTTTTTCTGTGCCTGGCTTATTTTACTTATCATAATGATCTCCACTTCCATCCATGTTGCCAGGGATGACTTTCCAAATAAACTACTTGCATTTGTGTATTTGCCACAGGGTTGGCTTCTGGAGGAAGCCAAACTAATAAAATTACTATTGGAACTAAACATAAGAAGCAAATTCCCAGGATAGAACTCTGAAATTGAATCACCTCATTCACTGGCCAGAAGTCTATAAGAAGATAATTTTGTGATGAGTCATGGCATGCTGTTATAAAGCTATTAAAATGACTCATAATTGTAAACACGAGTAAAGTAAGGAGCACTGGCTTTTGCAATGTCTCCTGTCTCCAGCATCTGTTAGATATAAGGGCAATGGTGATTTTAAGACAAAAAAAAATTAGCTGGTTGTTTATTGCTATTGAAGCACAGCCAGAAGAAAATAACAACTATGATGCAAAAGCCAGAAGACTCCCCTGGCCTTGTTTAAAGAATTGTTCTTTGCAGCAGAGAACTGACTATATGGAAAATCACAGCTAGTTACTCACTTAAGGAAGTTGTGCTTCCCAACCCTTTATAATTCAGTTTTCCTGAACTACTGGTCTTGTTGCTGGAGTAGAGAAGATGTTGCCTCTATTGTGGGGCACAAATATGATTCCACCAATCTCAATATGACTTTTACCTGATCAATTTGGATACTTTATGGAAGCAGATAAGAAAACAAAGGAGTTACTATACCACCTAGGAAAAATTACCTTGGTTTTTAGGAAAAGATACAATCTCTGACATATAATAGGATTAAGAATGTGTATATCAGTAACTCAGGGGATTCATTAATGTGCTTTGAATAGATCCATGCCTGGTGATAACTGTAGGTAGAATATTGTGGTAGCCATGGCTTGACAAGAGTAGAGTAGCCAGGAGCCCAAACTCCTCAGGGATGTAGATTTGAGTTACTCCACTGGACAAGCAACCTAAAGCAACAAAAATGCTTGTGAAGGGTGAGAAGAATCTAGAATGGATAATAGAGAAGACAGATGATTTACATCATATGTGACCTTGATAACAACTGCAGCAGTGTGAATGTAGCTTGTTACGTGAACCCTCCAGACAGAGTCAATTTTTTATAAAGAAATTGTGGTTAGCCACTACCTTGAATAATCAATGGCAGGATGAAATAAAGTTAATGTGGGGCATGGATGAACTAGGTGCTGCAAGTGCCTTCATCATTTCCATATACATTGGCCCATCATCCCAATGTCAGCCCCTGCCTTAATTTGTCTGGGGGCTTTTACTTACCTTGGGAACCTAATCTGTTGACCACAGGTCAGGCTATAAGGGAGTATTTAACATATACTTTTGATACAGAAGCAACTCTCAACCTAAGACTTCTGGGTTGGTAGATAAATACACTAGAACCTTAACTCATCCTTGGATGGGAAATGCTAAAAGGTATGCTCTATGCTGACTTCTAGAGTTCTCCAGTGAAATTGAAAATGAGTTGCCTGTAGTGATAATTAATTTAGCCATTGTGCAAGGTAGAATAGTGACCTCCCCAAACACACACATCAAAGATGTCCACATCCTAAAATGTTAATGTACTCAATGTAGGATACAGAATTGCATCCATCTTCTACTATTGCTGTAACAAATTACCACGCATTTTGTGGCTTAACACATAACAAATTTATTATGTTAAATTTCTGGAGGATTAAAGTCCAAAATGTATCTCACATTGGTCTAAAATCAAGGTGTCAGCAAGGGTGCATTCCCTGTGGAGGCACTAGTGAAAAATCCGTTTTCTCACCTTTTCTAGTTTCTAAAGACTGCCTGTATTCCGTGGCTCATGTCCCTCTTTCAACAATCACATCCTGCTAATGTCTTTTCTTTTAATCTCAGCTTTTATAGCCATTTGCTCCAAGTATACATTGTTAAATGGAATCCATCTAAGTTTTTTTTTAAACAAAGAAAAATCGTATTATTATGAGGACCAGTATTGTTTTTAATTGCCTATTAAATTTGTTATCCAGTACTGCTTTTGTCTCTCATTATTATGGCTACTTGACAATATAAACATTTTTTTCAGTTGAAATAAAGTCAGTGAATTTATAAGGCCCTTGTCTCAGTAATCACCCTTTTGGCAGATGGCTTAAATGACTTGATATACATTTGAGAAATTAAGGCAAATCTGTTTCAGATTGGTGGTTTTGTTGGCATTGTACATTAAATAGCCCAGGGGTTTAGTAGAGGTCGTAAAATTCTCTGGAACCCTTAAAGTGAAAACAAAAATGTCATTTTATATATATTTAGCCAATTTAATGTAGGCTTTCAGAATTCAGGTGTAATCTTCCAAATTTATGTCTTCTATCTTTTATTTACTAATCAGTAATGACATGTAAAGACTTTTCTTATTGTTCATGCAACCTACACTTAATTTTACAACTGAAGATGACAAATCAAAGTTGTTGCTGTGGCAGTGTTATAATAACAGAGAACACCTTTTTTTTTTTTTTACTTTGTGCAAGACAAGGTTGAGTAATTAATTTGCACTATATTATTTTGTGGAGGTAAATGTGAGAAAGCCCATATGCATTAGAAAACCTTTTATGACTTTTCATTCCTATCACTGCACCACTTCATAAAGCTCACCTACAAAGTTATCATCATACAGATTTTACTACCAAAACCATGGAAAAACAGACTTGGCCTAAGTTTATCTATCCATTGGTTATGATGACCATGAGCATTAGATGTGAGCATTGAAGACTGGGGATCTCAAGAATGAAGCAGAGGCATGAAATAGGAAGGAAAGTAGTGCAATAAGAAGAAGTGTTTTACTTTGGGTGTACCATATCTTCTTGTCTTTGAGGAACCTGCTTCAAGAGGCAATTATAGTGAATGGAAATCACACTGGAGCAGTTATCAGGGCCTATACTCCCAGAGAAAATTATGTTTCTACTCTATTTGTTACTTCCTTCATCCATAAATGAGTTTGTATTATGTAATTGGCCATTTTTCTCTCTCAGCAATAAGAAGGTACTTTCTCTGGTAAGGGCAAATACAAATTAAAATCAAAGGTTTCATTCTCCCTGTTGAAAACCAGGAAAGAGACTACTAACACTTTTCTTAGAGCTTGGACTTTAAAAGACTAGGAAGGTCCCTTGCTTGTCTTTGTGAAATGTATGCAACTCTTTTTGAGAGTTAAATAAGTCTCTAGAAAGCTTTAGGACCCAAGACTGCCTTTCTCAAGTGCCTGGAGCCTTCTTTTTGAAATGTAACCGTCAAGAAATACAGTACCTCATATTCAGTCTCTATGGGATAGTAAGAATGTAACTTTGGTGGTCCTGTTGCTCTAAATTGAAAAGCTACCTTTTGTCATAAAGATATAAGAAATAAATTTTTCCTTTTGTCGAAGCCAATTAGCTAGCACAGACGGTCGCTCAAAGGTCAAGTGAATTTAGTTTAAACTATGTGCAACAAACGGTGTTGTCAAGTCCTCTTACTTGAGGATTACTGTTCATCTTGAGAAGATGTATGTAATGGGTTTTATCTGTTTGGCTATATAAAAGGATGACATTTCTTTCTGTCTTTACAATCTCTTAGCAGATTGCCTCTTATGTGCATCATATTCTGTTTTTAATGGTTATTCAATAACAAAACTGCGTCATTTCTCTTCCTACCTTCATGGAGAGGTTTTCTGGGTTGTGATAAGGTTTCTGTTTTAAGTTATATTTTCCCCAAAACGCAGATTTATCTTCCAATCATTTAAAAACCATCAAGATGACCAAAGTATACTGTCCTTCGTAGAGAATTTTGAAAGTTATTAGATAAAATCTACAGATAATCATATCTTTTATTCTTTGTTAGAACAGAAGGAAGTCAAGGGGAAAGAGCCGTAATCTTTCCCACATCTTTTCTATTATATTGTCCTCTAGCTTCCCTATAAAAGATGTTATATCTTCACTTTTGCTCTCAGTCCCTCTCTTTAGCACAGCCTAGGAAAGTCATTGTACAAGGTAAAAGCAATACATGTAAATTGTTTTTTGAAAATGTACTCATTGGTTACCAAATTCTTTCTTTCTGGTCCATACAACCTAGATCTGCAGGTCACAATGTCACTTTTGGGGAAAGAAATAATTTATAATGTATGTTTTATGTATTTTATTAATAAAATAAGCACACTACGATAATTTATATTGCAAAACGTTAAAAATTTAAGCCAAGTATTTGTTACAGCTTCTTACATACAATTTATGAAAGAAACAAAGGTTAGAACATCAAGGGATAGTGCAAGACTGCCCAGCAAGGCTGTGCATATGAAAATTCTACCTTAAAAATAACTCCACAGCACAAGAGGTAATTATGAATATGCCAGGCAATTAATTATCTCTGCTTGACAAATTTAACACATGTAGGAAAGCAGGCAATACTATCAAACTTTAAGTTTGTTGGGATCACGTCATAAGTGAGGTATTATTTTTATAATTCTTTGAAATATTTTTTGAGTTTTTGATAATAGCTTATAGGATATTTAGAATAAATCATTTTTATAATCATTTGTGAAATTATGATTTATTAATCATACCTGAGATACCATAGCCCTCTCCTAGTTTGGGTCACCTTGAAGGTTACATTGGTTTTGGCTGAATAAACCTATGAGAACCACAGATGCTACAGTTACATTAGCTGTGTTTCTTCAACTTAATTTGCTTTTTAAATCCACAAAATGCTTTCAGCTGGTTGTTGCAACCTTATTCTCTCTATAATTAGAATGTTACTAGCCTTAAAAGATATATCTGAAGAGAGCTAGTGTTTTTTTTTTTTTTTTCCTGAAACTTTAAGCATACCAGCCTTGACAAATTTTCTCTGAGATTTTTCTCTAGAGACTTAGAATCTGTGGCTTTTAAAAGATTTAAATTAGGCACAGGGCACCAGCAGCAGTAGCACTGCAAGATTTTGCCTATTCTCAGTCTTTAACTAATTGCCCCATTTAAATGGCAGCCAGCTTCTAAAAAATAATCAATAGTTGTGTTACAGGAAAGGGGTCCCAATCCACATCCCGAGAGTTCTTGGATCTCATGCAAGAAAGAATTCAGAGCTAGTCCGCAGTGCTAAGTGAAAGCAAGTTTATTAAGAAAGTAAAGGAATAAAGTAATGGCTACTCCCAAGGGCAGGGTGCTGGTTGCTAATTTTTATGGTTATTTCTTGATGATATGCTAAACAAGGGGTGAATTATTCATGTCTCCCCTTTTTAGACAGTATAGGGAAACTACTTGACATTGCCATGTCATTTGTAATCTGTTATGGTACTGGTGGGACTGTAGCAGTGAGGACGACCAGAGGTCACTCTTGTGGTCATTTTGGTTTTGGTGGTTTTTGGCTGCCTCCTTCACTGCAACCTGTTTTATCAGCAAGGTCTTCACGACCTGTATTTTGTGCTGACCTCCTATTTCATCCTGTGACTTAGAATGCCTTAACCATCTCAGAATGCAGCCCAGTAGGTTTCAGCCTCATTTTACCCAACTCCTATTTAAGATGGAGTTGCTGTGGTTCACATGCCTCTGACAGTTGTTTTGCTCAGACGTTGGTTGAATTGTAAAAACTTTACTTTGTATATCACTGTGCCGTTCAACAAAAGATGATATTCTTTTAACCACTTTTTTTTTTTTTTCAAAACTCTAATTGTACAGCCTGCCAAGTCTGGTGATATTTGGTCTCAAACAAATATCATATTTAATCATCTTCTGTAATCAACTTAATGGTTTCAAGAAACAAAACAGCTGCCTTGCAGGATTTCTAAATGCCAGGCATGCATGTCTCACCGTCAATAACACATTATTGCTTTGAATGGGAGCGAAATTCAAGACAATTGATGCCTCAGCTGCTGAAGAAGCAGAGGAAACATCAGGTGATAGAAAGTTGCTTGCTCAGTAAAATTACTCTATGATGAGGGGTTCAACCATGAGAAATTCACTCTAGTAGTCCTGCCTCAGTGTACTAAACAATGCTGTGCGATGACTGATTTCAGATGAAACAGATTTAAAAGGCTTTGGATTGCAGATCTTCTAAGTTTACATTTTTATTGTACTGGATGTCTAATCCTGTAATGCTGATTTGTATCTCAGTGATAGTTTAAAAACATGTCTACGAATTCTTTGGCACCCCTTACATCAAAAGGTAGAAACAGTGACCCTTGGCTTCAACCTGGGTGAGCTTTTTTGACAGCTTCAGCAAATAGAATACAGTGGAAGTGAAGCTTTGTGATTTCTAAGAATAGGTTAGAAAAGGCCATTTAGGGCCAGGCACAGTGATTCATGCCTGTAACCCCAACACTTTGGGAGGCCTAGGCGGTTGGATCGCTGGGGTCTGGATTTCATGGCCAACATGGTGAAACCCTGTCTTTACTAAAAATACAAAATAAAATTATATGGGTGTAGTGGCGCACACCTGTAATCCCAGCTACTCGGGAAGCTGAGACAGGAGAATCGCTTGAACCCAGGAGGCTAAGACTGCAGTGAGCCAAGATCCTGCCATTGCACCATTGCACTCCAGTCTGGGCAACAGAGCAAGACTCTGTCTCCAAAAAAAAAAAAAAAAAAAAAGGAAAAAAAAGAAAAAGCCAGTTAGGCAACTTTTGCTGGTCTCTCTTAGAATACTTGATCTGGGAGCCTAGGGCCCCAGTGTAGGATATCCAGCTACCTGGAGGCTCTATGGAGAGACCACAGGGTGAGACCACACAGAGATAGAAAGGTAATAGAGGAGCCGTAGTAGTACTTGTCCTCGGCTGTTTGATTTTCCCAGGCGATATATTAGAAATATAAGTAGCAAAGTTTCAAGATGGTCTCAACTCCAGCCACCTTCATGAGCCAACCAGAGTGAGAATTGCCTAGCTGTGCCCCATCAGCCTACAGAATTATGAACAAAATAAATGATTATGATTAAGCCAATAATTTGAGATGCATTTTTTCATGGCAAGAGAAATTGGGAATGTTTCATTATATACTTATTAGTAGGTTTATAAGCAAAAAAATTTGGTTGCCTAAACACATCTAATTATTATTCTTTAATAGAGATTTCTCACACCTTATACCAAAATAATTTCTTATGTGATTTTTTGACTCTACATCTCTTTTATATAGCTACAGATATTATGTTAAGCCTAAATTGAAGAACTGAATTTCAAATGCCAGAAAAGAAATATGAATGATATAAACTACCTTTAAACTAATAAAAGTTTTACAGATGAAATGCAATTTGGCAGGTGTTTTGCTAATCTTTTTCTCCTTTGTTGAATGTGAGATACACTAAGACATTTGGTCATTGGATCAACTATGAATTTTTATGGGTCTCAATAATTGTTTATGTGATTTTTAGGTAGTTAAAACTCTTAGTGGTGTTTGAAGAATAGGACCTTGCTTGTTTTTAAATTTGTTCTTTCCACAGATTCAATGTATTATATAATTTTAAAGTTCTTAAGATCGGAAAGGCATTTTACAAACCTTAGGATAACAAATAGGGAGGCTCTAGAATATTAGTTTTAAAATACTCTTTAAGAAATTCACCTTAACACACTTATTTTCATTTTTAAATACAATCTTCTAATATGCACACATATGTATCAATTTTTAATTGATATTAAAATAATATTGACTATGATTTATATATTAGAAAATACATGATTATATTTTAATGTATATTTATATTTCATCTAGTTGGACTACTCTTTAAAGTTTCATTCTAAGAAAGATTAAGAAAGCCTACTTGCTTCTCAGTGTGAAGTAAACTTATGGCGTACATAGTGCAGGAATTAAAGTCCCTCGGATTTGTAGTCTCTTTCTTAAATCCAAGTTTGGTCTCTACCTTCCTTTCCATTCTTCTTTTGAACAACGTTAACTTAAGCCATCTTTACAAATCTTTTTTTTTTTAATTCTGTTTTACATGGTGGAACTTTTTAATAGTTAGATAAGATAGGCTAAATTAAAGTCGGGGAAAAAAATCTAAACATCCCAATAGTGTTACACAAAAAGATGTATTTATCTTTTATATTACAGTGTCACACACAGTGTCACTAGGGGAGCTCTATTTATTTCAAGCCCTCAATGCCCCAGGCTGACAGAGCACGACCATATACAGCTTTGCTGATTGTCCTGACAAAGAGAAGTGAGAACTCTGGATGATCTCATGTTGATAATTAAATACTCAGCATAGATATATGTCATGTCTCCTTATTGGCTTATATGAGTTAAAAAGTTCAATTCTATCACCAGAAAGACAGCAAGTATAAATCTACCATATTCCTCAAAACCTTTGGTTAATGATATTAATAATGACCATAGGGAAAAAAAAGGTTAAAACAATGCAGTGGTAAATTTTCAATGTTTTAATTTCATAAATGTAAATCATAGAGTTAATTCCACAGACATGTATTGAATATATGTAACACTCCAAGTAGAATGTTAAATATTGTCTAATGTAAATGAATAAGACATTACTCCTCAGATTACCCACAGTATGATAGCATGGACACACTGAAAACAGTACTTTTAAAATGGTATTTGAGTAGGTAGCTAGTCAGGCATGAGCAGGGCAGGAAAGGGCTACCCCCACCCTACCCCACCAGAAATGTCAGGTGACTATCAGGCAGTGGTCTAGCAGTTGTTACACTGCCTCTCTAAAATAATAATTGGTCACAGCTGGTGCAGAGAAAGGCGGTCCCCCAATAGATAGAAATACCTGAAACTGGTGATCAGGGGCTTCCCAATAAGATCTCAAGAGCTGGGCAAGTGGGCTCAAGCATGCGCATTAAGAAGCAAAATGGCAGAGTTTAACTGGTATATGACTTTCCAGGGACATTCGACTGCTAAGGGAAGAACGCCACAAGTGAGCATGCATACAACTCCAGTGAACAGGCCGTGCAGGCTCACTTTCCAAGTGCTAGCAGGCCACTGTGCATGTGGACAGCCCACCCCAAGGGAAAAATCGGGGAGAAGGGATGCAAGACCCCAGAAGTGTGCCAACATATAAACCCCAAGTCAAAAAATGAAACTGCACACTTGATGTCTCAAGCCACCCGTCAGCCCGTCAGCCCTCTTCCAATTGTACTTTACTTTCATTCCCGCTCTAAAGCCTTCTAATAAGCTTTCACTCCTGTTCTAAAACTTGCCTGGTTCTCTTCTTCTGCTTTACGCCCCCTGGTCAAATTCTTTCTTCTGAAGAGGCAAGAATGGAAGTTGTTGCAGACCCATGTGGATTTACTGCCAGTAACAGTAACTGTGTGGCAAAGCTGTGCAGAATGAATAATGGGAGCAAAGAGGAGGGAAACACTAATTCTGGCTAGAAGCAAAGATGGTTCTCCAGTTATTCTAGAAATCTTTCACTTCAAAGATGAGTTGTATTATTACTCTTTAAAAAGTGCCATATTTTAAAAAGCAGTCCTCACAATTTACAAAATAATAATCTTGTAAAATTTAAGTTCTATTTTTAAAACATTTTCACAAACCTGTTGATACTATTTCTTGTCTCAATTTCAATGACATATTAAGAAACTTCTATTCAATTTATTATTAAAGATACAAAAATTGCAGCATGCCAAATTATATGTTACAGTTTAAAAACACAAATTTAAAAGACATCACTGGGCACAAAACATATACACTTTAAAAAGGAGTGAAAAATATAAATTGATAATGTAACTGAGGACCCCAATTTTTCTGAAATAGTTTATTTTTTATTGTTTTCTCTTCTTTTCTTCTTTCCCCTTCTCCCTTGCTCCACCTTTCCTACTTAGCCCTTTAGAAATGCAAATATAAGGCTGAGTGAGGTGGCTCATGCTTGTAATCCTAGCACCTTGGGAGGCGGAGGAGGGTGGTTCACCTGAGGCCAGGAGTTCAAGACCTGCCTGGCCAACAGAGTGAAACCCATCTCTACTAAAAATGCAAAAATTAGCTAGGTGTGGTTGTGTGACCCTGTAATCCCAGCTACTCAGGTGGCTGAGGTGGGAAAATTGCTTGAACCTGGGAGGTGGAGACTGCAGTGAGCTAAGATGGCACCACTGCACTCCAGTCTGGGTAACAGAGCAAGACTCTGTCCCCCCCCCAAAAAAAAAAAGGAAAAAGAAAGAAAGAAATTCAAATATAACCTTTCACCTCTCCCTCAACAGACTTTCCTCCCACAGGGCTAATTCACCTATATGTTCCGAGAAGGATACCTCTTGACAGTTGATGTGCAGACCAAAACGTGCCCCCAGAGAACTCACCTCCACAGGGTCACTTTAGAAGAACATGTGGAAAGCATGCCCACTTGGCCACTTTTACAACCTACCTCTGCCCAGAAAGGTACCAACTCAACTACCCAGTAGATAAGGCACCAAACTAGCAGGGGCACCCCGTCTTTGGCCATTTCCTCCCCTACCTTAATAGAAAAATGCCAATTTTCTGCTCCAAAATTGAAGTGGCATATTTAAAGACAAGATGCTTTGTGTCCCTTACCCCAAACTAGCTTTGGAATACATTCACTTTTTTTTTTTGTAACAGATCTTGCTCTTGTTAATTGGACTCTGCCTGTAGTGAGCAGCTAATGTGTGTGTGTGTGTGTGTGTGTGTGTGTTTTGTTGTTTTTTTTTTTTTTTGACAGAGTCTCACTCTGTCACCAGGCTGGAGTGCAGGGCGACCTTTGCTTCCCAGGTTCACGCCATTCTCCTGCCTCAGCCTCCTGAGTAGCTGGGACTACAGGCGCCCACCACCATGCCTGGCTAATTTTTTGTATTTTTAGTAGAGACGGGGTTTCACGATATTAGTCAGGATGGTCTCGATCTCCTGACCTCTTGATCCACCTGCCTCGGCTTCCCAAAGTGCTGGGATTACAGGCATGAGCCACCGCGCCCAGCCTAACGTGCTTTTTAGTTACAATGATACTTCACAATCACCAATTGCCAGGCACTGTAATAGAAGACTCTTCCCCGACTACTGCCTCCAGTCATGTGCATCATATTTAAAACAGCCCTTTGAAGTAAACACATTTTTTTCTTACACCCCCTTTCACAGATAAGGCAGTTGGAATTCAGAGAGCCTAAGTGACATGTATGAGATTTCCCTACCTTTATATCATAGAGTGGCTTTTTGAAACAACCTCTGACATCAGAACATATTCTGAACTCTTACTCTACTATGTATCACAAAATTTAAGCAAGCTTCATAAAATTGAATAAGATGGAGTAAATGTATATTAATAGTTGGTATGTATTATTTATGGATATCTGCTAAAAATAATTATCACACATTACCTAAATTGATTTTTTAACACAATCAAAAAGTTATATTGAGTGGGAAAGTCAGTTGACTCATCATCTAAATGCCAATAGTTTAAAACCCAAGTTTTAACAATGCCGTAATGAGTACATGCTAGTTCAAATGCATTCTATTATAATTACAGGATCTTATAAAAGTATAGTGAGATTGTGAGTAATTAAGTCATTAGAGAGAGCTATTGAATTAAAATTGGAGAATATTGTAACGATTGATTTTTTTAGAAGAAATGACAGACATATAATACTAAATATTGTATAAAGGAAATAAATGGAAAAAGTATCTGCTACACAGTGATGGAGGTGATTTCTTTCTCTCTTTCTTTCTCCTTCCTTCTTTTCTTTTCTTTGCTTTCTTTTCTTTTCTTTTTTTTTTCAGGATCTTCCTCTGTTGCCCAGGCTGGCATATAATGGCATGCTCATGGCTCAGTGTAGCCTCAGCCTCCCTGGCTCCAGTGATCCTCCCACCTCAGCTTCTGAGTAGCTGGGACTACAGGCTTGCACCACCATACTTGGCTACATTTTTTGTTTGTTTGTTTGTTTGAGATATGGTCTCACTATGTTGCCCAGGCTGGTTTTTTTTTTTTTTATACTTTTAAGTTTTAGGGTACATGTGCACAACGTGTAGGTTTGTTACATATGTATACATGTGCCATGTTGGTGTGCTGCACCCATTAACTTGTCATTTAGCATTAGGTGTATCTCCTAATGCTATCCCTCCACCCTCACCCCACCCCACAACAGGCCCCAGTGTGTGATGTTCCCCTTCCTGTGTCCATGTGTTCTCATTCTTCAATTCCCACCTGTGAGTGAGAACATGCGGTGTTTGGTTTTTTGTCCTTGTGATAGTTTGCTGAGAATGATGGTTTCCAGCTTCATCCATGTCCCTACAAATGACATGAACTCATCATTTTTTATGGCTGCATAGTATTCCATGGTGTATATGTGCCACATTTTCTTAATCCAGTCTATCATTTTTGGACATTTGGGTTGGTTTCAAGTCTTTGCTATTGTGAATCGTGCCACAGTAAACATAGGTGTGCATGTGTCTTTGTAGCAGCAAGATTTATAATCCTTTGGGTATATACCCAGTAATGGGATGGCTGGGTCAAATGGTATTTCTAGTTCTAGATCCCTGAGGAATCGCCACACTGACTTCCACAATGGTTGAACTAGTTTACAGTCCCACCAACAGTGTAAAAGTGTTCCTATTTCTCCACATCCTCTCCAGCACCTGTTGTTTCCTGACTTTTTAATGATCGCCATTCCAACTGGTGTGGGATGGTATCTCATTGAGGTTTTGATTTGCATTTTTCTGATGGACAGTGACGATGTGCATCTTTTCATTTGTCTGTTGGCTGCATAAATGTCTTCTTTTGAGAAGTGTCTGTTCATATCCTTCAACCACTTGTTGATGGGGTTGTTTGTTTTTTTCTTGTAAATTTGTTTGAGTTCTTTGTAGATTCTGGATATTAGTCCTTTGTCAGATGAGTAGATTGCAAAAATTTTCTGCAATTCTGTAGGTTGCCTGTTCACTCTGATGGTAGTTTCTTTTGCTGTGCAGAAGCTCTTTAGTTTAATTAGATCCCATTTGTCAATTTTGGCTTTTGTTGCCATTGCTTTTGGTGTTTTAGATATGAAGTCCTTGCCCGTGCCTATGTCTCGAATGGTATTGCCTGGGTTTTCTTCTAGGATTTTTATGGATTTAGGTCTAACATTTAAGTCTTTAATCCATCTTGAATTGATTTTTGTGTAAGATGCAAGGAGGGGATCCAGTTTCAGCTTTCTACATATGGCTAGCCAGTTTTCCCAGCACCATTTATTAAATAGGAAATCCTTTCCCCATTGCTTGTTTTTCTCAGGTTTGTCAAAGATCAGATAGTTGTAGATATGTGGCATTATTTCTGAGGTCTCTGCTCTGTTCCATTGGTCTATATCTCTGTTTTGGTACCAGTACCATGCCGTTTTGGTTAGTGTAGCCTTGTAGTATAGTTTGAAGTCAGGTGGCATGATACCTCCAGCTTTGTTCTTTTGGCTTAGGATTGACTTGGCAATGTGGGCTCTTTTTTGGTTCCATATGAACTTTAAAGTAGTTTTTTCCAATTCTGTGAAGAAAGTCTTTGGTAGCTTGATGGGGATGGCACTGAATCTATAAATTACCTTGGGCAGTATGGCCATTTTCACGATATTGATTCTTCCTACCCATGAGCATGGAATGTTCTTCCATTTGTTTGTATCCTCTTTTATTTCATTGAGGAGTGGTTTGTAGTTCTCTTTGAAGAGGTCCTTCATATCCCTTGTAAGTTGGATTCCTAGGTATTTTATTCTCTTTGAAGCAATTGTGAATGGGAGTTCACTCATGATTTGGCTCTCTGTCTGTTATTGGTGTATAAGAATGCTTGTGATTTTTGCACATTGATTTTGTATCCTGAGACTTTGCTGAAGTTGCTTATCAGCTTAAGGAGATTTTGGGCTGAGACAATGGGGTTTTCTAAATATACAACCACGTCATCTGCAAACAGGGACAATTTGACTTCCTCTTTTCTGAATTGAATACCCTTTATTTCCTTCTCCTGCCTAATTGCCCTGGCCAGAACTTCCAACACTATGTTGAATAGGAGTGGTGAGAGACGGCATCCCTGTCTTGTGCCAGTTTTCAAAGGGAATACTTCCAGTTTTTGTCCATTCAGTATGATATTGGCTGTGGGTTTGTCATAGATAGCTCTTATTATTTTGAGACACGTCCCATCCATACCTAATTTATTGAGAGTTTTTAGCATGAAGGTTGTTGAATTTTGTCAAAGGCCTTTTCTGCATCTATTGAGATAATCATGTGGTTTTTGTCTTTGGTTCTGTTTATATGCTGGATTACGTTTATTGATTTTTGTATGTTGAACCAGCCTTGCATCCCAGGGATGAAGCCCACTTGATCATGGTGGATAAGCTTTTTGATGTGCTGCTGGATTTGGTTTGCCAGTGTTTTACTGAGGATTTTTGCATCGATGTTCATCAGGGATATTGGTCTAAAATTCTCTTTTTTTGTTGTATCTCTGCCAGGCTTTGGTATCAGGATGATGCTGGCCTCATAAAATGAGTTAGGGAGGATTCCCTCTTTTCCTATTGATTGGAATAGTTTCAGAAGGAATGGTACCAGCTCTTCCTTGTACCTCTGGTAGAATTCGGCTGTGAATCCATCTGGTCCTGGACTTTTTTTGGTTGGTAAGCTATTAATTATTGCCTCAATTTCAGAACCTGTTATTGGTCTATTCAGAGATTCAACTTCTTCCTAGTTTAGTCTTGGAAGGGTGTATGCATCGAGGAATTTATCCATTTCTTCTAGATTTTCTGCCCAGGCTAGTCTTAAACTTCTGGACTCAAGCTATCCTACTGCCTCAGCCTCCCATTGTTCTGGGATTACAGGTGTGAGCCACTGCACCTGGCCAAATTTTTATTTCTGATGTTTCATTTACATAAAAATAAAATGCTGTCAACAACAAAGCAATAAGGCAAAATGCAGCATACTATAAGCTTTGAGGTAAATACTTTGTTTTATTTTATTCTCACTTTCCTGATTGACAATACAATATGTGATTAATCTATCAGAAGAAGTCCATGCTGAATTTAAAATATCACATGGTCTGTTTCATTCTGTTATTCAGTCATATTAGGTAAGAAAGTTATAAATGTAATCAGATTACATACCAACAACTCTGTGCACTTTATTCTTTCACTTGTCTAAATAGGATGTCATGATGGTTAAAGACGGTTTATTTCCAACAAGTTAATTTTAAACTCAAACCATGATGTTGCTTTCCACATCTGCCAAGATGATAAATACTGAATGGCTTATAAGTGATTAAAGAAGATCTAGTAATGTTTTGAAAGACAATAGCAAAAAATCTATGTTTCCTTTCAATCTTATTCATAAGCAGCATGAGGCATTAATTTGAAAAACTCAGACCTTGAACTTCAGAACAAGTACATAATTGAGCTTACACAGAAACAATTTTGCCTTAAAATAATTTTATATCCTTTCCAGGGTTTTTCCATTTTGACTTATCTATAGTGATTTTTATGAAAGTTTTATACTGCATAACGCACACCATGGTTTTTAAATTCCTCAGATATTAAAACTTGACAGCTGTGACCCTTACTATCAACTCAATTAGCAAGAACCACGGAGAGATGGCATCAGTAGTACTTCACCACACTATATTATATACAGCCTGTTCTCCAACATACCATGTTTAAATGATCCCTTTTTATCTACTGTAGACTGTAAATGTATTCTTTGTTAACAGTCTATTTATTGTAAAGTCACTGAAGCCAAAAAGAAACATAGGAGAACTGCTTTGGGAGTGACAGCGCAGGTTGCTGGAATAAGAAATTTAAATATCTAGGGCACTGAGTCGATTGGTTTCTTATGATAATAGCATCCATCTCCCAGTCTTCCCTTGGGAACAAGAGCTTTGCACATGACTCCACAACATCAGTTGCACCTTCTCCAGGTAAGTTTCTGGTAGGTAAGAGGAATTCCTATTCCTGCTCAAATTGCATCCCTTATGATGAACAGGTTATATATTTTCTTATATACATTTGTGTTGCCCAGTTTCTGTAAACAAGATCAAAATATATATAATGCATAAATATAAACATACAAAAGTACTGAATTGTGATGAGGCAGAAAATCTCTAGGAGGAGATGGAAAAATGGAAGGATCATTTAACACTAGACTAGAGAAGCAAGGGGATGTGAAAGAAGGTAATGGTGAGAGCAAGAAGTAAGGAAAAAAGGAAGAGTAAATTAAATCAGAAAAGCTTTAAGTCTATCAGATTCATGTTATCTGGCCATTGGGTCAAAGAAAATGAGAATAATCAGTTTGTTATATCTAAAAATTAGCAAGTGAGCCTTTCTGACAGCAATGTAGGAGCTCTTTCCACATAACCCAGTTGAAAACATTTGGTGTTTTAGAAGCAAGGGAGCTTATGGGGAGTTCTATTTTAGCTAAGAAAAACGTCTAACTTAATTTTTAAATTAAATTTTTCTGTAAAATTGGACAAAGAAGACCTGAGTTTGCAATGCTGCTATGTATAATGTGCTAATCTCTGGGCAGTCTGCGTCCCCAGATTTTTAACACTTTGAAAAGAAAAATAAATGTAATTAGTTTAAATAGCTGGTAGGGTAAATACTGTGCTGAAATTGTGATTCTAAAATATATTATCCATACAAATCACTTGGGGAGCTTCATAATACTTCAGATTCCCAAACTCTATCTTTAGACTTCAGATCAGTGGATCTAGAGTTTTGTCTCAGGTAATTTTTATGAACCAGTTAACCTATCTTCATAATTCCATGTTAAGGAAATATGAAGGGTTTAATATTTTACCTTACTTGCAAGCTAACAAATTAGCTTGCCACAGCTTCGTAGACAATGGCAGAAGATACAGGATTCCTGGGTCAGAGGGCAGCGTGATCATCATCCTATTTGCAGCAGTTCTCCTTGCCCCCAAGTCCCATAGGTCCATGCAAATAGGCCCAGATGAATGCCTGCATATGCACTGGGCTGTCTCATAAAAGAGACACCGGGCTTAGAGAATCCATATATTTTTTTTTTTTTGAGATGGAGTCTCCCTCTGTCACCAGGCTGGAGTGCAGTGGCATGATCTTGGTTCAATGCAACCTCTGCCTCCTGGGTTCAAGCGATTCTCCTGCCTCAGCCTCCTGAGTAGCTGGGACTGTAGGCGTGCACCACCATGCCCAGCTAATTTTTGTATTTTCAGTAGAGACGGGGTTTCACCATGTTGGCCAGGATGATCTCAGTCTCCTGACCTGATGATCCACCTGCCTCAGCCTCCCAAAGTGCTGGAATTATAGGCATGAGCCACAGAGCCCGGCCCAGATAATTTTATAATCCAAACTCTGGGTAAAGTTTTTCTAAAAATTTCTATAATGACTGTCACATATTTACACCATGATCTTTAGAAAGTAGAGAATAGATGCATACATTCATTTAAAATTTTAAGTTGTATTTTATTAATTATTATGAATGCATATAGTTTTACATATTTATGGGATACATGTGATGCTTTGATACAGGCTTAGGGTCTGTAATGTCAAATCAGGGTAATTGGGGTATACATCACCTTGAGCATTTATTATTTCCATGTGTTAGGGACATTCCAATTCCATCCTTTTAGTTGTTCTAAAATATACAATGAATTATTGTTAACTGTAGTCACCTAATTGTGCTACTGAGCACAAGATCTTATTCATTCTAACTGTATGTTTGTACATTATGTACCTTTGTACAAACTGTATGTATATTATCCATTTCCATTTTATCCCCTACTCTCTGCTACCCTTTCCAGCCTCTGGTAACCATCATTTAATTCTTTATTTTCATAAGATCATATTTAAAAACAATTAGCTTCCACATATAAGTGAGAATATGTGAAATTTGTTCTCCTGTGACTGGCTTGTTACGCTTAATATAATGCCCTACAGTCCATCTATGTTGTTGCAAATGACAGGATTTCATTCTTTTTCATGGTTGAATAATATTCTATTTATTTTAAATTAGAGGTGAGTAAACATGATTTTGAGCATTATTCACTTAACCCTAATGTTTGCTATCAAAGCAATTACAGGTACCTATCCTTTACTGAAAGTGATGTTATTTCTGTAAACGTCTTGTGACAAAAATATCCTCTTAATTATACTTCTGTTTTCTTCACTTGTGATATATTTTTCCAGCATAGTCACTCTTTCTGGGTAGTGGAAACAGCAGCAAGGAAAAGTGCATGACTAGAGAATATACTTTTGTAAATATGCAAACTACATGAAACGCTTGTTTTTTGTCACATTTTATTTTGACCAAAGAAGTTCCATCAAACTAGAATTGGCTCTAGTTTAATATTGGCCATTTCCGAAATATAAAATCAATATTCAATAGTACAGACTTGCTGCTATTGATGAAATCCTACATTTTATTTTGTTTTATTCATATTTCTATTCACATGGCATTTTAGGGTTTTGGTAAAATCCACTTACTGAGTTCATCCACATATTTTCCAGTATACTGCACTAATGTCATGTTCTCCATAGAACTTCTCCTTTTTACAAGATGAAAATCATTTCACCCTGTGTCTCCTTCTGAGGCCTTTTTTTTTTTTTTTTTACCTTTAATGGCACTTATTGTATCTATCTTGTATGACTGGACATATGTCTGTCTTTTCTCAGAGACAGTGAGAACTTTAGGGCAATGGAACATGTATTAGTAATTGTTTCATTCTTCCTAGTGCTAAGTATGGTTTGCCCTCATGTCATTCAGTTCTTTTCTGAAAGGCCACTTAAGGAGTCAATCTCCACTCAATTAACAGAATTAATTTCTTTAGATAATACTTAATTACTTATGTATATATTTTGCATCTGTATTTTCTTCCTCATCTATTTATGTCCATGAGAGCAAGTGCATTTTTTATTTTGCTTACAATCATATTTCCAACACTCATGCCTGGGAACAGAATAAGTGCTCAAAAAAAAAAAAAAAAATACATGCACACACACACACACACATATATATATATATATAAACATATATGTATATATTTCAAAAATACTCACCTAATGTGGAAAATATCTCTATGTGCAATGAATGTGTTCATTGTAAATTATTTATATCATTATACTACATAATTCTTAGAAGGAATGCTACTTGTAGAATCATTAATTGCAGAAATTATCTGTCCTATTCTTCTGAGTTCAGTTAGGTAATATGTCATTCTTTAACCTTTATAGATAACTAAGAATCACATACCCAGTGATTAAAAATAGGTAGGCTTATATGGGAGGGTAACTAGTACCTAGTGATTAAAAATAGATAGGCTTATATGGGAGGGTAACTAGTATCTAAGTTGCTTAACTCCAGTGGACAATGCATAATCCCATTATTTTTATTTCAACATAATAAACTACATATACTAGAAATCTTAAAAATCATTTCTAGCATATTTCTGTCTTCAGTAGCTCACACTCTTTTATTTAAGAAATACTTTTAGTAGATTACTTGAAAATTGACTGTGTACCATCAGAAAGTTTTTCACCAATATTGAACTTCCCATAATAAGTGCTACAGTAGAGGAACATAAATCAGATTTAGTAATAACCTTCTTGGGTTTGGCTTTTCTGGTAAATATTACAGAATTTTTCTGTGTTCTATTAACATTTTCTCTACAGTAAATATGCACCAAAAGTACTTTTTGTGTTTTTTATATTTTCTTATTTTGTATCTGTATTTGCATTTTGTATTCTTACAGTGGCAGAAAATTACAGAACAAAATAAGATATTTTTAATTTATTTTTTTCAAAAAGCAATCATTTTCTTGGAAATAATTTATGGAACTAGATTGTTAGTGCTTTTCTCCCCAGTTCTGTGTATAAACAAAGTCAAATATTTCCACAGCTCGTGAAGATCTGGGGAAAGTTTTATTCAGAAAGGTAAAATTTGAAGTCTAACATTTTATCAAGTTTAGAACTCTCACTGGTAAAAGCAGTAGTGCAAAAATAAATATAAAGCAAAAACAAGAAATAAGAACGTGGTTATTTCCCAACTCGAACAATCTTTTTTTCTCAAGGAAGAGCCTTGGATGATTTCTGCCTGTCTTGGAAAGTAAACATTTATGTGACAGAGGAACTGGCAAATACTTTTAACTTATATCATCAAAAATTAAAATTGTAGCATGTCAATGATTCCTGCTGTGGATAAATGTTGATTTTAATATATGACAAAGTTAAAACTACAACTACATTTGGCGGAAAACAGGAAGAGTATAGCTTTATATTTGGAGCTTTGTCCTATAGACCTCTATTTCTAGAGTCTGTTGATTATCAAGGGTCCAGAGAACAAAATCAAACATGGTTCAATATGTAATATTATGATGTATACATTTTATATTCTAAAGAGAGACATCAGGAAATGTATGTAATAAATTATCAGTTACCAATGTCTTTTGAGTTTGATGTTAGCTGCCTGCTTTCCTAAGTGTGAATGAAATTCAATTTCTCTAAAAAAACTCAAAGTGCATCAAATAGTATCAATTAAAATAAGCGTTCAGAAGAATTAAATTTCTTAATGCTTATGAACAGAGTCAGAAAAATATACTATGGAAGCCGAAGCTGATGGCTATTAAGTTATATATGTGTTTCTATAACAATTGTAGACAATTGTAAGTTAAAAGCCGCCTATAGGCAGTGGTTTAGAGAAATGGAGAAATGACTATTTAAAAATAATATACACTATAAGTAATAATGGTGAATTCAATTTCATTTTTGAAAAATATCTTTAGTTTTTGAAATCACTGTAAATACAATCAAAATATGCTTTTCATACATAGTAACTTCATCTTTTATCTCTTTTTGAGTCATAGATCTCATACCTTCTACCTACAAAAGGAACAGATTCATATGATATTAAAACCTACACCTTTACTACAACTTTTCTGTATGTGCCTCATTGACCTTCCATGTATTGTAAGTGTAATTTCACTTTAAAGCATTCTTAACGCTTTCCTACTCACATAACTAATGCCTTTTCCTTCTCTCATTATTTTCCATTGCTATTTAATTTTACTGCTGTATTATTTTTATATTCCTCTGAAATGAAATTTAGAATGAAAAACTTCTCAGGATCACAATACTGTGATAACTAAGCAGATACTCTCTGTCATGTGTATTATTATTGTAGTATTTATGCATGATATAGGTGATGAAAAGCTGTTAGTGAATTTTATGCTCATTTTCCCTGTAATATGATGTTGATTCCTAATCACTTTTTGAAGCTTCTTTGCAGTTTTTTAAATTCTATTGCTGTTGAATAATATAAACTTGGAAATATTAAAAAAATCATAATTTTGTAAGACTAGATATGGTGCATATTTTTCAGATGTAAAAATAATACTGATATTTAACAGTATGTGCCACTTGAATTGTAAATATCTTACATAAATATATAACTGCCCACTTAAGTGAAAACCTAGCTTTGACCGAGGCACCCGGAGAAGCTTCTTTTCCTTCTTCCATACCAAATCCATCAAGGTGACCCATTCAAAATAATTGCTGACACTAGGAATGACTCTCCCTATTCTCAGCTTTTCCTTTTCCTTTTCTTTTTCTGATACAACAGTGGCCACTGCTGCTTGCTGAAGCCAGTAGTTAGTTGGGGAGTCTGCTGCTCCTCATTCTTCCACCTTCCCCACCCAAAAATAAGTTCTGGACACTTTAATTGCTGTGCAATTAAAGCATTGGATAATGGTGATGTTTCTGAAAAAAGACGTGGAGTTGATACTACCCCTTTTTAAAACATCAAATTTAAATTGTGGTCCCAATAGACAGGTATGTGTCATATAAAAGGATCATAAAGTTTAATGGTAATATTTAAATAACAAAAGTTTACAATGTTTTAATTTTGAAATATGTACAAATGTGAGGGACTCAAGAAAATTTCTAATTTAGTACCTCACTCGTTTGTTTTCCAATATGCTTTTTGAGTGGGTGGAGTTACAGTTAGTATGCTATGAATAGAATATACCTCTTCAGTAATCTAAGTTTTGTGCAATGAGCATGAATATTTCTAATGGTAATAACTGTGTTGTTTTGTCCTGAAGCATTCTTTCTTTTGGAAAACACCTACCTCCTCTCACCATTCTTATCCCATGATAATCTTGGACCTTGTGGTTTTGTTAAAGCTGATTCCATATCCCTGTCATTGAAATAACACACTCCTGGTCCTGTGACTAACCACATGGCACATGACCTAAGCCTTAGTTGTCAGGATGCCCTACCCCTTGCCACAGTGATAATTTCCAGGGCAAGTAGGGAAACCTAGTTGAATCTATTAGTCTTTTCAAAAACCTTTTACACAGCCAAAAAAAAAGTCCTTTTTAAGAGGTCAGCTGGAAAATGTGCTTTACAGAAAAGAAGGTGGAGCTCTGAAATAGAAAGGTCAAGTGACCCCAAGTCCTAAGTTCTTTTTTAGCTCATGTTTTCTTTTTGTTCCTCTTGCCTGGGCATGGAAGTAGTGGCCTACTGCAGTTGCTATTTTTGGGTTGTTTCCCTGACAACTGTTTGTTTCCTCAGGCTCTTCCATCATCTGAGTAACCTAGTCTCTGTTTTAAACACCCAAATGTTTGTCTTTTTTTCCTCCTGTTTTTGTCTTTGTATATTGATGGATAAATTTTCAGATACTATTTTGTTTGTTTTGTTTTAGCAAGAGTTCTTTATTTTCTTCAAAGGCTTACAAAGAAGCTTAATAAAACAGATAAAAGTAGAGCTATGAGTAGAAGTCTTTGGTGACAAAATGTTATACAACCTAACTGACTTAAGTTGTCTAGCTAGATAGCTTCTAAAATCCTGAGAACACTACTTAATAAAATTTAAAATTTACTGCTATATTCTTTTCAGTTGAGAATAGCTACATATACTATTAGTATATAGGTGTCATAGAATTAAAAATAGGAAAAAACTCAGAAATGTTATTTATTTTTTTTATTTTTTTATTTTTTTGAGACAGAGTCTTGCTCTGTCGCCCAGGCTGGAGTGCAGTGGGACGATCTCGGCTCACTGCAAACTCCACCCCACGGGTTCATGCCATTCTCCTGTCTCAACCTCCTGAGAAGCTGGGACTACAGGCGCCCTCCACAGCGCCCAGCTAATTTTTTTTTTTTTGTATTTTTAGTAGAGACGGGGTTTCACTGTGTTAGCCAGGATGGTCTCAATCTGCTGACCTCGTGATCCGCCCACCTCGGCCTCCCAAAGTGCTGGGATTACAGGTGTGAGCCACTGCATCCGGCCTATATAATGTTATTTTTAACATTTTATTTTTTTTTATTATTATGGGTACATACCAGGTGTATAGACTCATGGGGTACATGTGATCTTTTGATACATACATATAATGTATAATAATAACATTAGGGTAATTGGAGTACCCATCACCTCAAGCATGTATGATTTCTTTTTGTTAAATACATTCCAATTCCACTCTTATAATTATTTTTAAATATACAATAGATTATTCTTGACAATAGTCACCTTCCTGTGCTATCAAATATTATATCTCATTTGTGAAATATAATATTCTCAATGTATTTCATCATATGGGGAATGATGAGGTCTCTGTTTCATTCTGATAAATATAGTTGAAAACACTTCTACCTTCATTTATATCTGCTAATAACTTAGTTTTGCTTAACCTTAACTTTATCATTGGATTACAGATCTTTTCTACATACTATCATTTACTGGGGACTTTACCTTTTCGGTGTCCTACTGCCATTATAAGACTTTTCAATTTTTAAGATTATGGAAAATTCTTCTACCTCATTCATACAACCATATGTGTTAAAATTACCTTCCAAAGTCTGATCCTGCTTTACTTCTGCTGTATACCGCTCTCTCTTTTCTTCTCTTTCTCACACACACAAACACACTCACACAAAGTTCAGAACTGTGCTTGAATAAGCCATAAAATCTTTAGACAGGGCGCGGTAGCTCATGTCTGTAATCCCACTACTCTGGGAGGCTGAGGTGGGCAGATCACAAGGTCAGGAGTTCACGACCAGCCTGGCCAATGTGGTGAAACACCTTCTCTACTAAAAATACAAAAATTAGCCGAGCATGGTGGTGGGCGCCTGTGGTCCCAGCTACCCAGGAGGCTAAGACAGGAGAATCACTTGAACCTGGGTGGCAGAGGTTGCAGTGAGCCAAGATGATGCCACTGTGCTCCAGCCTGGGCAACAGAGCAAGACTCCGTCTCAAAAATAAATAAATAAATAAATAAATAGATAGATAAATAAAATAAAATCTTTAGACAATTCAATTTCATCCTTCTTCTCCTGAACTCTGATCAACTAATTTTGACCATCATAGACACTGACCTCCAAGGATCAAATCCTCATCTCTATAATCCTCACTAAATTATTAATGTGGTATTTTAAAAGAGAATTTTATCAGAGAAAGTAAACTGTGATATGGCTAGATTGAATGAAGTAATGTATGTATAAGAGAATATTGATTGAGCATGAAATGCTGAAACAATTGCACAGAATTAAGAGATAACCCCAAGCAACTATTTCACAACTCTGCAATGTCAGCCGTCCTTTCTAGACCAGACTTGCCAGGGGGCAGCCCCTGTCTCTTCACAGGAAATCTTCTTCCTTAAGGAGACACAGTAATTTGTTCAACAATTATCTATTTAATGCCTATTTGTTCCTGGTCAATGTATTAAGAACTGGGAGCACAAGGATGAAAAGCATGGATTACATCTTTAGGTACCTTGCACTCTAGCCTAATGAGAGGAATATAAGTGATTACGATGCAAAGTTGTGTAATAAAAGCATGCATAAAGTTGGATGTAAGCTACAGGGGAGGCTTTGCAGAGTAGTATTCAAGTTCAGACTTTGATCACTATGTGTAACTGATGCATAGAGGGAGGTGTAGGGTGGGGGCTAAGGCCCTGACATGGGTATTAAGCCAGCTTCCTAAGCCTAGATGATTTACTTTTATAAGGGGCAGACACATTGCATTAAAAAAAAACACTATATGTGATTTGTATAAATGGATGGACAGTGTAGCCTAGTGAAGTGACAGAGACCCTGGGGACAAAAAAGTGTGAGTGAACCACCTCCATACCCCTTCATTTTGTACATATTTGCAATTCTCAGTGACACTGAAAAGTACAATAGAGACAACGTGTATTAAACACTTATCACATTCTCTATCCCATTAGAGACACTCCAAAATTGGAAGTTGTTTAAAATAGCATGAATATTAGTGAAAGTGGGAATGGTGGCTCTTTTGGTGGTAATATTAGGTAGACCCTTGGAATTACTTCATTATCCAAACCACGTTCTCATTCCTTGCCTGCCTGATACTTGAAAAAAAGAAACTCATAACATTCAAAATATATATTTTCTTGTGCTTATCATATTAAAAAATATTATTGAATATTTATCTACAGTAGGGATTGTGTTTAATTTAGCTTTAAAAGGCATATAAGGAGCTCTAGTACTCTGCATTTTGTACACCCAGGTCCTGATTTTAAAGTTGATAGTAACCCACTGCTGCAGCAGGTACACACCTGCTCTTTCATTCTCATCCATATATAAATGATGCATGTCTTCCAGTGAATAAAATAAAGGTAAATAATGTCCTCTACCTAAGAAGTCCAGACCTATTGTTTTAAAACAACAACATAGTGGCTGAGCTATTTGGGCATGGATCTCTGGCTTAAGTGAAATGGGACTATCCTTGAGACCAGAAAATGGCTTACTAAAGGTGTAGGCAATCCCTATCAGAGGAAAAGCAGTTTTGTTTTGTTTTTTTTTTTTCAAAAATCTCAGTAATTTAAAAAGTGAATAAACAAAACAAACAAACAAATGCCCTGATGACAGCAAAACACAAATTCTGCTTTGGCCTTTTGTGAGGTATAAGTTTATTAGTGGTCAGAGACTCCTGGGAAACATCTCTTTTATTCATTTACATAAAAATAAAATTTACATTATGAATCTACTCTTAAATTGTCTTTATATAAAGAACTAACAGAAGTAGCTAAAAATCATAGCCTATACCCTTCATTGTCACTCTTTAACTGTGAAATATCCTCTGCCAATTTTATCAGTAATTTAATCAGTATTTTAAAAATTGTAGTTCCCTGGTATTGTAATGTACCTTAATTTTACTTTGAGGTACCTTACTATAAAATACTTTGATATTTGAAATATCATCTTTGATAACTGAAATACTTTTATTTTTCCTTAAGAGATTTTAAAACTATGTATTTTTAAATCTTTTATGTGATTACATGTGATCTGTACAAATAAACTGATTTTAATCATAGTATGTACATTTTAATTTTTTTTTAAGTATGTACATTTTGAAAAGTTTCAATTGTTGAAACCAACCTTACGTTTGAATACTTAGGACTGTTTATTGTGTTAATTGGTTTTGAAAAATTGTTATTTCATCTCAGTACTGCTTAAATTCTACAATTTAGTGTTCCAAATTTTTTTCCATAGGAATTACCTGTTTTGTTGATTACACAACACATTTCTTATGATATTTTTCACTAGTTTGAGTTTAAGGAAGCAGTGGTGGTAGTGAATGGGAGGATGCTGGAATATGTAGTAGAGATGGTAATCTTAGTGAAACCAAGCAAATACAATGAGGAGAAATAATTAAAAAATAATGCTTTAGAAACCTTTTGTAAAGTGATCATTATTGCTTATTTTTCTAGGCCTTATGTGTTAAAATGAAACTCTAAATACAGGACTCAGAAATAGTATGCTAATAAAAAGAAATTATCCATTGCAATGGAATTCCAGGATACTGCAAATGCCACTATAAAAGCTACACAGTTTGGCAGAAAGAAGTGATAAACATCATGGAACTGTGTCACTGCATGGGGGTTGTGGAGCAAAGATTTTAGAGAAATTTTCAGTTCCAATACTAAATTTTTCACTAAATTGCAAACAAAATTGGCTTAGCTGAATGCGTTATGGTGTGCATATACAGTGGAATAGCATGTAGCCCTTCGACAAGAGGACATTTAATGATATGGAGAAATGCCCACAGGCGTTTTGTTCAAAATAAAATGTTTAAAATAAAACTTAAAAAATCGAAGTTTCTAAAATATGAGTCAATATTTTTTCTTATCTTTGGATGTATTCATAAGGAAAACATCTATAAAAATACCTCAAAATATTAGTATTTGCTAATAGGTTGTTTTATTGACCAGTAAAATAATTGATAGTTGCTGCTTTTTGCTTCAGAAACATAATGAGTCAATGCTATTCATAAATGTTTGTATTATTTAAAATACTCCTCTCACATCTTAAATACATGTGTGTGAGCTGCGAACATGGCTTTCTTTATCTGTGCATACTTACACAATACTTATCAGGTGGAAGAGTGTCTGATATTTGTTAAATGAAATGTTTTTGGGAAAGTAATTACACAATTTTGTTTTTCTGTAAAGGGGAAAGAATTGGAGAATGTGACAAACAACATCACTTAATGGTGCCTGGAATGCTTTCTTGTTTGGGTATATTTGTCATGGCTTTACTTTTATTTAACTGGAGATACTGAATTTGTATCCTGACTTTTGCGAGGTTAATTTCAGTTATTAATTAATGTTACTGAGCGTATTCTGCTATGCACTCGCTCTCTGCTTTCAGTTCAGTATTTTATCTACAAATTAGACAAGGATCTCATACTAGAGTTCAACTTGGAGTTCCAACATGCCCTGACATAAACATTGAAAAGCCTTAAACATTAAAGAATTTGGTTGTCTTGTCTATTTTGGCCATGGAAACTGCTGGAAGATATCAATTCTACAAGCATATGCAAAAATGCTCAACATCACTAATCATTAGAGAAATAAAAATCAAAACCACATGTGATACCATCTCAGAATAGTCATGATGGGTTTTTTAGAGTCAAAAAATAACAGATGCTGGTGAAGCCAGGTTGCAAAGAAAAGGGAACACTTTCTTATACACTGCTGGTGGGAACATAAATGATCTCAGCCATTGTGGAAAGCAGTTCAGCGATTTCTCAAAGAACTTAAAACTGAGCCACCATTTGATCCAGTAATCCCATTACTGTGTATATACCAAAAGGAATATACATTATTCTACCATAAAGACACATGCATGTTTATGTTGATCGCAGCACTATTCACAATAGCAGACATGGAATCAACCTAAATCCCCATCAATGGTAGAGTGGATAAAGAAAATGTAGTACAGATACACCATGAAATACTATGCAGCCATAAAAAAGAATGAGATCATATCTTTTACAGCAACATGGATGGAGCTGGAGGCCATTATGCTGAGTGAATGAATGCAAAATCAGAAAACCAAATATCAAGTGTTCTTATAATTGGGAGCTAAACATAGAGTACACATGAACACAAAGAAAGGAACGATAGAGCATGTGGTCAACTCAAGGGTGGAGTTGGGTGGAAAGGGTGAAGATCATAAAACTACCTATTGGGTTCCGTGCTTATTACCTGCATGACAAACCTGTATGACCTGTACACCAAACCCCTGTGACACACGATTTACCTATATAACTAATTTGCACATGTGCCTCTGAACCTACAATAAAGTTAAAGATACCTGTTTTATATACATTTTTGGATAGCTAATTAAAATACTCTTCTAATTTTGTGGTTTCTTCTCAATTTCACATCTGTATCGCCCCTTCAGAGACACCTCACATTCTTCTTGTTATCACAATTCTCTGCATTGTTTTTGCACATCCTCCACCATCTCTTTTACTGTGATTCTTTCTTTGTGTCTTAGTATCTTTCAGCCCTTCTCAGGCAGTTGGTGCAGCAAACGTCATGAATATCAGTGGCCCATATTCATTAATTTGGGACATCATTTCTTTTGTCTTTAAGATATTTCTATTGTGTTTTGTTGTTATTATGGTATCTTTATGTAATCACTATGCTACTGAAAGTAAGAGTTTAATTTGTTAAATGCTAGCTGGCTTTATTGTATATGAATGAATAGATTGAAAATATCATGTGTCTGGCTCCTTTCTTCCTTCACTTTTTCCTTCTTTCTCTTTCAATCCACAAACATTAAACCGTGCAGTTGTTAAAAAAACCAGATGCCAAAGCTAAACTGATAGTGTTTAAATCCAAACTGTGCTCCTAGTAACTGTGATCTTGGATAAATTCCTTAATTTCTCTGAGTCTCAATTTTCTCATGTATAAAATAAGAATAATTACAGCAGTTGTGGCAGCTAGAATAATGACTCCCTAAAGATGCTCATGTCCTAATCATCAGAACCTGTGTGCTACTTCACATGGCAGAAGGGATTTTGCAGATGTGACTAAGCATCATTAGAAAGGGAGGTAATCCTTAAAAGAGAAATAGAGAGGAAGGAGAGTCAGAGCAGAAGATGTAATGGAGGCAGATAACCAGAGTGATATAGCATGATAAATACGTGACCGGCTATGGATGACTTTGAAGATGGAGAAATTGAGCCTGAGCCAAAAATGTGGGTGGCTTCTGGAAGCTGGAAAAGGCAAGGAAATTGATGCTCCTTTCTTCCTTGCAGAAAAAACACAGCCATGCTGACACTTTGATTTTATCTCAGTGAGAGCCATTTTGGAATCCTGGCCTCTGGAAGTATAGGACAGTAAATCTGTGTTAAGCCACCAAGTGTGTAATAATTTGTCATAGCAGTAATAAATGACTGTTATAGTAGGACTTCTAGAAAATATGAGAGTTAATATTAGTAAAACAATTCAAAGAATATCTTGCTTATAATAAGCTATACAGATACGTTTTTGTAAAATACATAAGTAATATAACTAAAGAAATAAGTATTGAGAAGTATTGAGTGTCTTCTACAAGCACTTTACCCACAGGTAGACAGAAAATATGTATAAAGAATTGGCCCTCCACATATTGCGTGTGTGTGTGTGTGTGTGTGTGTGTGTGTGTGTGTAATAGCTCCTGAGGTACCGAGGGGTTTGGCACATCCGTGTACAAAATGACAGGCACATGCAGTAGGTACCATCTGTAGTTGCTTTAATGATGCTCTTCTAGTACTTTTAGATATAATTCTGTGAACATAATGCTCACCTCTGAATGGTTAAATACTGAGAAAGAAGAAAGCTTTCAGATCTTTCTATAAAACAGTACTTTCAGTTCAGAGAGCTGGTTTCAGTTCAAAAACCCCCAATTTAGTTTTAGAGAAAATCCCCAAAGTATCAGTGTACACAGAAGTGCTTGAATAGAAAAAAAGCCTTGACTTCTGAGAGGAAGTAAAAACTGCACTTGAATAATCACCAATCCTCTCAGAAAAGTCTGCAGAGAAAACCTGATGCAGCTGGCCCACTTAGGATCGACTTTTCAGGTGTTCTTCTTCAGTGAATAGGTTGCAGATGTCAGTATAATCACAGCAGATGGCTATCCCTCTTAGTTCTCAGAGAGCGGTGCTCTGAAACTCCCTCTCTGCCAGTTGGGCTGACTCAGTACTTTTGTGACTCCAATTACTATAGCCGTGCAATGCCAAACCACATGCCTGACTCTTGGGAGAGGAGCTGTTGTTCTCTTCCCTGACCTGCTTGAATGACAACCTAGAAACACAGACATGAAACATGCCTCAAGAGATACGAAAAAATTACTTCAAACACCCACAGCCCAGAAACAGATTAGGAAAAACTGCAGTTCTTGGGGGTTCCCTTTGGAGAGATGATCAAGGAGATTATCTCTATTCTCAGAATACATAGTATTTTTCAGGACATCAATAATTTAGGGAAACTGAAACCCTGCTAGATCATCATTATATATTTTTCAGAAAGATCTATCTATATGTTTTACTATAAGTACAGTTTGACTTCCAGAAAATAGAAAAAAAAATCTTCAGTTTTCCAGTACTAAAACTAAAGAAAAAAACTCAAAAAGTATTTTATTTGCATTTTAGAGAAAACCTGTGTGTATCACTAATTTATTAAGTATGTAATTTTTACTAAGCACTGTTCTACATGCATCATTTTAATCATCGTAACTTGCTCAAATATGTTGATTCAATGGTGTGTACCTCATAGATAGGAATTTCAAGATATATGTAAAAACTGTTTGAGGATAAACACAAGTCCAGATTTGTCTAACTCCAAAGCCTTTGCTAGTAGCAATTCAACAATTCTGTCTTTAAGAGCCTTTTCTGGGGACAGTATGATTATCCAAAAACACACAGGGCAAAATTTCAAATAGGAAGGAAAAATTCACACAAACACATACACCTATGTGTCTACTCCTAAGAGTCTGGTATTTCATATTTTCTCTGTGACCTTATCTGTTACATCTCTGGATATTGAACTTGACTGTGCACAGCTGCTTTACTAAATATTAAAAACCCAGAGGAAGCACAGAGAAGCTTGCACCACAGAGGGCCCAACAGTGCCTTTATCAGAAGGCCATAGTACTAAATCAATGTAACCAAAATGTACTTTCATCTCAAAGTGCTCAAATCAGAGAAGTTACTTGAAAAATGCAACACATTTATCTTCCAGACAACAGATTCCTGGTGGGTTACTCCTCCATTCTCCCTAATCTGTGTGATTTCAGTCCACCAGGGGGTGCCAGAGCAACAAGGAGAGCAGTGCAATTCCAAGGAAGGGGACATAGATTTTCTTCTAAATATGACTGATCCATGAAGAAAAGTGTCTCCTATTGGCAAATTCCTGATAAACTGATACTTTACAAAAGTCCATGGTTTTTATTTTAGTTAAGGGAAAATAAATCTATTTTATATATTCATGTGCTATTTATGTATATAGATAGTTCTACAACTTTGTTTATCTGTTAGAATATTTTTTCCTGCCAAATTTGTCAGACTTATTATCAAGAGGTAATTCATTTCGCTTTCTGCCTTTTTTTTTGCCGTTTAATATGGCTCCTAACAGAAAAGCAGAAAAGGTCTGCTAAAATGATGGGAGGCATATAGTAAAATTGGCTACATAACAATAGAGGTAGTGGTGTTTGGGGGAAAAAAAAGCGTTTTTAGAAAATATGTAAACTTCTTAGAACTCCACAAAGTAGATACTACTTATAATAGTATTGCTAAGAAATTTTATAAAGTGAAAGTTCTCATTTCATGTATCTCATTGCACCACTGATTTTTTAAATATGGTTTCTGTTTTTATCCTTTTTTGTGTATATTTGTGGAAGTGTACGTGTGTCACATGTCTGTCATATAATATATGTAGCATATATATTTTATAACAATAGATTTATACTATGCGTGTATGTATAATTTGCACAGTTTCTTTTTATTCACTTCATATATCATGAACATCTTTCTACATTAGGACATAAATAACAAGTTCGTTTTTTCCATAGCTTTATGAAGGGATAATTGACAAATAAAAATTTGTCAGACTGTACTACCCCACTTTAGGTTAATTGCAACTACTTCATGTTAATTCTTTTATTTTACCTGACTTTAGAGCAGTGGTCCCCAAACTTTAATCTGCATATGGATCACCTGGGTATCTTATAAAAATAATAAACTAGAGCTGTCTAATTTTACAGGTAAAGCTATGCCAAGAATTCACTGTTTTTATTATAATGCATTTGATTTTAGCACACTGGTGACAAATGGCTCAAAGAAGAAAAAAAATATATTGTAAAGAAACACACACAGCAAGCCTCAGGAAATGTATGATCCAGGGCAACTGTGAGGGGTTCAGCCTAAGAAATTCTTAGACCTTCACTGTGGTATTTTGTCACTAATCAGAACTTATTTACAATTTACTAAATCAGTATGCTTGTGCTATCCAGTTCAACATCCCAAATGAAGTAACTATATTGTTTGTTGACTGGCAATTAAATAATTTTCCATGGGCCAGATGGTCACATTTGAGACAATAAGCTATGATTATGGAAAGGGGGTTCACGAGGTATGACATTAATCTCAGATCCATTCTTTTAATCAAGCACACATAGGTTTCAATTCTTAAAGGATAAATTATGGGCAGAAGGAGCAAAACAAAATGCATTTCATATAAATTTTCTTCTTGTTGTTTTGTTTGGTTTTGTTTTGTTTTCTAGTAGCAACTTTGTTTAGCATTCCGTAGGTTGCTACAGTAAAAATGAGCATGGTGCAGATTGCTATGGCAGGAAACTACTATAAAGCAGACTAACCTGGCAGTGTGGTTTTGGGCACATGATCTCAGCTAAAACTATGGCACTGAGAGTCAATATGGAGCTGAAGTTAATTGAGAAGACTAGAATCCTTTTGGAGAAAATAGAGTAATCCCAAAATTCCTACAAGGTTTCCAGGTAGCTTCATGGGAATCTCATGATAAGATAAAAGAGAATAAATTATAGCACATTAAAACTTCCCCCCAAATTTTAGAGTTAACTAATCCACTTCATTGAGCCCTAAACTTATTATGTACTATTAGTTTTGAATTTCAACTTTTATTTTAGATATAAGGGCCACAGGTGTAGGTTTGTTACATAGGTATACTGCACCCAGGTAGTAAGAATAGTACTCAATAGGTAGCTTTTCAGCCCATGCCCCACATCATCCCTCCTGCCACTGGTGGTCCATAGTGTCTGTTGTTTCCAGGTTTATGTTCATATGTGCTCAATCTTTAGCTCCCACTTATAAGTGAGAACATGCAATATTTAGTTTTATGTTCCTGTGTTCACTTAAAATTATGGCCTTCAGCTCCATCCATGTTGCTGCAAAGGATACGATTTCATTCTTTTTTATGACTGAATAGTATTCCATTGTGTATAAATATCACATTTTCTTTATCCAACAGACCATTACTAGGCATCTAGGTTGATTCCATGTCTTTGCTATTGTGAATAGCACAGTAAGAAGCATATGAGTTCATGTGCCTTTTGGGTATAATGATCTATGTTCCTTTGGGTCAAATTGGTGGCTCTGTTTTAATTTTTTTGAGAAACCTCCTAACTGCTTTCCACAGTGGCTAAACTAATTTATACTCCCACAAACCATGTGTAAGTTTTCCTTTTCCTCTGCAGCCTCACCAGCATTTGTTGTTTTTTAACTTTTTAATAATAGCCATTTTGACTGGTGTGAGATAGTATCTCATTGTGCTTTTGATTTGCATTTCTCTGCTGATTATTGATGATGAGCATTTTTTTCATGTTTGTTGACCACTTGTAGGTCTTCTTTTAAGAAGTGTCTGTTCATGTCCTTTGCCCATTTTTTAAGTGAGGTTATTTGTTTTTTGCTTGTTCACTTAAGTTGCTTACAGATTCTGCCTATTAGATCTTTGTCAGATGCATATGTGGTGAGTATTTTGTCCTATTCTGTAAGTTGTCTGTTCACTCTCAGTTTCTTTTGCTGTGCAGAAGCCCTTTAGTTAGGTTTCAATTGTCAATTTTTGATTTTGTTGCAATTGTTTCTGGGGACTTAGCCAAAAATTCTTTCCCAAGGTTAATGTCCAGAATGGTATTTCCTAGGTAGGATTTTTGCATATGGTGAATGGTAGGGGTCCAGTTTCATTCTTCTGCATATGGCTAGGCCATTATCCCAACACCCCTGGGAAAGAGAGTCCTTTCCCCGTTGCTTGTTTTTCTCAGCCTTGTAGTTGATCAGATGGTTTTAAATGTGTGGCTTTATTTTTGAGATTTTTATTCTGTTTTGCTGGTCTGTGTGTCTGTTTTTATACCAGTACCATGCTGTTTTGGTTAATACAGCCTTATATTAAAGCTATATTAGTTTGAACATATAGTTTGAAATTGGGTAGTTTGATGCCTCTGGCTTTGTTCTTCTTGTTTACAGTTGCTTGGGCTATTTGACCTCATTTTTGGTCCCCTATGAATTTTAGAGTAGCTTTTTCTAATTCTGTGAAGAATGATTTTGGTAATTTGAAGGAATAATGTTAAATTTGTTTGTGGTGATTGTAATGAGATTGTGTTTTTTATTTAACTTTCAGCCTCGACATTGTTGGTGTATAAAAATGCTACTGATTTTTGTATGTTGATTTTGTATCCTGAAACTTTCCTGAATTCATTTTTTGGTTCCAGTAGCCTTTTGGTGGAGTCTTTATAGAGTTTTCTAGGTACAGACTCATCAGTGAAGAGAGATGGTTTGACTTCTTATTTTCCTATTTGTATGATTTTTATTTATTTCTCTTGATTGATTGCTCTGGCTGGGACTTCTGGTACTATGTTGAATAGGAATGGTGAGAGTGAGCATCCTTGTTTTGTTCTAGTTCTCAAGGGCAATGGTTTTAGCTTTTGCCCATGAAGTGTGACATTAGCTATTGGTTTGTCTAAGATTGTTCTTATTATTTTCAAGTATTTTCCCTCAGTGCCTATTGAGGGTTGTTGGGGTTCTTTGTGTTTTTTGTTTTTGTTTTTGTTGTTTTTTTGTTTGTTTGTTTTAAAAAAAAACCATGAAGGTATATTGGATTTTATAGAAGACTTTTTCTATGTCTATTTAGATGATCATACAGTTTTTGGTTTTGATTCTGTTTATATGGTGAGTCACATTTGTTGGTGTGCGCATGTCGAACTAGCCTCTCATTCCAGAAATAAAGCCTGCTTGATGGTGTTGGATAAGCTTTTTGATGTGCTATTAGATTAGATTCTGGTAGAATTCAACTTTGAATCTATCTGGTCAAGGTGGCTGAAGTGTGCTGGAGGTATGAGCAAAGCAGTCTGGTTCTTTGCCCCTTCCTAGTGGCAATGACAGAGGGCCTCTTGGTTGTTTCTTGGAAACTCTTCTCCAGAGAAATGCAGAGCCGTGGCTGGTCAGAGTGATAAGCCACGGTTAAGGCAGCTGCGCTGTGAGCCCAAACCAGGATACCCTGTCTGGTTAAAAGCAGGCGAGGTGAGGGCTGGAGAGGAAGACTGGCCTTCTCTCTGTAGGACAGTTTCAGTGTGTTGCAGGTGGATGAAAGCAATCAGTCTCTTTGTTCCCTGCCTAGCCTGGGGTGAGCAAGGGTGGATACCACAGAGGTGACAATGGCAGAGGGCCTGTAGATTGTCTCTGGGAGCTCCACCCCAGAGAAACGCAGAGCTGTCACCAATTGAAGTGATCAGGTGGGGGTGGGTCGACCGCACTGGAGACCCCAGCTGGGAGGCCCTGCCCTGTGAGGCACAGCAGGGGAAGGGATCCATGTGGAAAACAGTCTGCCCACCTTTTCATACTATAGCTGCAGGGTTTTGGAGGCCCGTGACGGTTCTCTGACTCTTTGTTACCTAGCCTGGGTGAGGGCAGCAGGGGTGGACACCACAGCAGCAGCAGTCATAGGAAGCCTGTGAGTTACCTGTGGGAGGTCTGTCCCAGAGAAATACAGGGCATGACCACCAGAGTGCTTAGACAGGGGTGGGTGGCTGTTCTGGGGGCCCAAGCCAGTGGGCCTTGCCTGTAAGGAGCAGGGGAAGTGGGGCCTCCAGCCTGTCAGCTCCTCAGCACCATGCATGTGGCCCTTATCCTAGGGGCATGTGAGAGAGACTGGCCTCGCTTGTTGGTAGAGCTATGGCAGCTGGAGCTGGGGTGCTCAGGGATCCAAGGCCCGTGGGGCTCCACATGGGCTTGAGCAACGGTTCTGCCTGGACTCTCCAGGCTGTTCTCCACATCAGTCTGGAGGGTGGGGTGGGATGGTGGGGTGATGGCAGTAGGGGTGTCAGAGGGATCTGGTTGCTAAGGTCCATGGCAGAAGTGTGGGTCCCAGGGGCTCTCGTTCACTCACTCTTTCCCCATGGTAGGGAACCACCCCTTGCTCTATGTCAATCTCCCATGGGCAGCGATCCTGCCCCCGCCATCTCTACTCTACTCTCAGTGGGTCACTCTTGCTTCTTGAATGGTTCACTTGAGCTAGTATTTACTTGCCCCTCAGTCTCCTCTCCATGAGAGCGATGTGCACTAGTTGCTTCTAGTCAGCCATCTTGGCTCTTCTCCCCGACATTCTGTATTCTCATTACACCCCAAGCTACGCTAGCCTGTCTGTGAATAGATTTGAATAGTAAAACCTTAAATTAAAGAACAGGTTGTAATTCATGTACAGCAGAGTTGTTTCTATCATAGAAAAGCTAGGAAGCAGAAATTAGAACAAAATTTTAAATTCATAAAAGGAAATTTTTCCTCTTTTTTCATGTGATTCATTTGCTGTTGCTTTAAATTGTAGTGAATTTTTAATACTACATTTGAACATGGCTTAGGAGAGCCCTTTTAAGGGGAAGAAGAATGGTTAATATTTCACATGAGGTATTATTTTAACTGCGGTATATTAACCACATTTGTGAGTAAGTAAGAGAAATGAACCAAGAAGCAAGTGTTATTTTATCCCCCATCCCAAGTTCTACTATCCCTACTTGATATATGTGGAGTTGCATGGCAGCCTTTTTTACAAGAGGATAAGCTGTTGGACATACATAACAGATGGGGTCATAACTTCCGAGTTCCATAAACATGGTCTCCACTCCTGGAGGCAATAATGTACTACGATGCTTTTTCAATGTGTTTATAGTAGGTGCATTGCTGGCATTTTACAAGTTATTGAGTGTCAGTGCGGCAATAACTTGTAATGTAGTTTTCAACATAGCTTCATGTGTTTTTAGGGGTGAGGTAAAATAGGTAAAAAATAGCTTACTAAATTATTATTTTATCCTGTCGGCTAGTCCAAGAGTGTTATGCTGTTTCATTTTAAAGTGCATTTGCAGTTGTTTTAGTATCATTATTAATATATTTTGTCCTCTGTAGGATCATCTTGTCAGTGTGGTTTTCAGTTATTTCTGGTACATAGTATCCCACTATAACATGCTCATCATACTTCACCCAAGATGGAGGGCAACCTGCTGCTCTCTAAAATCCAGTTAGCCTCATTGGAAACGGAGTATCCCCAGAAGACAAGAAAAATATGATTCTAGTGCAGCATATCAAAAATATTTCTAGAGGAAAAGTTTTATTTTAAGGTCTTTCTTTGAGAGTTATATTCATCCATTGAATAAGACTCAATGTCAAATATCTAGCAAGTGTATTAAGCAGTTAATACATGTCAATTTAGGTGTTTTCATCATTTGAGTTTCTAGAAGTTGATTTCAGGAAACAATGATGATGTATTGATAAATGAGATCAAATTACCGTGGGTCTATTGATGGGGGAGGTAAATGGTACGGAAGCAGATTGTTGTTATTTTATCTAAAGATTTAGTTTCAAAAATTCTTTACACAATCTCCACTTTTTCCCATCTCTCATATAAATCCTACTCTACATTCCATAGCCATGGCAGTTATATTTTTCTTTGTTCTCTGTATAACTATATTTATTGGATTTTGCCATTTATTATAGTGTTATACACGATTAATCTTATGTGCTAGATTTAAGCCCATTCACAAGAAAGACTAGAGTTTGCTTATTTGCCTTTATATCCTTATCTCCACCTTTTCTCTTCCACTTTCAACCCTGAATAGATAGTAATGGGCATGACAAATGCTCACTGTTAAGAATGGTATTATGTGGGGTTTACATATTGTGGTAAAGCACATAAAGAAATGGTGGTAGAAAATAGACCTTTGATTTTATACATCAGCTTCCTGTTTGTAAGTTTTAATGAAATATTAATGAAGATTATCCTTCTTTCTATTGCACATTGTAGGGATTTACAAGATTAGTGGATAAAGATTAAATATATTTTAATTAGCTCACAGGACTTTTAAAGATTCCAACAATCCTCTAGGTAGAAATACTGATTACAGTGACCTGAGTCTAGATTTGAACACAAAATATTTTTGCATGGTTCTAATGCATACTGATTTTTCTAGACATACAGCTACTACGTAAGTTACAAATGATTATTCCTTGTTTTGTTTACAATGTTACCAAGAAAGAGATTGTTTATTAATTTAATATTTAGTTGCATTAAATAATCATTGAAATTCGACCTCATGCATCTAATATGGCTTTCAGTCCTTGAGATACAAGTGTGATTGAAGCACACAAAAATCTCTAGGGCAAAGAATAAACATAATAAATTAAAAAATATATGATTCGATACAAAATGTTATCATAAATAAGATACAAATTTAAAATCTTAAATCAATAAAATCTTATGATAAACATATGAATATAATTATACCATAGAAAAATAATGTACAGCAGAGTAAGGAGATTAGGGGGTTCCAAGGGGGAAATATTGCCATTTTATGTGGAGTGGTTAGTTTATACCTTATTTAGAAGATGACACTTGAGCAAAGATATAAAACAGATGAAGGACTTAGCCTTGAAGAATATCCTGGTGTAGATCATCCTAGCCTGAGAGATAGTGGTGCAGTGTACCTAAGTGACAGCTCAGCTGACATGTTCAAGGAAGAGCAAGGGGGCTGGCAGTGACTGGGGAAGAGTCAATAAAGGCAACACTAGTAGGAGAAGAATGTCAGAGAGGTAACAGGTTGCCAGTTTATATAGGGTTGTGTAAGCTACTGAGAAAAAAATGTCTTTTGAGTAAAATACAAAGCCTTGATAAGGTTTCCAGCAGAAAAGTAAAAATATTTAATTTACACATACACAAAGACTCTGTGAGTGTTGCGTTGATACAAAGTGCAATGAAGTTCCAAGAGCAGAAAAAGCAAGAAGACTTTTATGCTATTGCAATAGTCTAAGCATGAAACAGTGGTTTATTTCAGCCAGTGTTGTAGCAACAGATGTGTGAAGATATGGCTATATGGGGTTTTGTGTACCTCCTGAACTTAAAGTTGGTGTCAATAGTGAGGGCGGTCTTGTGGACTGTGTTCACTGTAGCTACATAAGTGGCTAATTTTTTCTAGTAGTATGCTGGGTGTGAGATAAACAGAAAATCTAAAGATTATACAGTACACTACGCATGAGCAACTGGAAGGTATGAAATGGTAAATATGTGGGTTAAATTTATGTGTCAGTTTTACCAGGCCATGAAGTGCCCAGATATTTGGTTAGACATTACTCTGGGATAGTGTTTCTGGATGACAGTAACATTTAAATCAGTAGACGGAGAAAAGTGGATTGTCCTTCCCATTATAGTTAGAACTCATCCAAGCCACGGAAAACGTAATAACACAACAGGGTATAGAGGAGAATTCACTCTCTCTGGCTGACTCTTTTTGATCTGGGACATTAATCTTCACCTGTCTTTGGACCAAGACTTGGACTAGAATCTATACAATTGCCTCTCCTGGTTCTCAGGCCTTTGATCTTGGAACAGAACTTTACTATAGGCTCTCCTGGGTTTCTACCTTGCTGAGTACAGATCTTGGAACATCTCAGCTTCCATAACCAAACCAGTTCCTAATAATAAATATATCTTTCTCTCACATATATGTATTTTATTTTATGTAATATAAAAATATTATATTAATAACAATATACATTTTTATTTTTCCTATTGATTCTGTTTCTCTGAAGAACACAGACTAATATAATAAATATATGAAAAACCCTGTAATTCAGTGTGTAACACTCTGGGTAAGCAGGTTTGGGGGTAATATGAGGAGTTCAGTGCTTTGTACATGTTGAGATGTCTATTAAACAGACAAGTGAAAATATAAGAGGCAGGGTTTTTGTTTTTTGTTTTTTTGTTTTTGTAGATTCTGTCCTAGAGGTAGAAATAAAATGTGAAGTTATTTGCATGTTTATGTAAAGAAGAGGACCAAGGATTAATATACTTTCACCTTAAAAAATGTAGGTGAAGAGAAAGAATCAGAAAATTCTGACTGAAAAAAAAAATAAAAAATCATCCAGTAGAATAGAAGAGATGTAAGAGAGTGTAAAGTCCTAGAAGCTAGGTCAAAAAGTTTATCAAGGAGGTGGTAATGATCATCTGTGTCAATTAGTGACTACTGGAGGTAGGTGGGGATGATTAATGGGTACTTCCATGCACACAATCTAGAAAAAAATTATCTATTTTTATAGTTTGAATGAATGAATGAAGCCTAGTATTTGGTAGCAAGACAGAGTGACCACAGTAAATAATATTTTAATTTTACATTTAAACATAGCTAGAAGAGTACAACTGGATTGTTTGTAACATAAGTCTAAATGCTTGAAGGGGTGGATACTCTGTCTTCCATGATTTGATCATTATGCATTGCATGTCTGCATCAAAACATCTCATGTACCCCATAACTACATATACCTTGTATGAACCCACAAAATTTTAAACTTTTAAATTAAAAAAAGTTTTACATACTGATTAAGATTTGTAAAATTTGTAATGAGAGAAATAAACATTGAATTTCACGATGGGGAATTTATTGACAGCATTAAAAGAACAGCCTTAGTCTTATAATGAGGACAGAAACCTAATTAAGTCGCTCTTAAATATAATGGAAAGAGAGAGAAAGCTGATGGAGAAAAAAAATTGTATTAGTGTCCTTGGGTTGTCATAACAAAGTACCATAAAGTGGATGGATTAAATAGTAGAAACATATTTCCTCCAGTTCTGGAAGCTAGAAGTCCAAGGTCAAGGTATCAACAGGGTTGATTGATCATTCTGAGATCTCTCCCTGGCTTGTAGATGATCATCTTCTCTCTGTGTCTTCGCATGGCCATCTTCTCTTTGTCTTCACATGGCTTTCCTCTGTGTATCTTCCATGTCTTAACTTTCTCTTTTTTTTAACATTTGGATAATAATTTTTTTAAAAATTTTATTTTTATTTTAAGTTCCAGGGTACGTGCTGAACAGGATGTTCAGTTTTGTTATGTAGGTAAACATATGCCATGATGGTTTGCTGCACCTATCAACCCTTCACCTAGTTATTAAGCCCAGCATGCATTAGCTATTTTTCCTAATTCTCTTCCCCACCCCCACACTTTCTTTTCTTATAACAGCATGTATCATATTGGAATAGGGAGGGTCTGCTCTAATTTTCTTATTTTAACTTAATTACTTATTTAAAGACCCTGTCTCCACATACGGTCACATTCTAAGATACTAGGGACTAGGATCCCAACATGTAAATTTTGGTAGAAAATAATTTAGCCTGTTACATTCCATCCTCTGTCTGCCCCCCATCCCAAGCTTCATGTCCTTCTTGCATACAAAATATATTCACCCAATCCCAATAGTCCCCAAAGCCTCAACCCATTCCAGCTTTACCCTATGTCCAAAATCTCATTTAAGTGTACAATTTTTAGCTGTACGCAGTGGCTCATGCTTGTAATCCCAGCACTTTGGGAGGCCAAGGTGGGCAGATCACGAGGTCAGGAGATTGAGACCATCCTGGCCAACATGGTGAAACCCTGTCTCTACTATAAATACAAAAATTAGCTGGGCGTGGTGATGGATGGCTGTAGTCCCAGCTACTCGGGAGGCTGAGGCAGGAGAATCACTTGAACCTGGGAGGCGGAGGTTGCAGTGAGCTGAGATTGTGCCACTGCACTCCAGCCTGGGCAACAGAGTGAGACTCCACCTCAGAATAAATAATAAACAATTTTTACGTTAGCTATGGGTAAGACTAGAAGTATGATATTTCTAGAGGCAAAATTCTCTACAGCTGTGAACTTGTGGAATATGACAAGTTATCTGTTTCCAAAATATGGTGGTACAACAGACATAGGATAGACATTCTTATTCCAAAAGGGAGAAATTATAAAAAACGAAGAGATCATTAGTCCCAGACAAGTCTGAAACTAGCAGGGATAACTCCATTAGATTTTAAGTTGCAAAAAGAATCCTCTCTCACTCAATGCTCTGTACCTCTGAGCCCTGCCTTCTAGACCCACTGTGTAGTTAGTGACTATTGGGAACAGGCCCCCCAAAATCTGGCCATAAACGGGCCCTGAAACTGGCCATAAGCTAAATCTCTGCAGCACTGTGACATGTTCATGATGGCCATGATGCCCACGCTGGAAGGTTGTGGGTTTACCAGAATGAGGGCAAGGAACACCTGGCCTACCCAGGGCGGAAAACCGCTTAAAGGCGTTCTTAAACCACAAACAATAGCATGAGCAATCTGCGCCTTAAGGACATGCTCCTGCTGCAGTTACCTAGCCAGACCCATCCCTTTATTTCAGCCCATCCCTTTGTTTCCCATAAGGAATACTTCTAATCTATAATCTATAGAAACAATACATATCACTGGCTTGCTGTAAATAAATATGTGGGTAAATCTCTGTTCGAGGCTCTCAGCTCTGAAGGCTGTGAGACCCATGATTTCCCACTCCACACCTCTATATTTCTGTGTCTTTAATTCCTCTAGCCCCGCTGGGTTAGGGTCTCCCCAACCGATCTGGTCTCATCAAGTGACCCCATCCCTGCATTCTTAATTACTTATTTAAAGGCCCTTTCTTCAAATACAGTCACATTGTAAGATACTGGGAGTTAGAACTTCAATAAATTTGAGGGGGAACACAACTCAGCCCATAGCAGAGGGTTTAGACCATTATTCTGAAGAGACTGAATTTGAAAGGTTAGCAAGGCTATCAAAAGAGAAAGATCAATGTAATAATGTAATATTTCTTTAATATAGTGAATGATTCAGTAATAATGTTGAGTTTTATCAAAGGCCTTTTCTATGTCTATTGAGATAATTACATGGTATTTGTTTTTAACTCTGTTTATGTCATGAAGCACATTTATTGATCTGCGTATGTTGAACCAATCTTGCATCCTAGTAATAAATCCTACTAGATCATGGCAAATTAACTTTTTGATGTGCTGCTGAATACAGTTTTCTAGTGTTTTGTTGAGGATTTTTGCAGTTACATTCATCAGGGATATTGGCTAAGTTTTCTTTTTCTCATTTTATCTCTGCCAGGTTTCGATATCAGAATGATGCTGGCCTGATAGAATGTGTTAGTGAGGAGCCTCTACTCCTAAATTTTTTGGAATAATTTTAGTGTGATTGGCATCAGCTCTTCTTTATATGTCTGGTATAATTTAGCTGTGAATCCATATTGTCTGTGGCTTTTTTCTCATTCATAGGTTTTTATTACTGATGCACATTGGAAACTTGTTACTGGTTTGTTTAGGCTTTTAATTTCTTCCTGGTCCAATCTTGGGAGGTTGTATGTTTCCAGACATTTATCTATTTCTTCTAGGTTTTCTAGATTGTGTGTATGGAAGTATTTGTAATAGTATTTTTTGTATTTCTGTGGGGTCAGCGGTAAGGTCCAATTTGTTCTTTCTGATTGTTTATTAGGATCTTCTCTCTTTTTTCATTAGTTTAGCTAATGGTCCATCAATCTTATTTATTCTTTCATAAAATGAACATTTGGTTTTGTTGATCTTCTGTATGGTTTTCTACATCTCCATTTTGTTCAGTTTTCTACATCTCCATTTTGTTCATTTCAGCTTGGACTTTGGTTATTTCTTTTTTTCCTGCCACCTTTGAGGATGGCATGTACTTGTGTTTCTAGTTCCTCTAACATGTAATGTTAGATTGTTAATTTGAGATCTTTCTACCTTTTTGATGTGGGCATTTGACCCTATAAACATTTCCCTTAACACTGCTTTAATTGTATACTGGAGATTCTGGTATGTTGTATTTTAGTTTTCTTTAGTTTCAAATAATTTCTTGATTTTTGCCTTAATTTCATTGTTTACCAGAAGACCATTCAGGAGCATGTTGTTCAATTTCCATGTAGTTGTATGATTTTTGAGAGAGCTTCTGGGTATTCATTTCTGTTTTTATTGCACTATAGTCCAAGAGTGTGATTGGTATGATTTTGTTTTTGTTTGAATTTGTTTAGAGTTGCTTTATGGCCTTGTCTGTGGTCAGTTTTAGAGTATGTGCCATCTGAAGTTGAGAAAAATGTATATTCTACTCTTACTGGATTGAGTGTTCTGTAAATGTCTGTTAGATGTCAGTTTTCTGCCTCAATGATCTGTCTAATACTTTCAGTGGATTGCTGACATCTCTCCCTAGTGTAGTGTGGTTATCTTCACAATTCTCTAAGAACTTTGTGAATCTAGGTGTCCCAATGTTGCATGCATATATTTAGATAGTTAAGTCTTCTTGTTTATTTGAACCCTTTATCCTTCTTTGCTTTTTTTGGTCATTGTTGGTTTAAAGTCTGTTTTGTGTGAAAGAAACTGCTCTTTCTTTGTTTTCCATTTGCTTGGTAAATCTTTCTTCATCTCTTTACTTACTTTCAGCTTCTAGCTATAATTGTGTGTCAGATGGATGTGTTGAAGACAGCATATAGTTGGGTCTAGCTTCTTTATCCAGCTTGCCAATTTGTGTCTTTTAAGTGGGGAGATTAGCTCATTTACATTCAAGGGTAATATTGATATGTGCAGATTTGACCCTACCATTGTGTTGTCAGCTGTTTGTTATGTAGACTTCATTGTGTAGTTGCTTTATAGTGTCAATGGTGTATGGACTTAAGTGTGTTTCAGTGGTGGCCAGTAATAGTCTTTCATTTCTACACTGAGCTCTCCCTTCAGAATCTTTGGTAGAGCAGGTCTGGTGGTAATGAATTCTCTTAGCATTTGCTTTTCTGAGAAAGGTTTTAGATATCCTTCACTTATGAAGCTTAGTTTGGCTGGATATAAAATTACTGTTAGAATTTCTTCTTTTAATGATACTGTAAATAGGCCCCCAATCTCTCTGACTTGTAGGTGTTCTGCTGAAAGGTCACTATTAGCTTATGGGGTTCCCTTTTTAAGTGACCTGCTCCTTCACTAGCTGATTTTAATATTTTTTTCTTTTTTATTGCCTCTGGTTAATCTGATGACATTATGTTGGGGATGGTCACCTTGTATAGTTCCTTGCAGGAGTTCTCTGAATTTCCTAAATTTGAATGTCAACATCTCTAGAGAGGTTGGAGATTTTTTTGTGGAGAATATCCTTAAATATATTTCCCAAGGTGCATGTTCTCTTTCAGGGATGCCAGTGAGTCATAGGTTTGGTGTCTTTACAAAATGTCTTTTGAATTTTCAACATGATTTTGTAATAATGGCATCTATGTTTACTTTTTTCAAATTCATTTGTGCACAGAAATCACATACATATATAGCTATGTAGATGTATATGCACATATATACATATAATGATATATTCAATGTATGTCTATATTCAATATGTGCATATATATATTCAATTTATGTATATATAATGTATATATTTACATTGAACATTTTTAGTTCATGTTTTCATGAATGTATTCATTCAGACTTTTTATTTTATGTTTTCAAATGATATATGACAGTGTATTAAATATGCTTTAAGTTTTTATTAATAATTCTGGACATTTAAACACATATATCAGATATACAATTGAACAAAAACTTACTCTAACTTGTAACTTAAAAGCACCATTTATAATAATATATATTAAATGCTTGTAATATTTGACTTACTTGAACAAACAAGTTATGTTATTGCTTATTCTCAAATGTATGCAATGTTAAGTACACAGAAAAAAAATCAATTTTTGGAAGCTTAATGCTATCATGTAGCAGAGACATGGGTAAGCTAACCATTGAATAATCTTTAATAATTTGTTCTAATAGAGCTTTCAAGTTATTTAGGAATAAGATGTTGGTATGAAAATATGCATATATCAGCTGGCTGCAGTGGCTCATGCCTGTAATCCTTGGGTTTTGAGAGACCAACGTGTGAGGATCAGTTGAACTCAGGAGTTCAAGACAACCCTGGCCACATGGTGAAACCCCATCTCCACAAAAAATGCAAAAACATAGCTAGGTGTGGTGTTGCATGCCTATAGTCCCAGCTACTCAGGAGCCTGAGGTGGGAGAATCACCTGAGCCCAGGAGGCTGAGGCTGCAGTGAGTCGTGATCATGCCAGTGCACTCCAGTCTGGACAACAGAGTAAGACTCTATCTCAAAAACAAAAACAAACAAAAAAATGCATATATAAATTTTGATTGTATGTTTCTTTGGCAGCCTCGTATAACTTATTATAAAATTTGTTCATACAAAAAATGTGTTTTGATAATTTTGAAAGTCAAATATGCAAAAATTATACTTGATTCACTTTTAATATGTTTACAATACAATTATTGCCTTAATGTATGCATTTAGTACACTAAGTATATGGAATATATATGCATACGCAAACACATATAAATATATGCTTAACAGAGGCAAATTATACTTTACTCTTGTAATTAAGTTTTTTTACCTTTAGCAGTATATTGCAAATGTATTTTCATAATAATACAAATAGCAATATATATTAATCCACAACTTTATTTATTTATTTATTTATTTATTTATTTATTTATTTATTTATAGAGGGAGTCTTGCTCTGTCGCCCAGGCTGGAGTGCAGTAGCACAATCTTGGCTCACTGGAACCTCCACCTCCCTGGTTCAAGCAATTCTCGTGCCTCAGCCTCCCAAGTAGCTGGGGTTACAGACACCTGCCACCATGCCCGGCTAATTTTTGTATTTTTATTAGAGATGGGTTTTCACCATATTGGCCAGGCTGGTCTCAAACTCCTGATCTCAGGTGATCCACCAATCTTGGCCTCCCAAAGTGTAGGGATTACAGGCGTGAGCCATCGCACTCAGCCTACAAATTTATTGATTAAATAGGATTCTATTTTGTGAGATAGCTTAATCCAGTTACCTGGATTCATACAATACAAAGTAGTGGGCAAGCCTCATTCTCTTTTTCCACCCTCTAAAATGAACACTTGAACACATATAAATACAAACAGCCAGTAGTTTCCCATAGTCTACTGATAAAAAAATCAGACCTGAAATCTTGCTGTTATTAAATGCAAAAATTGCTATTATTAATAACAAAAAGGGAAGTCAATATTACCTCTACATTAAGTTTATTATCTTTAAATTATTGTATTATTCTTAGTGTAAGCTATGGGAAGAGATTTTGTGTATTTAATTTATTTCAGTTTTCAAAAACATGTATGAAATATGCACTCTATCAAAGAATTGTAGTTAAACCTTAAAGTATAATTCAATTTTAATTTTAGGAAGTGATCAGATCAAGAATAGTTGTTGCAGACCTTTAGAACCATACCCTGAAATAAGAATTTCACATCCACATGCATACTAAATGTTGTGCAAATGATATGATATAAGTTCTGTTCTCCATATCTGGTTCCTCACAGAGGAATTTCTGGTAGTGTTTTCATCAGTGGGATTAATAAATTATTCTCTATTCTTCTGAAACTCCTTATTTATTATCCATAAAATCTGTGTTTGGATGCCCACTTTCATTACAGGACTTCCAGGTTCATAAGCCCCCTGTACAGCAACAAACTAATACACTGGCAGTGGAGTTTATAGCATAAGAAGTTTAATAATTGGGAGACCACAGAATGAAGAAATTTTGGAGGAATTCTGAAGCCTCAAATCTGTTTACATGAGGGGTTCTGGACAAGGGCGTTTAAGTAGATTTGTAAAGGGTGAGAGGCTGAAAAATTAGGGTCACCAATTGTTTGGGGGAAGTGGATAAAATATTCATGATGTGGAAACAGCATTTTTTCATGAGTCAGCTTCTCACTGGGCCCTTCTCACCTGCTGGCATTGGTAGTTTTGTCAGCATGCGGAACTTAATAGAGACACTCTTACATTTTATTCTTAGAACAAATAGTTTTGTGACAAGGACAATGTTATCCTAGAGTATTAAGCAATGACCAGCTGCAAAGAAATGGACCAAAGAGCAAGGTAGCTTTGCAATTACTGCTGATCATGTTGTAAGCCTAATTGAATTGTATTTTTTCCCTTAATCGATTTTATAAAGTTTGCTTGGTGACAGTTTCAGTCTCCCCTGTGCTCGGTCCATTCTTCATTCCTGAGGTGAGAGAGCTAATATGGTGGGAATCAGATGAACGTCACTCACTTTTTCCTGCTGCCAAGGGATATAGTTAGGAGGTCAGTCAGAATAAGAGGAATGAAACTGTCCTTCAGCAACCTGAAAGTATTCATGAGTGCCCAGTCAGAGTGCAGCATGAACACGTTAGTATCTCTGTCCATCAATTTTGTGTAACATTTAATTGACCAGTGAACTATAAGGCAAGTCATAAGCCACATTAACAAAATTGCAAGTGTGAACTTTAAGAGCCCTTGTAAAATGGACAGAAAACTTTGAGATATCCATGAGCAAAACTGCGAAAACCATTCAGACATAGGGTCTGTGGTAGAGACATGTAGTCCCTTGGCATGCTAAAAGATCTTTTTAGCCAGGTTCCTACTTCACCTGAAGCGTTGCTATAAGTACAACAGGTGGTACTGATCACTGCACAGACTCCTCCCTGTCTGGCCAAGACAAAAATCAAGTGCAGCCTGGTTGTCAAGGATTATTTGGGCAAGGGAATTTAAACCTTTGTGCTGAACCTTAATACTCTCAAACTTCTTCTGCAATTATTCCTATGGTTGTCTGTAAGTTTTAGATCATATCCCTGTTCATGAAGACCAGAAACTATAATGCCCAGAATGTTCTTCCCCCAGGTATCTTGATATCTACCAGAGAGTCTTCTTTTTAGTCTATGGAGAAATAGGCAGAAACGTTCATCATGAGGATGGACTGAGAAGGGAGTAAGCGGGAGCCCTTGATATGCAGGCTAAAGACACTTGTGGAGCCATCCTAGCAGAATAAGGACTTATCCTGTATCATAAACATATATCCAGAGAGTGCAGAGGTGATGCCTGTATGCATGCATTTATTGATGGACTCATTCATGGGAAGCACAGACAAAATAAAGTGAGCCATAGATCTTTCTTTTTACAGACTTCCCAGAATCCACTTATGTGATATTTCAGCTGTAGATATTGTTGGCATTGTAGGGAGATATTTTGGTTAGAGGTTGTTAGCTAGGGTGAAAAAATAGTGAAAAGACAAATTGAGATAAACTAAAAGGAGCAAATTTAAATATATCATTCTGTGTCTTCTTTAGCTAGTTTCTAAGTTCTGCAGGCACGTAAGTTCAGTTAAACATGTATGTCCCATTCCAGAAGATAACACTGCAGATGAGCCAGGCCTCTCTATAAGATGCAGAAAAACAGATCTTTAATGAGAGGTATTTCTATAGAAACAGAAAAAAGAGGTTAGTTCTGGAACAGTCCGTCTATAAACTATTTTTTTCTAAAACATTTGTGGCACCTTCAGATTGTGGTGGCAATCTGACAGATTTTTCTGGACTGTAGTTTGAACCAGGTGTTTAAGTGACTTTCTGAAAAGTTCATACATCAGCAGACAGGCATGAAGGTTGTTTAAAAGTTGCTGTTATTTCTCCTGAAGTTTATTGCCTAGATTCAGTTTGCAGTGTATTAAGAAAGTACAGTCTCTATCTCCAGTGATATCAAGTCAGGAAAATGGGAGAACAAATCTGAAAATGTTAGTTCAGAGATTTGTAGCCAGGAAAGAATTCAGGATCGGGCTAAGTAAAGGGTAGACAAAAAAATAAAATCTCAAAAATAATGGACAAGGCTATAATCTAATAACAGGTGTACTATAGTTTATTTTGAAATATAATTTTTTCTCTTCAGTCCCCCATTTCTGCCAATGACAAATCATAATAGGACCAATTTATTTGCAAAATATTTTAGTCTTACTCTATTTGGCCTGATTATTTGCATAAAGTACAGCAAGAATAGTGGTTGGCTATATAGGCTCTTTTAAGTTAGCTTTGCTGAAACTTTTTCATGAGGAATCTCGAGTTAGACTAATTAAAATCCTCACCATGTTAGCCAAGCCAAGGATTTATCATTGCCTGCGGATACCTGTATTAATTAGTTCCTGGGGCTGTCAGAAAGTGACACTCTTTACTTAGCACAGATCAGAATCTTTGGAAAGGAATCACATAGACAACATGCCAGGCTGGTCATTCCAAGGGGCTTCTATGGACTCTATAAAGTCAACCTCCATTCCTCAAAGCAGTCTGATCATATCTGATAATATGCCATTCCAGCCAGAAGCTTGGCAAAAAAAAAAAATCAAATAAACAAACAAACAATGGCTCTAATTTTATCGTTACAAAAGGAACAGATTCTTACTGAACTTATGCAATAATCATTTTGTCATAAATTAAGAATACTCTCAAATAGTTTCCAAGTTCTGAAGAAATAAGGTAGGAGAGAAAGACATATATCAAGTTTTGCTCAAAAGTTTCTTAATTGTTAAAACCTGTAAATAGCTCAAAAGAAAGTTTCCTTGACTCTAGAAAATAAAACAATGAATCAGCAATGTTTTAAACAAAAAGTCATAAAAATTATTTCTGTCCTGTTTTAGTTCAGTCCATACAATTAACTCTTGTTTTGCTTGATATCAAGTCAGCAATCATCATGAACACATCAGCTCTTTAATGAGAGTCCAGAAGTTTTGGCTTTTTTTTCTAGTCCAATGGTATAATCTTCATAGTTATCAGAAACCTGTATTTAAGAGTATTTGTCAGTTTTTTCCATGATTATTTTAAAGAAGCAAATTTTGACTAGCTGATTATAAACTGCTTTTTTTGGGAGAATTAAAGTAAAACAATAATTGTAGATGACAAAAGTCTTCCAGTAATCATGACTGAATACACAATTTGCAAGGAAATGTGGTTATTTCTGTAATACACAACGTTTTATCATAATAATGATTATTGCTGATATCATATACTGAAATATAACAGAATTAAAGGAAAATCACAATTTTAGAACATATATTAATAACATATTTATGTAAATGTAACCCAAAGAAAGTTAAACACCATTGCATATTTGACAATGCCTCTCATATGATTTTAAGATACCAAATAAACTGAATATGTCCTCTTGGACTTCAGGGATCCTACTATCGAAAAGGTTAGTTTAAGGTCATAAAACCAGAACTGATTACTTGAAATTTTGATTTTGGAAAATTTGTCAAACATCAAAGCTTTAAAACACTTGGTATCACAAAATAGGATCACAGGTCACTGTAAAGTCAGTATTCCTTTAGCCAAAGTGACAACTCAAAAATTTCCAGAAATGAAAACCTTTGCTTTTTGATAGAGAGGAGACTCAGTCTCTCAAAGGATTATAAGAGCTAATAAAGACAGCATCTGGCCAACTGAATCTGTCTCTCTCTCTGTCTCCCCTCTTTCATCTTCTTCCTTTTTTTTTTTTGGCAATTTACTCCAAAAGTAGAAAAAAATCATTTATTATAACTTATTAATGCTACAGGGAAATCTAGTTCAAAAAGAAAACCAAATTCTATGTCTGTATTAGCATATTATTAATGCTAGAGCTAATTTTAATGAAGCCTTATAAACAAATCCATCCAATCTTAGTTTAATGACAAGGCAATATTTTCATAAACCTTTTATAATCTTTTATAACTTTCTATTAAAGAATAGATTAAAGCTCCAAGAAATCCTTTTTATTCCAACACAGGGGCCCAGACTCTGACCCTGCATCCATATGGAGTTTTTGCCATTACTTTTGCACCAACCTAATATTAATATTTAATTTATAGAAAAACTAAATAATCCCCTTTAACTTTTAGCCAACTTGAGCACACTCAAAATTTCTTTCACAAGATGAATCTTCCACAAAACTTCTAAAACATGCTTAAACTTTCAGTTTTGCCCCATCATTTTACCTTACCACAAGCATTTATTTTCTTTTCTGACATTTTATATCCATTCCATTTTATTCAATTTCTTCCTTTAATTTAAAACAATTCTCAAAACCTCTACACTAGGTAAAATTACTTTACCTTTAACAAAAACCACATTCCCATGTCTTTTTATAACATATTTTTCTTTCCTTACACATTTTGCATATAGACATGTTTCTCTTATATCCAGTAGTTTTAATTACATATATTACAATGTTAGCTCTTAGTAACTCTTGGCAAAAAGCATAGGAGATAAGCAATTTTAATTATGTATCAGATGTGGAACCTAGAACAAAGGACAGAACAGTAGAAATAATGCCAGAGCCTTCCCAGCATAGCCAATAGACACAGCTGGGCCAGAGAGAAAGCCAAATGTCCCCAGGCCTTACCATGGCCATTTGTTTAGAGCCTAGAATCTAATGGCTCCATGATGTAAGGTCACAGACAAATCAAATTATTATTAAAAAATCATAGAAGCAGCTTGTGATAAAACATCTAGCAGACAGTATCTGACCTGCTTGATCAGTTCAGACCTAATATCTAAATTAAATCCTGAAGGCATTTTTATTTTATTTTACCAGCAACGTTAAAACTTTATTTACCAAAGATAAATTTTAAAAGGCATTTGAGTTAAGGTTTTTATTTTTTTGATAAAATATTGGACTTAAATATTTTTAAAGGCAGTTAGATCTCTTTCAAATGTTTTGGTAGTAAAATATTACATATATATGATACGCATAAACACATAGACATAACACATAGAAGCAACTCTTTCAGACTTACAAGATTTTTCTTTCCTTTCTTGTTTTTTGTTTTTTTTTGGGTTTTTTTGTTTGTTTTGTTTTTTTAATTTTTGTTTTTGTTTTGTTTGGTTTGGTTTTGTTTTGAGATGGAGTCCCGCTCTGTCACCCCAGGCTGGAGGGCAGTGGCAGGATCTCAGCTCACTGCAAACTCTGCCTCCTGGGTTCAAGTGATTCTTGCTCGAGTACTTCAGCCTCCCAATTACAGGCGCCCTCCACCACACCCAGCTAATATTTTTTGTGTGTGTATTTTTAGTAGACACGGGATTTTGCCATGTTGGCCAGGCTGGTCTCAATCTCCTGATCTCAGGTGATCAGCCCTCCTCAGCCTCCCAAAGTGCTGGGATTACAGGCATGAGCCACTGCGCCGGGCCAGATTTTTCATTTGCTAGTTTTCAATTAGTTTTTCTTCCCCACTTTAGACTTTTAATATCTTGATTACCTGTCCCATGCCCTGAACAATTGCTAACTAGGCAACTCTAAATCTTCTAAAGGCATGACTCAGGTAAACATGGTAAAACATGTATCAAATGCACAGAAATTAGATCTAAAAACAGACAAGACTTGATATGAAAACTTTAAGCTAATGTCTTCCATATCCCACAGATTTATGGAGGTTTAGGTACAGAGAGGGAGATGCCTTTACAGCTCAAGATTTCTTTTCAAATGTTGTATTTTGGCTGTTTAACTTAGCTTATTTCTTAAATTGTGGACTTCAGGGTATAGAAAAAGTAAATAGAATAATTTTTAAGAAAGAAAGTGAAGGGAGGTATCAAACACATTTTTTAAACAAGTTTTATTTCATTAAAAAATTTAAAACAGCATCTAAAGGGAAAAAGCAGAAAGGCCTTCAAATACATACATATGTACATGTATACATCTTAGATATCTGCTTTTGAATTAAACTGACTTTTATTATAGAGCTCTTTTTAGAAATCATTTTAAACATCAGGAAGTAAACTCAAGTTGTGGCAGACATTTTAACTACCAGACTATAAAACAGATGAGCCTCCAATGTTACTCTTGCATGGACTCCAAAGTGAATAGTTTGAGTGTAACTGTTGTAGGTCAGACATTTGCTCTTTAATTTACTCAAGACTTTTTAAGCTAGCATGACACTATTATGTGACCTTTTAATTTGATCTTCCCACCAATTGTTTGGAATAAGAGATCCCTAAAATCTTTTTTTTTTTTAATTCATCAAAACCTTGCAGAGAAGATACACAATGATTTTTACCATCTCTTAACCAGTTTGCACAGAGAGAGAGAGGCCAGAAGCCTGGCTGGTAAGAAATTCTTGCCCTTCTTCCAACTTGTCAGGTTCCTGCGTTCCCCTCTCTTCAGCTTCGAGAAGAACTGAAAAACAGTGGTGAACCTGCTTACTGTGTCTTAATTGTGGGGCCAAGCCATGATACAAAAAAAAAGATTATCCTTTTCTGTTTCATGGAATCACAAGCAAAAGCTTCCCAGTTTTGTAAGATGCAACCCAGTGGGCTACTTGGGGGAACCAAATTAATATTTCTGTTCCAGTAAAAAATACTAGACACCCTGCTCAGCACCTAAGTATTGATCTGGCAGTGCTCAAATTGTTCCCATTTACCCCTGCCATCTTTGATCCACTCAGCATGGGGAGGGATAACTTCTCACCAGAAGCTCAATGGGTGGTCTCCAGACAAGATGAAATAGCAGACAATTACCCTGAGTTAGGTCTGTTGAGCTTTCCCTAGCAACTCCTTTAGAGATCCCCTTCACAGATCCAAATACACATAACAAGACAAAGACAAACTAAAGGACTTCCAATATAAAGTCTCAGATTTAAAAAACCAAGAGTATTTCTCCAAAGCAATGCCCCTTATTCTCCTTCCAATTGAGAAGAGATTACCTCAAAGACCTACCTTCTACTTTGGGAGAGTCAACAAGCCCTCAAAAGAGGCCACAAGACCTCTGAAGAGACCAACAAATCAGAAGAAAAGGGGGTACCCGTTGTACAGAGAAAATTCCCCAGAGACATGTAAAAGTTTAATAATTGCAAGGCCACTGAATGAGAAAATGGGAGGAATTCTCAAACCTCAAATCTATTTCCTCAAGGGGTATTGGGCAGGGGTCTTTAAGGAGATTATGGAGGGTGAGGAGCTGGAAAATTGAGATAATCAATTGGTCAGGGTAAGGGGATGACATCATTAGGATGTAAAAACTGCATCCTTCCATGAGTCAGCTTCTTACTGTGCCCTTTATACCTGTGTGCTAAAGATGGCATCCGTACTTTTGTTGGTATGCAGAACTTAAAAGAGAAATTCTTGATTTTTATCTATAGAACAAAGAATCTTGTGACAAGGCCCACATTATTCTCAGATGGTAAGCAGCGACCGGCTATAAGGTGTGGGCCAATGGGTAAGCTGGCTTAATGATTACTGCTGATTGTGCTACAAGCCTAGTTGAATTTTATTTTTTCCTTAGTTGATTTCATAAAGTTTTATTGGGGACAGTTTGACTTTTTGCTTACTCTTGATTACCAAATTCTTAATCTTTACATCTGTATATGGTTAAAATGATCTTAACGTACACATCTTAGATAGCATCTAGCTCCATTAAATATGCTCTGTGCTGTGGTTTGAATGTTTGTACCCTCCAAAGCTCATGTTGAAATTTAATTGCTATAGTAACTATATAAAGGTTTGAGATATTTAAGAGGTGATTAAGACATGAGGCCTCTGCCCTCATGAATGGATTAGCACCCTTACACAAGTGCTAATTTGTTATGAAAAGAGGCAAGTTTGACCTCCTTTTCTCTCTCTGTCACTCTCTCTCTGTCTTGCTCTCCTAGCCTTCTACTGCATGCTTATGCTGCAAAAAGGCTTTTATTAGATGCTGGCACATTGATATCAAACTTTCCAGCCTCCAGAACTATGCACTAATAAATTTATGTTCATTATAAATTACTCAGTCTCAGGTATTCTATTATAGGAGCCCAAAACAGACTAAGACACTCTGGAATATTTTAATTTTATGTAATATTGCCATGGTACATATAGTAAAAATTGGATTGGTCTAAATCTAAGACACAGGCAAAATTGAAATCCTCTAAACGGTTTCTGTGATTTTCACATGATAAGGAAATACTAATAAAATTAAGGAAACTTTACATTTCTAGTAGTGAGATTTACTTATTCACATTGTGGATTGGCTGTTCTCCTTCTAACCTTAATATTTCCTGTCCTCATGACAGTATATTTCTTTTTTTCTGCCAATTCTATTTTATTCTATGTTACAATAAGAGTTCTGTGTGCTAGAGCAATAATTGTTGCTTCAGCCCCCACCACCCGACCCCACCCCCACCCGCCGGCCTTGAAGTGAGGACTCATTTCTTGTTTGGAATGAGAATTGAAAATAGATTGCCAATTTTGATGTTTTATTTCATTTCTTAACATTAAATTTCCTTTTGGCAGCAATACCTCTAGGGTTAAGTTTTAACTCCTCTCTGTTCAAATTAATGAAAGATAGAGTCATTATAATCCTCAACTTACACAGGAATAAATTGATATTTTCAAGAAAATAATGTTTTTCTAAGGCAAAACAGCAAGAGTATGATAGATTTTTCAACCCAAGAATCTTATTCTAAGTCTGGTTTTTTTTAGACTATAAAAAATATGACCCTGTCTAGCTTCCACATTTTATTATTGAACACTGGGAACAAAACAGATCCTCCCCCTTAAAGACTTAATGTCAACTGAGTTCTGGGATTAATGTTTCTCCTATTCAGAGGAAATTAAAGAATCCCTTAGCTTCACGCCCAGTGATTTCTTCTGATTTGCTTTTGAATATGATTCTCACTTTAGTAGTCTGACTAAGGACTTGTTTCTTGAGACCAAACCTTTGAGTCTTATCCTGGTTTTAGGTAAAAACTAGAACACTTATATTTATTAATCACCTTAGCATTCAATATACTGGGTTGAGGTAAATATTGTGCAAATAATTATAATACATAACAAGATATAAAGCAAGGAAGAGGTATAAAAGTATTATTATCTTCAAATGTATAAGCTGTCTCAATATTCACTAGGTCTTAAAATTCCTTAATTCCTTCTGAACTGCTTTGATACTATGTTCCTGCCACTTATACAGTCATTGAATGAACATTACAGTAACTAGAATTCTGGCCTTAAAAGCCAGACCCCACTACACAGGAAATGAAAGAGGATTCACCACTCATACTCTTTAAACACCCATTTTCTGTCTCCATATCAAAACTGCTGGCCCTTTTAGTACAGCTTTCTCTTTCATACTTTCCTGCCTGATATCTGCTGCAACATAATGGTTGTCTAGTTTTGCTTCTCTGGAGTGAAATACCTGGCAATTCTGAAACTTTGTCCCAGTTCTAAAACTGTGTCCCACTGGTATGTCCAGTAGGTGATACTTGTTTCCTTGTTTGTTTGTTTTTGCATCCAGATTAACCCATATAGGTCTAACTTACACAATTTTTTTCACATGTGTTCAATTACATAATGATATTTCCAATTTATTAATATATTCTAGTCCAGTTCAAATAGCACAGATCAAGCATTTGCCATTCTTTTAATATCAATCAATGATTTTCCTTTGTATTCAAAGAAAAATGTCCAAAATTGTGCTAAGGTGTTTGCAGATTCCCTAGAAATATCATGATTAAAATCATCAACTGCTATGACAATATTTTTTAAAAAATTTAAGACTGATAAAATTGTAAAAGAAATAAATCCTTAAAATTAGTATATGGCACAAGTCTACTATATGCACAGTCACATCTATTTTATGAAATACATTAAAAGATATCTTAGGAGTTTGTCTATTCATGATATGAAGAAAACAAAGAGAAAAATCCATATTCACACTTAAAATATATGCAGTGACCTCATTTTTATTTCTGGGTTTTCTACTGGTTCTCTGTATCACATCTCTTAACTTCTTATGCCTCTTGTTGTATCTGTAAAATGAGAATAGTGACCACCTTCTACATCACAGCATAAGAGGATTAATGAAATGCGTTAAGAAAATTTTAGGCTTTTAGAAAACATACCAAGGAAAGGCACTTTTTATAAGAGAATTTTTTGACAAATGCCATTTCCCGTGGAATCACAGAGATACTCTATTATTGAAAATGTAACATGTTTAAGAAAACGCATAAGATAAAGCTACTTTTTAAAAGGTATTTTAATGTATTTTAATTTTATGTGAAATGTTAATATTTGCAAGCTCAAAGTTTTAAAACAACTCTGTTTTTGCTTTATCAGTGTTACTCAAAATCATTTAAAAGGAGACAGTGCTATATGAAGGACTGAATAAATGAGTGAATGAATACAAAATGATGAAATTAATTGTGCAGTAGAGTCTGAGAGCTGATGGAAGAGTGGTGGTTGTAGCTGAACTATTCTCCAGTGACCCACCGTGTTGAAGGTGTGCTGTAGAAAAAAAAGGCTATAGTAACACTGAAAATGTCTCTGACACTCAAACTGTAAGCACCTCTATTACGGGATATTCTGAGGAGAATGAGGCCACCTCACACTTCAAAGATGATTGTCAACCATTTATTAAACTGTGAAAATTGAGAAATTAAACTTTAGCAGAGAAAAAAGCCACCCAGTGCCCCAAGGAAGACTGTGAAACCTCAACATCAGTGGTGGAGTCTCTAAGACATTTGAAGTGATGGAAAAAGAACTAAATTCTTTTAAGTCTAAAAAGCTAAATGTTTATTTTGCTGTTTAATTTATAGTCACATACTGGTAAGTTTCCGGGACATTTAGGGTGCATTTGTAATTTTTTTAACTATAAAAATATGAGTGGAAAATTACTGTAGAATTGTGGTGAGAGTTATACTATCATTATAAGTAGCCATAGTCTATACTTGTCACATTAAAAGAAATGCAGAAATAAAACCTATAGATTGGATATTTAATGACAGAACTATGGATTTAGTATTTATTTATTCAGGAAACTTGTATGTGCCTCTTACCATGTGTCAGGAAAAAAGCTAGGTCTGTGGGATTCCTCAATGAGTTACAGTTTTAGAAGAAAAGGGCAATGGAAGGCAAATAACTGTAAGACTGTGGTATTTACCATAAAAGATATATGTCATTAGTGTTATGAAAAAGGTAATAGTTTGCCATGAAACTTTCAGAAGTACTCAAAGGTTAAAAACACCTGCAAAATTTGGTATTTTTTGATGGTAGAATGCAAGTAACCATAGGGATAAGGTTAGAGAAGCAGAATGAACTCTTGATGAACCTTGTATGTTAACCCTGCTAGGTAAATGGGGGTTGTTACATGCTCAGATTTGCATTTTAGAATGATCATAGTGACTAACCAGTAGGGTGGACCGCCCATAAGAGGCTTGGTAAGAAACCTGCATTATTTTTCTATTGTTGCTGTAATATATATATATATATATGTGTATATACATATATACACACATGTATACATACATATATGTAAATTGATCACCGAATTTGGAGGTTTAAAGCAACATAAATGTATTATCTTACAGTTTTGGAGATCAGAAGATTAATATCAGTTCCAATGAGTCAAAGTCAAGGTGTCGGCACCTTCTTGGCATCTCTTAAAGGAGACTCCATTTCCTTGCCTTTCTCAGCTTCTAGTGACTAAATTTCCAGGGCGTACATTTCTTATGATTTTTATAGTACACCCAAATATTCAAGGATAATTTTCCCATATCAAGAATTTATTAAAAGTTACATATATATTGCCTGAATAAATGAATACAAAATTCACAACTGTGACCATTAAGTATTCAATATATAGGTTTTGTTTCTTTTAACAGGAGAGGATGTGGAGAAATAGGAATGCTTTTACACTGTGGGTGGGAGTGTAAATTAGTTCAATCATTGTGGAAGACAGTGTGGCAATTCCTCAAGAATCTAGAACCAGAAATACCATTTGACCCAGCAATCCCATTACTGGGTATATACCCAAAGGATTATAAATCATTCTACTATGAAGACACATGCACACATATGTTTATTGCAGCACTGTTCACAATAGCAAAGACTTGGAACCAACCCAAGTGCCCATTAATGATAGACTGGATTAAGAAAATGTGGCACATATACACCATGGAATACTATGCAGCCATAAAAAAGATGAGTTCATGTCTTTTCCAGGGACATGGATGAAGCTGGAAATCATGATTCTCAGCAAACTAACACAGGAATAGAAAACCAAACACCACATGTTCTCACTCATAAGTAGGAGTTGAACAATGAAAACACATGGACACAGGGAGGGGAACATCACACATTGGGGCCTGTTGGGGGGTGGGGGGTGGGGGGCTAGGGGAGGGATGGCATTAGGAGAAATACCTAATGTAAATGATGGGTTGATGGGTGCAGCAAACCACCATGGCACGTGTATACCTATGTAACAAACATGCATGTTCTGCACAAGTATCCCAGAACAAGGAGGAGGAGGAGGAGGAGGGGGAGGAGGAGGAAGAATCTGTATTTTCTTGCTTGTTGTTCCCTTCATTTTTCCTCAAAGTGCATCACTCCCATGTCTGCTCATATGACATTCTTCTGTTCTTTGTTAATTCTCCCTCTGCATTTCTCTTATAAGGATATTTGTGATTATATTTGCAGTATACCCAGCAAGTCCAGCATAATTTCCCCCTTTCAAGATTTTTAAATTAACTTGTTTGAAAAATCCATTTTGCCATGAAGTAACACACACAGGTTCCAGGGATAAGGACTTAAATATATTTTGGGAATATTATTTAGCCTGCCAAAGAATCTATGTTCAATTATACAGAACCCTTTCACGTATCTCACTACAACCTCACATACAAACAACCCCCCCTCCCCAAGAAACACGCAAAAACTAACAAAAAACCCACCACGAAAAATGCTTGCACTAAATGCGTGGCAATGATGGATTTGGTGAGTAATTGATTGCGTAAAGTATAGAAAATGTAAAATTAGAAATAGAATCCACATTTACGCCCAATGTAGTAAAATGCGTGGTGGTGCAACTAGCCAAAATGGGGAATTTTACTCATAAATGGAACTAGAATGTCTATAAACAAATCTACAGTACAGCTAAGAATTTAGTCAAATTCTCTGTATGCTGATATATGATCGTTTCTTTTAAAAACTTCTTCTGCAATAAATGTATATTGAATGATCAATGCCACTTTGAAAGTTATATTCCATACCAATAATGATAGAGAAAGTATTTCTTCCTGCTCTGTCTCTATGGAATAGAATTGTATATTTTAAAGAGAGTAGGGATTAAAGTCAGATCAATGTGTTTCAGTTATATGAATGCTCTTATTGCCAGTACACATTTTGAAACATTAAATATGTAGGTTGTAGATTTTTAGTAACTATGATATGTAAATTGTGATTATTTAAAATTCAAATGTGCTGCTTCTTCAAATTTTATAAAAAGTCAAAGCCCAAAAATGAAGTGCTAGCATATCAGATAAAATCTAATCATTCTACTACTGAAAACCAATCACATCAAATTTAATGTAAATTATAATGAACTCAGTCAATCCTCCACAAACATCATTCTATTTCGTATTTTAGTCTGATACAAATATCAAAGATTTATACCTTAAGTTTATAAGCAATTGGATGCTAGAGCTTTGGGTCTTAAAAAGTGATCACTTTAAAGCAAAAGCACTAGACAAAACTACTAGTTATTTTTCCTTCTGAAAATAGAAACCAATTTTTTTTTTTTACGTGTGTGAATCACTTAATAGGAGCCATTTACAGATGTATGTTTTTGTCTTTTTATATGATGTTAATCTGCAGAGAGATTCATTTGAGTTTTCTTATATTCTTGTCTTAGCATTTCTGTAGGCATTTATTGTTTAGGAAAGAAAATAATCTTCATAATTTCAAATACACTGGAAAATCCAAATGAAGAATGCAGGAATGAAAAACTCCATTTTTCTTTGCCTATCAGAATCTCCCTATTTCTTACCTGTTTGCATAATACTGAACTAAATGTGTATTGAGTTATATGGATCCAAGAATTCTAAATAGCTAACTTTAGCCCCATTTTATAGATTGAATTAAGACATGCAGTTTATTCCGAGTTTTTAGCATGAAGGTTGTTGAATTTTGTCAAAGGCCTTTTCTGCGTCTATTGAGATAATCATGTGGTTTTTGTCTTTGGTTCTGTTTATATGCTGGATTACATTTATTGATTTGCATATGTTGAACCAGCCTTGCATCCCAGGGATGAAGCCCACTTGATCATGGTGGATAAGCTTTTTGATGTGCTGTGGATTCGGATTGCCAGTATTATTTGAGGATTTTTGCATCGATGTTCATCAAGGGTATTGGTCTAAAAATCTCTTTTTTGGTTGTGTCTCTGCCAGGCTTTGGTATCAGAATGATGCTGGCCTCATAAAATGAGTTAGGGAGGATTCCCTCTTTTTCTATTGATTGGAATACTTTCAGAAGGAATGGTACCAGCTCCTCTTTGTACCTCTGGTAGAATTCGGCTGTGAATCCATCTGGTCCTGGACTTTTTTTGGTTGGTAAGCTATTAATTATTGCCTCAATTTCAGAGCCTGTTATTGGTCTATTCAGAGATTCAACTTCTTCCTGGTTTAGTCTTGGGAGGATGTATGTGTCAAGGAATTTATCCATTTCTTCTAGATTTTCTAGTTTATTTGCGTAGAGGTGTTTATAGTATTCTCTGATGGTAGTTTGTATTTCTGTGGGATCGGTGGTGATATCCCCTTTATCATTTTTTATTGCGTCTATTTGATTCTTCTCTCTTTTCTTCTTTATTAGTCTTGCTAGCAGTCTATCAATTTTAGGTATTGATGGGATGTATCTCAAAATAATAAGAGCTATCTATGACAAACCCACAGCCAATATCATACTGAATGGGCAAAACTGAAAGCATTCCCTTTGAAAATGGGCATAAGACAGGGATGCCCTCTCTCACCACTTCTATTCAACATAGTGTTGGAAGTTCTGGCCAGGGCAATCAGGCCGGAGAAGGACATAAAGAGTATTCAGTTAGGAAAAGAGGAAGTCAAATTGTCCCTGTTTGCAGATGACGTGATTGTATATCTAGACAACCCCATCGTCTCAGCCCAAAATCTCCTTAAGCTGATAAGCAACTTCAGCAAAGTCTCAGGATACAAAATCAATGTACAAAAATCACAAGCATTTTTATACACCAATAACAGACAAACAGAGAGCCAAATCATGAGTGAACTCCCATTCACAATTGCTTCAAAGAGAATAAAATACCTAGGAATCCAACTTACAAGGGACGTGAAGGACCTCTTCAAGGAGAACTACAAACCACTGCTCAACGAAATAAAAGAGGATATAAACAAATGGAAGAACATTCCATGCTCATGGGTAGGAAGAATCAATATTGTGAAAATGGCCATACTGCCCAAGGTAATTTATAGATTCAATGCCATCCCCATCAAGCTACCAAGAATTGGAAAAAACTACTTTAAAGTTCATGTGGAACCAAAAAAGAGCCCGCATTGCCAAGTCAATCCTAAGCCAAAAGAACAAAGCTGGAGACATCATGCTACCTGACTTCAAACTATACTACAAGGCTACAGTAACCAAAACAGCATGGTACTGGTACCAAAACAGAGATATAGACCAATGGAACAGAACAGAGCTCTCAGAAATAATGCCGCATATCTACAACTATCTGATCTTTGACGAACCTGACATAAACAAGCAATGGGGAAATGATTCCCTATTTAATAAATGGTGCTGGGAAAACTGGCTAGCCATATGTAGAAAGCTGAAACTGGATCTCTTTCTTACAACTTATACAAAAATTAATTCAAGATGCATTAAAGACTTAAATGTTAGACCTAAAACCATAAAAACCCTAGAAGAAAACCTAGGCAATACCATTCAGGACATAGGCATGGGCAAGGACTTCATGTCTAAAACACCAAAAGCAATGGCAACAAAAGCCAAAATTGACAAATGGGATCTAATTAAACTAAAGAGCTTCTGCACAGCAAAAGAAACTACCATCAGAGTGAACAGGCAACCTACAGAATGGGAGAAAATTTTTGCAACCTACTCATCTGACAAAGGGCTAATATCCAGAAGCTACAATGAACTCCAACAAATTTACGAGAAAAAAACAAACAAACCCATCAAAAAGTGGGTGAAGGATATGAACAGACACTTCTCAAAAGAAGACATTTGTGCAGCCAAAAAACACATAAACACATGAAAAAATGCTCATCATCATTGGCCATCAGAGAAATGCAAATAAAAACCACAGTGAGATACCATCTCACACCAATTAGAATGGCGATCATTAAAAAGTCAAGAAACAACAGGTGCTGGAGAGGATGTGGAGAAATAGGAACACTTTTACACTGTTGGTGGGACTGTAAACTAGTTCAACCATTGTGGAAGTCAGTCTGGCGATTCCTTAGGGATCTAGAACTAGAAATACCATTTGACCCAGCCATCCCATTACTGGGTATATACCCAAAGGATTATAAATCACGCTGCCATAAAGACACATTCACACGTATGTTTATAGCGGCACTATTCACAATAGCAAATACTTGGAACCAACCTAAATGTCCAACAACGATAGACTGGATTAAGAAAATGTGGCACATATACACCGTGGAATACTGCGCAGCCATAAAAAATGATGAGTTCATGTCCTTTGTAGGGACATGGATGAAACTGGAAACCATCATTCTCAGCAAACTATCGCAAGGACAAAAAACCAAACACCACATGTTCTCACTCATAGGTGGGAATTGAACAATGAGAACACATGGACACAGGAAGGGGAACATCACACACCGGGAACTGTTGTGGGGTGGGGGGAGGGGGGAGGGATAGCATTAGGAGATATACCTAATGCTAAATGAGGAGTTAATGGGTGTAGCACACCAGCGTGGCACATGTATACATATGTAACAAACCTGCACATTGTGCACATGTACCCTAAAACTTAAAGTATCATAACAATAATAAAAAAAGACATGTAGTTTATTCCAGTTGACAATACAGAAGGACATTTGAAACCAGTGACTAATGAAATGAAATGGCAAACATTCAACTACTTTTTTAACAGAAACATTTTAAGCTGCAATTTGGCACTCCTAATAAGTTTGTCTGTCCTATTATCATATTGAGTTCACTAGTCTCATGCCTTTTAATTATTTTTATTTATGATATATGCAAAATACAAAAGGTATGTTCTCACTCATAGGTGGGAATTGAACAATGAGAACACTGGACTCAGGAAGGGGAACATCACACACCACACACCAGGGCTGGTTGTGGGGTGGGGGAGGGGGGAGGGGTAGCATTAGGAGATATACGTAATGTAAATGATGAGTTAATGTGTGCAGCACACCAACATGGCACATGTATACATATGTAACAAACCTGCACATTGTGCACATGTACCCTAGAACTTAAAGTATAATAAAAAATATATATTAAAAAAACAAACATTATCCTGAAATTGTATATTTCTAGGCATGATTTCTTACCAAATTACATAAAACATTTATCCATAAATATGTATTTATAGAAAACTGCTTTTCTCCCTCAATATGTTTAACCTTGTTTATTTCTCTTTGAAAAATTAGGAAATTAATATTTTAACTTATTATTTGTTCTCCCTTAATTTTGTCAAGAGTGCACCTTTCACTCAATTAATAAGATATCTGTTTTCTCTATATAGATATGTACCCAACTTTTGATTTGAAATGATTTCATAACAGTTCTGCACAGAGATAAGTTACATGTAGCAGTGGTTATACCTACCCTTTGTCTAGGTCATAGTGAATTCTCAACGGTGCAATCATGCAGGTATAGCTTCACTTTTGTCGGACTGTGAGGTTCTCTATTTTATACTTGTCTCAATTATAGCAACATTGAACTTGTCCAAGAAATCAATTATTCTCACAAGCAAGAAATAAAATGTTTAGTAGAAACCTTAGCATCAGATAAACTCAGATGCAGAAGCTGGCTTTGCCACAGGTGATCTGTTTGAGCTTTGGTGCTTTACCTAATTTCTCCAGTACTTACCTTTATCATTTGTAAAAATTTCCTTCTTTATTCATTCAGTACATACAAATTGAGCAAATCATATGTTCCATGTCTGTACCTGGGACTAAAATACAGCAGTGAAAAAGACTTATAACCTTTCAAGAGAATAGACATTAACACATAATTATATAAATAAGGATTTAATTTTAATAGAAACAAATGCTATGAAAGACAAGGTAATGAATAAGAATCGAGTGTGGATGACATGGCAATTTATCTAGGTGGAGAGAGGACTGTGGGGGAGGACAGAGAATTCTTTCTAGAGGAAGTGACTTTCAGGGTGAGATTTGCAGACCAGGTAAATGAAGAGGAAAAGGAAAGAAATTCTTAGCATAGGCAAAGAATTTGAAATTGGAAGGAAATTAATAGTATACATAAAACACTGAAAGAAGATCACTGTTGTAGAGAAAGAGTAGGGTTTCAGATAAGGCTGAATACATCAACAGGGACCACATGGTTTTGTTACAGAGTTTAATGTTCATTCTAACGTCAATGAAAAGTCATTGGTGGATTTGAGGCAGGAACAAGAACAAAAATTAAATTTAAGAATCTCATATGCCTCAATGAGAATGCATGTAAAGCATTTTACCATAAATACAAATTCCAAGATCTTTGTTAGCATGCTCATTTATGGCTGAAAAATTGATTTAGTCTTCAACTGCACAGAGGCAGTTTCTTTTGATCTGAAAGAAAAAAAAAGAAAAAAAGAAATAATACTCAAGGCAAGTAAGGCCAATATTTTTGTTCCAAATTTCATAGATAAAAGAAATTCAGAGGTGATTGAGATTTTAAAATTTGCTGTATGCCACAAAACTAGTACGTGGCAGCTCTGGGTCTAGAACACAAGGCAAAATTTAAGAGATTCTGTAGTAGGGAGAGGATAAAGCAAATAAAACTCTATTCTTAACAATGTTGAGCAACAATTCTGTGCAGAATGCTTTAAATATGTTATATTATTTTATTTAATCTTGATAATAGTTTTGAAAAGTAAGTACAAACATATCCATTTTCTGTATGAGAAAAAGGAGTGAAGAGATTAAATTTTATTCTCATGACAGTATTTGACCCAGTCTTCTGGTTTCTGTTTTATTGAACCTGTCATTACACCCTTCTTTTCTAAGGGTGATGAAAAAAGCCTGTGGTCAAGACACAAAATACAAAAACTGCTTTCTTCATCCTCAATTTCAGGAGAAGGGAAGAGAGGTAATAAAAACATGCTTTAAACAAGGGAATAAATTCCCTTTCCTTAAGGTTCCTTTAGGAGAATGCAAGATAGATTATAGAGAGGTAAACTTTTGTCTACTTTCTTTATTCTTACTATTCCCAGCCTATTTAATCAGGAAATCTTCTTCCTTAAATCAGACTAAAAACAATCAATGAATGGATAAATAAACAAATGTAGAATCCTGCTGAAAACGTTACCTCACTCTCCTTTTATAATGGTTTCCCTTTTCATTTTTTTCTCTTTTTTTTGGAATTTTAGCCTACAGTTAAGGGCATAACTTAGTTACAGTGTGTGTAGTAATGTATGAAATAGTTTAAATCCGTCTCAAAGGTCAGACTACCTGAGTTCAAACTGCCACCTTCACCAGTTTGGGCATTGTGCCTAACTGTCTTAATCTGTAAAATAGACAGAACCCCTAGTTCACAGGGGGATTGAAATAATTAAATATTGTGTTCTTAGCATGGAATAAGCATGGTTATTACAATGTTAGAAATATTGAGATTTTTTCAGGTATGATTGACAAGTGAAAAGCTCTACATATTTAATGTATATTTCTTGATGAATTTGGGGCTAAATAGAACCGTGAAATCATCACCACCATCATGGTCATATACATGTCTATCACCTCCCAAAGTTTCCTCCTGCCTCCTTTATTATTGTTGTTTTGTTTTATTCTCCCTTTATTTTTTTTTTGATAGAATCACTGAGCATATGATCTATCCTCTAAGCAATTTCTTTCTTTTTTTTTTTGAGATGGAATCTCGCTCTGTCGCCCAGGCTGGAGTGCAGTGGTGCGATCTTGGCTCACTGCAAGCTCCACCTCCCGGGTTCACGCCATTCTCATGCCTCAGCCTCCCAAGTAGCTGGGACTACAGGCGCCCGCCACCAAGCCTGGCTAATTTTTTGTATTATTTTTAGTAGAGAGGGGGTTTCACCATGTTAGCCAGAGTGGTCTTGATCTCCTGACCTCGTGATCCACCAGCCTTGGCCTCCCAAAGTACTGGGATTACAGGTGTGAGCCACTGTGCCTGGCCAGCAATTTCAAGTATACACTACAGTATTATTAGCTGTAGGTACCATGCTATATAGTGGATATCAGAATTTATTCATCTTGCACAGCTGAAACTTTGTATCTTTTAATAGTCACTTCTCTATTCCATCTCCCACTAATCCCTGGCAACTAGCATTCTATAATTTCCATCTACTAGTTAAACATTTTAGAGTCTACATAAAAGTGAGATCATACAATAGTTGTTTTTCTGTGTCTGGTTTATTTCCCTTAACATGATGCCCTTCATCTCTATCCATGTTGTCATAAATGTTGTTATTTTTTTTTTAATTTTTAAGGCTCAATAAAGTTCCATTGTATAAATATGCCACAATTTCTTTATTCATTCAACCACTGGTGGACATTTAGGTACTTTACATAATTTGATTATTGGGAATAATGCTGAATTCTACATCGGAATGTAGATATCTCTCTGAGATCCTAATTTCAACTCCCTTGAAAATAGATCCAGAGGTGGGATTGCTATTTTTAATTTTTAAAGGAAACCTGTACACTAATTTTCGTAATGACAGTACCAACTTACATTCCCACAAGTAGTGCACTAGGATCCTCTTTTATCTTTATTCTCAACAACACTTGTTACCTTTCTGTTTTGTTTTCTACAATAGCCATCCAACAAGGTATGTTTTGGTATCAAATTGTGGATTTGCATTTTCCTGATGATTAGGTATGTTGAGTACCTTTATGTATGCCTGTTGATCATTAGTATATTATGTTTGGAGAAATATTTAAATAAGCCCTATCCCCCATAGTCGAATAAAGTTATTTTTAAGTGAAGTTTTCTTTAAGTGATATTGCATTGCAGGCATTACTTATATAAGTGATATTGCATTGCAGGCATTACTTATATATTAATGCCTTATCAGATAATGGTTTGCAAATATTTTCTTTTTCATAGAGTGCCTTTTTTCCCTAATTGCTTTTTTTCTTTTGCTTTGCAAAAGTTTTTTCAGTTTCACGTGGTCCCACTCATCAGTTTTTCAGCTTTTGTTGCCTATGCTTTTAGTCAGATTCAAAAAGCATTGCAGAGACAAATGTCAAAAGCTTTTTCCACTAAGTCTCCTTCTATGAGTTTTATGGTTTCAGGCCTTATATTTAAGTCTTTAACCATTGGAGTTGATTTTTATGTGGTATAATATGATGATCCAATTCCCTATATTTATATGAATGTATAGTTTTCCCAATGCCATTTATACAACAGACCATCCTTTCCTCATTGTGTAATCAATGAGCTTACTGTATTTGCACAGGTTAATTTCTGAGCTGGCCATTCTGTTCCCTTGCTCTACATGTCTGTTTTTATGCCAGTGCCATACTGTTTTGATTATGACAGCTTTGTAATATGATTTTAAATCAAGAAGGGTAATGACTCTAGCACTGTTCATTTTAACAATATTAATTCTTCAAACTATGAACATGGTATGTGTTTGCTTTTATTATGTCTTTTTACATTTTTTTATCAATGTTTTCTAGTTTTAGTGTAAAAGTCTTTCACCTCCTTGGTTAACTTACTTCTAATTTTTCATTGTATAAATGAGATTTTTTTAAATTTTATTTTTTGGTAGTTCATTAATAATGTGTAGTAACACAAGTGATTTTGTTTGTTGCTTTTGCATCCTGCAACTTTACTGAATTTGTTTTTTTTTTTTTTTTTTTACTTCCAACAACTGTGTGTGTGTAGGGACTTATTTTGGGTTTTCTAGATAAGTAATATTTACACAGAGACAATTTTATTCCTTTCTTTCTTATTTGGATGTCTTTTATTTTTCTTTCTTGCCTAATTGCTCTGGCTAGGACTTTGAGTACCATTTTTTAATATAAGTGATGATAATGGGCATCTTTGCCTTATTTTGGATAATAGAGAAAAACCTTTCAGTTTTTCACCAATTAGTATAATGTTAGTTGTGGGCTTTTCATTTATGGCCTTTATTTTGTTGAGTTAATGTCCTTTTATACCTAGTTTGCTGACAGTTTTTATTATGAAAAAGTGTTAAGTTTTGTCAAATGCCTTTTCTGTACCTATTGAAATGATCATGTTTGCCCTTTCATAAATATGGTCATTTAAAAACTCATGACCATTTTATTCATAATCCTGTCAATATGATAAATCATATTATTTCATTTTTGTATGATGAACTATCCTTGCATTCATGGATAAATGCCATTTGATCATGAGGTGTGATTATTTTGATGTGCTATTCAATTAGGTTTTCTAGTGTTTTTTTGATAAATTTTGCATCTGAGTTCATCAGAAATACTGCCCTGCAATTTTTTTTCCTCTATTGTCTTTTTCTTACTTGAATATCAGGATAGTTGCTGGCCTCATAAAATGAGTTTGGAAGTCTTCTTTCTTCTTTAATTTGTTGGAAGAAAAAAATGAAGCCATTTAGTTCTACAGTTTTCTTGGTTGGGAGGTTTTGGATGGTTGATTAAATCCCCTTATTAGTTATAGATCATTTCTGATTTTCTACTTTTTTATGATTCAGTCTTGGTAGGTCCTATGATGCTAGGGATTTATCCATATCTTCTAAGTTATCCATAATTACTTATAGTAGTCTCATGATCCCTTTCCTTTCTGTGTCATCACACTTGTATCATTTCCTCTTTCATTTCTGATTTTATTTATTGAAGTCTTCTCTCTATTTTCTTCATCACTCCAGCTAAAAGTTTGCTGGCTTTATCTTTTCAAAAAGCCAATTCTTAGTTCCATTTTTTATATTTGTTTTCTATTTTCTGTTTTATTTATTTCTGCTCAAATCTGTTATGTCCTTCCTTTTGCTAACTTTGGGCTTATCTTGTTCTTTTCTATCTGCTTGAGATATGAAGTTAAGTTATTTACTTGTTATCTTTCCTCTTTTTTTAATGGCTGTGTTGTCATAGTAAACTTGTCTCTCAGTACTGCTTTGCTTTATCTTAAGTACAGCATGTAGTGTGTTTTTATTTTTGTCTATCTCAGTGTAATTTCTAATTACCTTATGAATTTCTTCTTTGATATAGTGGTTGTTGTTTGTTTTCCACATATTTGTAAATTTTCCCACTTTGCTTCTGCCATTGATTTCTAGTTTTACCACCTTGTGATCAATAATAATACTTTGACTTGTTTTAATTTTTTTAATATGTTAAGACTTGTTTTATGACCTACAATTTGAGAAAGGTTTATGTGCACTTCAGAAGAATATGTTGTTGGATGGGATGTTTGTAGAAATCTTTTAAGTTCACTTGGTCTATAGTGTTGTTTAAATCCACTGTTTTCTCACGGATGTTAAATGACGGAATATTCTATCCATTAATGAAAGTGGAATGTTGAAGTCTCCTACTATTATTATATTGCTGTCTAACTCTCCCTCAAGTTTTGCAGGTGATGGCTTTATATGCTTTGGTGCTCTGATGTTGAGTGCATATATACTTATAATTGTTTTATGTTCCTGTTGAACTGAAACTTTCATCATATTTTTCATCATTTTTTATCAAAGAATGACATTCTTTGTCTTTTGTTATAATTTTTGAGTTAATTCCTAATTTGTGTAATATAAGTATATCTATTCCTGCTCTCTTTTGCTTATTATTTTCATGGAATATCTAACTCCATCCCTTAACTTTCTCCCTATCTGTGTCATTAAAGCTAAAGTGAATCTCTTCTAGAAAGCCTATTGTTTGATTTTATTTTCTACGATTTGAGCTGCACTAAATATTTTGAGTGCTGAGTTTTATTCATTTACATCAGAGAATTTTTTGATAGGTGGAATCTCATTATTGCAATTTTGATAATTATTTTCTGTCTTGTAGTTATTGTGGTCCTCTCTTTCTCACTTGCTGTCTTCCTTTCTTATTTTTTGATTTTTTTTATGGTGATAGAGTTTTATTCTTTTTTCTTTGTCTTTTTTAAACTCTAGGAATTTTTAGTAGTTACTATGTTTGCATCAAACTTTTTTAATAGTCTATTTTAAGCTGATAATAACCTCAGTCACATATCATTAATGTGTACTTTTATTATTTTATTACTTTTGAAGTGACAAAACACTAATTTTCTATGTGACGATTTAGAACTTTTCAAATTTTATGTCTGTTTACATACTTTAAATAGTTATAGTTTTAAAATTAAAAGTTATTTAAACCCCTACCATCATGTTTTATAGCACTCTGCACTTATCTATATGTTTCTCTTTACTAGTGAACTTTATACCTTTATATGTTTTTGTATTGATGCTTAGCATCAGTTTAAATTGAACTCCCACAGCTTTTGTTTGTCTCCAAAAGTATGTACCTCTCCTTGACTTTTGGAGAGTTGCTTTTTTTTTTTTTTTTTTGGTGTAGTATTCTTAGTTGAAAGATGTTTGTTTGCTTGCTTGCTTGCTTTTAATTTCAGGACATTGAATATCTCATCTCACTCCCTCTGACCTGCAAATTCTGCTGAGAAATCCACTAATAGTATTATGAATTTTCCTTTCTAAGTGCCAAGCTGCTTTTCTCTAGCTGTTTTCAAATTGTCTTTTACTTTGACTTCTGATAACTTGGTTAAAATGTGGCTTAGTATGAATTTTAGGGAGTTCATCTTACTTGGGATCCATTGAGTTTCCTGTATTTTGATATCCAATTTTTTTCCTCAGTGTTGGGAAGTTGTCAGACATTATTTCTTGAATAATCTTTCTACCCCTTTTTCTCTTCTCCTTCTGGGACTTTCATAGTGAATATGTTGGTCTACTTCATGGTGTCTGATAAGTTTTCTTCACACTTTTTAATTTTTTTCTTGTTTTCTCCTTTAACTGGATAATTTCTAATGATTTGTATTCAAGTCCACTAATACATTTTCTGCTTGATCTAATCTGCTGTTGAACTCCTGTGTAATCTTTTTAGTCCATCTGTTATATTTTTCAGGTCAAGATTTCCATTTTGTACTTTTCAATAGATGTAAGCTCCATATTGAAATTTTAACTGTTCTCACATTGTTCTCTTGACCTCATCTGATTGAGCATCTTTATGATGTGTTAAAAGAAAAAAATTCAGCTGAATTAAATTTAAATAAGTTTAATTGAGCAGTGAACAATTTGTGAATCGGGCAGCCCCCAGAATCACAGCAAATTCAGAGAGACTCCGGCACAGCCATGTGGTGGAAGATTTATGGACAGCAAAGGGAACGTGACATACAGGAAACACAAGCGAGGTATAGAAACAACTGGATTGTTTTCAGCTCAGCATTTGCCTTATTTGAACATGTTTTGAAGAGTTGGCTACATTTTATTGGCCAAAACTCAATGACTGGCACAGGCGTGGACAAGGGTTGGTTTACACCTCTACTTGTTATAGTTCATGATGTACAGTAAAACCTTTAGGCTGAACTTAATTATTTAAGGAGGCAACTTTAGGCTAAACTAGATTTAATTATTCCCCACTGTTGGCCATTTTCTCAATTTTGAAAGATTGACCAAAACTTAAAACATTGATGTCATTATTACAATCTTAAATGTACTTACCTTATCTTGAAACCCCCTGGGAAACAGTAAAACAGTGGGTTTTGCTAGTCAGTCACAAGGACTGACTAGAGGGTATCTCTTTATGCTGAAATGTCCTGATTACAGAAGAAAAACAAAACCTAGTCTGTTCTAGGATCTATGTATTTCCTTAAAGTCTTAGTTTGATTATGTCACATTTAGCACAAGCAACTCCATTTTAGTGTGGTTTGGTCTGTCAGAGCTTAGTGCATGAGCTCAGTCTAAACAATGGCCTCTCATAATTTTGTTTTAAAAATTTCCCCTTTTTGGTCATGTTCTCACTTAGATGAGAGTGTGACCAAAATTTAGGGTCTTAGCACCACTCTCAGTTACCATCATTTTGGGTTTCCAGTCTCAGCACATCATTAATAGGTTATGGTGTCCTCATGTCACACATTTCTTTCAGCTCTTGTCATTCCAGTTAAAGAAAGACCATTTAACATTCTACAGATGTCTGCATCCAAACATTTAGGAGATACACCTAATGTTAAATGACGAGTTGATGGGTGCAGCACACCAACATGGCACATGTATACATGTGTAACTAACCTGAACGTTGTGCACATGTACCCTAAAACTTAAAGTATAATAATAATAAAAAAAGAATCAGCACACCAGGGAGACTATTATTATGACTTTCAGAAGGATAATACCAAGAGGTTAGAGCATGCTCCTTACCCAGGGTCTCCATAAACCAAACCATCTCAAATAAATACATCAAAGAATAAACTAGATAAAGAGTTGACTAGCTTAAAGAAGTGGTCTTTTTGTTAATCCCCTACAACTGAATCTCTATAATATCTGATGATTTCTCTGTTGGACATAAGTGCCAGCAGCCACACAGATACTTCTGTTTAGCCAGTAAGTAATCTAGAGCAATTATATTATTTAGCAAAACATTCACAAGAGAATTTTAAGTCTGTTGTTTAACTATAGCCTTTGCAGTAAGTTCTGCTATAGAGCCTATCCTGAGGGATACATTTCCAATCATTGCTTCTTTTACTCCAAACTATGGAAAAAGGACCTAGCAAATGATGCCCTTCTAGAAAAGTGAAGGCTGTGTATCAATGTTCTCTTTAACGCATGATGTGGGTTAAGAGGAGTGAACTAATGTTGTGTTTCTGACTGATTATGAGGCAACATATGTACCATTAATTTTCTTACCTACATTAGGCTTTCATCTGTATCTATCAAAGTTTAAAGTTCTCCATATTTAAGGCTGGCTGCAAAATTATTTATGATAAAATGTATACTCCATTAGTGCACACAACAGACCACTTTTTCATTTCTATTGTTCATAGAGGCATAAACGAGGGAAAATACTCAAAGATAAGAGTTTAATGATAGTAGAGAAGTCTTGATCTGTGATCTTGAGAAAAGCTGTTTACATCAAGAATGCCATTTTCTTCTGGGGAGAAATTTCCCTGGTTAGCTTTACCTTAAGGGTTTCAGTGGGTGTACAGTTCCAAGAGTGTGGAGGGAGCCTTCTCATTTGTGAGATTATGAACCTAAGGTTCAAGATCACAAAGTTTTATTGCAGTGTGGAGAGCAAGGTCAGTCTTTCTCTGGTGTTCTCAGAAGATCCAATCTTTAGGTTCTAGATTCTTTCTCTGATGTTCTTAGAAGATCCAATCTTTGGGTTCCAGATTGTGAAGGCATTGATTATCTTCAGTAAATCATAAAAAGCTTTCTTTACCTGGTGAACATACATTTTGGCATAATAATTTAGTGTTATAACATCAGCCCTCTTGCATGGGAAAGCTTTTATACAACTGAAAAAATAACGCACTGAAAATGACAATTGAATGAAGTCCCTCTATAAATGTTTAAATGGCCCATCAGGTAGCCAAATGTAACTGAAGTTTTTAATTGTTTTCCCAGGATTACAGGTTTGTCATTTGTCAAAATACAGCTTTTGGCAATGTTTAGTGACAACTGAACATTGGTCATAGATTATTTTAGCACTATATGTTACCACACCAATATATTTAATTTAGATCATTTTGTCTGTTCCAGGATGAGTTGTGGAATGCGGAACTTTTAACAAAAGCTTTAAAGACTCAGGAAGGACAAGGTGGCCGTCCTGGTTCTCCATGAATCCATGCTTAACACTGGACTTACATCCTCTTGAATACCAGTTGTTTTTCCAATTTAGGGGAATAGCACTGTTAGCTCATGGGTTATGATAGGTAATTTGACTTAGACCAAGGACTTCATTCAGATTGTATATCTAAACAATTTCTGTATTGGCTGATTCAGCATGGAAATCTGGCAAAGTATTTTCTTGGTATTCAATTAATTTTTGTTCTACTTGAGTTAGCAGTTTTATGATCCAGTAAATCTTTTTTATTAAAGTTCCAGGAAGTCTTACTCAGCCCAAATAATATGATTCTCAAGTTACCAGAAACCTGTATTCAAAAGAGCTTTTCAGGGTCCTTTCCATACTTTCATGAACCAACTAAATGACACCATATTCGGGGATTTTGCATGTTTGTGAAGTTTTCAGAAACTGTATTAGCTTTAAGAAGTTAACTGTGGAAATGACTTTAAATAGTCATAGTTAAGAACACAATTGACAGGAAAATTTAATTATTTCTCTGGTTTACAGTAACTTAATAACCATCATGATTGAGAGCATATACTTCAACATATTAGAATTTTAGAAATCCCATACAATTTTATAACATATTGATGACATACACTAAAATATAGCCTAAAGAAGGTTAAACTTTTTTTTATTTTGACAATGCTTCTCATGTAACTTCATAAGTCAGATAATCCTGTTTACCTCTCTTTTGGATGCTTCCTGGGCCCTCTGTAGCATCTCAAAGTTAAAGGCCAGAAAAGATAATTTTGAAGCTGAAATTTAATTTTGGGAATTTTATCAAATATGGTAAAGGTTTATAACACTTGATATTATGAAGTAGGATTCCAGGTTCTACTTTGCATAAGTCATTCATTTAGCCAAAATGCCAACTCAAAAATTGTAAAAAGGCAAAAACCTTTACTCATTGATAGAGGGAGGACTTAGCATTGTAAACAATTTGCCTCTTGTCTTTCCCCCATTTTTCCCTGTATTTTAATCAAAAGGCAAACAAAAATCTTTCCTTATCTTTTAATGTTACATGATAATCTTGTTCAAGAGAGAAAGCCAAATTTCACCCTTGCATTAGTCTATTATTAATGTAAACTCCAATTTTTAATAAAACCTTATAGAAAAATTGATTCAACTTTAATCAGTTTGACCATAAGGTGAGATTCTCATAAACCTTTTATACCCTTTACAAATTTTATTAAAGAGCAGATCAGTGCTTTAACAAAACCCTATTGTACTTTTATTCCGATGTTCAATTTATGGAAAAACAGAATAATACCCTTTGAAATTTAGACATTATGGTCACACAAAGAATTTCTTTTACAAGATTAAGTTTTTACAAAAAATTCACAGCTTGTTTAAACTTTCAGCTTTATCTTATCTAGTTTAAAACAATTCTTCAACCCTCTAAACTAGGCAAAAGTTTATATGCCCATGGCTTCTTTTTTATTTTATTTTTTAAATTTTCATAGGTTTTTGGAGAACAGGTGGTATTTGATTACATGAGTAAGTTCTTCAGTGGTGATTTGTGAAATTTTGGTGCACTCCTCACCTGAACAAGGTACACTGAAACCAGTTTGTAGTCTTTTATTCCTCACTGCCATCCCACCCTTTCCCCCGAGTCTCTAAGGTCTGTTGTATTATTCTTATGCCTTTGCGTCCTCATAGCTTAGCTCCTACTTAAGAGTGAGAACATACAATATTTGGATTTCCATTCCTAGGTTACTTCACTTAGAATAATAGTCTCCAGTTCCATCCAGGTTTCTTTATCCAAATTGTCCTGCTATAAACACGCATGTGCAAGTATCTTTTTCATACAATGACTTCTTTTTCTCTGGGTAGATACCCAGTAATGGGATTGCTAAAAATGGTAGTTCTACTTTTAGTTCTTTAAAAAATATTCACGCTGTTTTTTTTTTGTTGTTTGTTTGTTTGTTTTTGAGATGGAGTCTTGCTCTGTTGCCCAAGCTGGAGTGCAATGGTGAAATCTCGGCTCACCGGACCCTCCACCTACCAGGTTCAAACAATTATCCTGCCTCAGCCTCCCGGGTAGCTGAAATTAAAGGCACCTGCCACCACGTACAGCTAATTGTTGTAAATTTAGTAGAGACAGGTTTACACCATGTTGGCCAGTCTGGTCTCGAACTCCTGACCTCATGATCTGCCCGCCTTGGCCTCCCAAAGTGCTTGGATTACAGACATGAGCCACTGCACCCAGCCTATTTCTCATGATTGTACTAGCTTACATTCCCACCAGCAGTGTAGAAGTGTTCCCTTTTCAGGGCATCCATGCCAACATCTATCATTTTTTGATGTTTTGATTATGGCCATTCTTGCAGGAGTAAGGTGATATTTCATTGTGCTTTTGATTTGCATTTCCCTCATCATTAGTGATGTTGAGTCTTTTTTCACGTTTGTTGGCCATTTGTATATCTTCTGATATGGTTTTGCTATGTTCCCACCCAAATCTCATTTCGAATTGTAACTCCCACAATTCCCGTGTGTTGTGGTAGGAACCCAGTGGGAGGTGATTGAATTATGGGGCTGGGTTTTTCCTGTGCTGTTTTCATGATAGTGAATATGTCTCACAAGATCTGATGGTTTTAAAAATGAGAGTTCCCTGCACAAGCTCTCTCTTTGCCTGCCATTATCCATGCAAGATGTGACTTACTCCTCCTTGCCTTTCACCTTCCGCTATGATTGGGAGGCCTCCCCAGGCACATCAAATTGTAAATCCAATAAGCTTTTTATTTTGGAAATTGTGGGGTCTTGAGTATGTATTTATCAGCAGTGCAAAAACAGACTAATATAGTAAATTGGTACTGGGAGTGGGATGTTGCTGAAAAGATACCTGAAAATGGAACTGGGTAACAGGCAGAGGTTGGAACAGTTGGGAGGGCGCAGAATAAGACAGGAAAATGTGGGAAAATTTGTAACTTTCTAGAGACTTTGACTTTGACTTTGACTTTGATTCCCTTATTAGAGAACGGCTTTGACAAAAGTGTGGATAGTGATATGAGCAATGAGATCCAGACTGAGTAGTCTCAGATGGAGATGAGGAACTTGTTGGGAACTGGAGCAAAGTGACTCTTGTTATGTTGTAGCAAAGAGACTGGTGGCATTTTGACCCGTTATTTACATTAGGTATTTTTCCTAATGCTATCCCTCCCCTAGTCCCCTACCCCCTGACAGGCCCTGGTGTGTGATGTATCCCTCTGTGTCCATGTTTTCTCATTGTTCAACTCCCACTTATGAGTGAGAACATGTGGTGTTTGATTTTCTGTTCCTGTGTCAGTTTGCTGATAATGATGATTTCCAGCTTCATCCATGTCCCTGCAAAGGACATGAACTCATCATTTTTTATCGCTGCATAGTATTCCATGGTGTATATGTGCCACATTTTCTTAATCCAGTCTATCATTGTTGGACATTTGGGTTGGTTCTGAGTCTTTGCTATTGTGAATAGGGCTGCAATAAACATACGTGTGCATGTGTCTTTATAGCAGCATGTTTTATAATCCTTTGGGTATATACCCAGTAATGGGATGGCTGGGTCAAATGGTATTTCTAGTTCTAGATCCCTGAGGAATCGCCACACTGACTTCCACAATGGTTGAACTAGTTTACAGCCAGTTTTTAAGTTTCTTAATTGGATTACTGGCTTTAGGGTGGAGTCCTTGGAGAGACAGGAATAGGAGAACATGTAGTTTCTAGGGACTAATAAACAGGCACACCTCTAAGGCAAAAACAGATCTCCAAAACGAAGGGTCTCATTTTTATATCAGATCTCAGATCCCAAAAAATAGGTTAATGCTATGGGAGAAGACAGCGCAATGATTTTACCATGCCCTTTTATTGCATGGCAACCCCAAACCAATTAGCCTATTGTGTACCTATCCCCCAAATTAGTCTTATTTCTCAGTGGGGATGGTGGGGATTTTGCCATACCTTCCAGATGGCTAAGAGCATGCTTCTCTGATCCAACTGTGCAAAGAGCTGAGTACTGCCCCATAACTGCCATTTTCCATCCCTGAAGGTATATTTAGTTTTAGATTTTGAAATGGATCTATCCACCTCTTATTCCTGAAGTTTCAAAAGGAAAACAAGAATTTTTTCTCAAAATGGGGTCTTTGGTGCCTCCTCTGTTTTTCTCAAGGAGTTTCTGGCTATTAGAGCTTGAATATCTGCTTTTAATTAAGCTGACTTTTAATCATAGCACTCTCTAAAATATCTTTTTAAATCTGTTATTATCTGACTTTAGCAACATCAAGTGGCTAATATTTCTGGCTTTTAAACTTTATCAAAATAACTTCACAAGTGAAACCAACAAACTTGAACTAAGGTTATGACTTAACCATGAGTGTATAAGGTATTTTCAAAGAGATGATAAACAGTTTTTGCAAAATCTAGAATCTTAAAAGGTAAGTCAGAGAAAGGAAGATTTAAGAAGGGAAGCTAGAAGTTGTTCATGGAGTGGGAGAGAATCAGCAAATGGTAAAGGTCACACAGATCTCAACCAGAAAGTACTTATTCCCTAAGCCAGGATTGAACCTGGGCCACCACTGTAAAATGGTGGAGACCAAAAGAAAGTACTGCCACATGGTTAACATGTCAAATGTCCAAGGACATAAAACAAGATGAGGACGTCATCCAGTTTATTTTATTTTTATTTTATTTTACTTTATTTATTTTTCTTCATAGACCTTCAGCAAAGTTTGTAACTGACCAATTTGTTGGGCTGACTTAAACAGCAGGGCTTATGGGGTCCTAAGCTTGTGTTCTATTCTAAGGTATTCCTCTTTATTACAGAACCATACAAAAAAAAAAAAAAAAAAAAAAACCACACACGAAAAGTACACTATCAGATTGGCTACAGCTCAAGATTAGCCTCTTAAGCCCTTTTTTCTGTTCATCAAAACTTTACAGAGAATATAAATAGTAATTTTTACCATTTATTCAACTGGTTTGCACAGAGAGAGAGAGGCCAGAAGTATGACTGGTAAGAAATTCTTACCCTTTTGCTATGATGCCAGCTTTCTGGGTTCCCCTTCCCTGAGCAACCCTGCTTGCCACACCATAGCTCCAGGGGCCAAGCTGCATCACAAAGGAAAATCAGAGAACCATAGGCAAAATCCTTTCAATTTTGCAAGTTGCCACCCAACCAGCTGCGTGAAAGACCTGAATTATAATATTTTCCAATCTGGCCAGAGCAAAATATGTGTGCTTTAAATGAAAATACTGAAATCTTTTTAGAAGCTTCTGCATATCAATAGGCATCTCTAGATGAGGCTAATTTGGGAGCCCTCATTGTTTTAAATGAACTCCAGTGTGTTGTTCATTTGGAATGTTTCACTCTAAGTTATCTTTAGTATGGTCTTGCCATTTCTGCAACACTTTGTTGCTTCCCAGGCCTAACACTTATGCACGTGTAAGCCAGAAAGAAATAAGTTATTCAATAATTAAGAATCACATTTTTACCTAAAGCCAATGCTTGGTTCTCAGGTTCCCTTAATTAACTTAGTCAATGATTTTTTTCCTGCCTAAGCATGCAGAAAAAAAATGAAACAAAAAGGTAGAACACAAAGATCCTTGTGAATTTTTAATAGCCAAATTTTACAACCCCTGCAATATTACAACTTACTACCAGTTTCTTTCTAACCCAGTTAGATGTAAGAGGCCTCTAACTGGATCTAAGCCAGTGAATTACCAGATCAAATTCAATCCTGGACACAGTCCAACTTCTGTCACAACTTTAAAACTCAGTTTGCTTCAGAAATATGCTCAAAGAAACTTGGTGAGCTCAAAACACAAATTTATGAATCTCCCAAATCTCAGAGAGAACTTACCCACAATCCCCAGCTGCTCTTAGAGATCAATGGACACAAGTGTGTCATTGCTGGTACCTTGCTTGTTTACTCATCACTGCTGGGGGGTCGTTAAAGCTCTACCCTGGATCCCATTTATGACACCATCTGTTAAAAGAAAAATTTCATATAAGGTGTAAGGAAGGGATCCAGTTTCAGCTTTCTACATATGGCTAGCCAGTTTTCCCAGCACCATTTATTAAATAGGGAATCCTTTCCCCATTTCTTGTTCTTGTCAGGTTTGTCAAAGATCAGATAGTTGTAGATATGTGGCATTATTTCTGAGGTCTCTGTTCTGTTCCATTGGACTATATATCTGTTTTGGTACCAGTACCATGCTGTTTTGGTTACTGTAGCCTTGTAGTATAGTTTGAAGTCAGGTAGCATGATGCCTCTAGCTTTGTTCTTTTGGCTTAGGATTGACTTGGCAATGCGGGCTCTCTTTTGGTTCCATATGAACTTTAAAGTAGTTTTTTCCAATTCTGTGAAGAAAGTCATTGGTAGCTTGATGGGGATGGCATTGAATCTATAAATTACCTTGGGCAGTATGGCCATTTTCACAATATTGATTCTTCCTACCCATGAGCATGGAATGTACTTCCATTTGTTTGTATCCTCTTTTATTTCATTGAGCAGTGGTTTGTAGTTCTCCTTGAAGAGGTCCTTCACGTCCCTTGTAAGTTGCATTCCTAGGTATTTTATTCTCTTTGAAGCAATTGTGAATGGGAGTTCACTCATGATTTGGCTCTCTGTTTGTCTGTTATTGGTGTATAAGAATGCTTGTGATTTTTGCACATTGATTTTGTATCCTGAGACTTTGCTGAAGTTGCTTATCAACTTAAGGAGATTTTGGACTGAGACAATGGGGTTTTCTAGATATACAATCATGTCATCTGCAAACAGGGACAATTTGACTTCCAACTATCACAAGGACAAAAAACCAAACACTGCATGTTCTCACTCATAGGTGGGAATTGAACAATGAGAACACATGGACACAGGAAGGGGAACATCACACACTGGAGCCTGTTGTGGGGTGGGTGGAGGAGGGAGGGAGAGCATTAGGAGATATACCTAATGTTAAATGACGAGTTAATGGGTGCAGCACACCTACATGGCACATATATACATATGTAACAAACCTGCACGTTGTGCACATGTACCATAAAACTTAAAGTATAATAAAAAAAAAAGAAAAACTTTAGCTGAATTAAATTTAAAGGACTTTAATTGAGCAATAAACAATTTGCAAATTGGGCAGCTCCCAGAATCACAGCAGATTCAGAAAGACTCCAGCATAGTCATGTGGTGGAGAAGATTTATGGACAGCAAAAGGAAAGTGACATACAGAAAACACAAGTGAGGTACAGCAACAACTGGATTGGTTACAGCTTGGCATTTGCCACATTTGAACATAATTTGAAGAGTTGGCAGCATTTGATTGGCCAAAACTCAGAGAGTGGCACAGGTGTGAGCTATGGTTTACACATCCACTTGTTATAGTTCACAATGTACAGAAAAGTCTTTAAGCTGAACTCAAATATGTAAGGAGGTGGGTTTAGGCTAAACTAGATTTAACAGACAATTAATGTGAATTCACTGTCAGGTAAATAATATGTCTATTTCATTTGATTATATTTCTTGAGATTTATTTTGTTCCTATGTTTTGGAAATATGTCTCTCTTTCTTCATTTTTCTTCACTCTTTGTGTAGGTAACTGCACATGCAAAACAAACAGCCACCTCTCCCTATCTTTACATACTGGTCTCATAGAGAATATCATCATCAATTAGCCCATTCAGAGATTCTCCGAGCTGCTCAAACTTTCCTGTTAATCTAAAACACTGCTTATTAGTTCTTAGTGGCTACCAGAAGTTTATAGTATACTGGCTGTCATTATTGATATGAGACAAGCAAGATAAAAATAAGTCCCTTGGACAGTGATAGGATAGCGGAAATGTTGGATATGTGGTCCAACTCATTCCCTCCCTAGAGAGAAACGGAGAACTGAGTTTTATTTCTTCTGTCTCTGTGTTGAGTCAAAGGAGGAGCTATGATAACTACATACATCTATTTCAAACTCCCATCTTTATTCTCAGTGATCCCCAGGCATCTAGAGTATGCTGGGTGTCATCAGTGCTGCAAGATCAGGGACATAGAAGCCAGTCCTTTGACAAGACTCCAGAAAAGTTTGAACATTAAATGTGTAATTCAAGCCTTTTTCAATACAGGCTGAAGCTAGGATCTATGCGATTTCTCTCAATTGTACGATGCTGTTTCAAGGGTATGAATTATGGAAAGGAGGTGTCGTGAATTTTTCTACCAGCTTTGATACAACTTGTTTCATAACCTAACTAGTTTCTGGATTTTTCACGAAATGTATTTGTACTTTCATTTTTGTTAAATCAGTGTGTCCATGGGAGGGAAAAACAGTACAATCCTTCCTATTCTGACACTGATATCTCTCCCAGCAAACTACAACTTTTGAGCAGACACGTAACAACGATCAAAAGTCCTAATATCTTGTGTAAATTTGGAGGCAGTTTTTAAATGTATGTAATTTCCCAAAAATAACGCTTTAATGAGAACAAAATCACATTCTTATATTTTTGCTTAGAGATGAGCAAGGAAAGATGTTAGTAGAACCGTAATATAAAGAATGCAGAGTGCTAAAATATTATGTATAGGTTGGGAGGATAAAATGCACACATATTAAGCTGCTTGATTTTGGGAGTTCAGAGATCTTTCTCTGTATTCTCTAGGCTTTCATCAGCTAAACAGAATTATCTAAATGTGTACTGATTATTAATAAGATTATTATTGGCCAAAGGGGAAGAAAAAAAGTATTAAAATATTTTGTATACCTTTCTTCAGTTAGGAGTTCTAGATTGTCAGCTCCATAAAGACACAGTTTTTCTTTGTATCCAGTGTTCTCAAAGCTGCAACTAACCTTACACATGATGGCACTCAATAGTTGTTTTAATAAATGAACGAATAAACACAATTACTATAAAATTAATTGGGTGTCCTCTCTGTGCATATAATTGAAGTAACCGAGAGAGAAACATGATGACATTTCAGCCATTGCATATGAGTTCCACTTCCACTTTCAATTTTAGCTAAATATATATTAGCCTCAAAACACATTTTTTAATAATGGTTTAGAGTAAAGCATAACATTAGATATCAAGTGATATATCAAGCTATGGTTTTAAGGATGTATTCTTAGGTCTTTTGAGTAAAAATTAAAGAAATCAAATATGCTGAATGGCAAAATAAAATTATTTTACCATTTCTACTAAAAACGGATTCTGCATATATCCTATTCAAGAAATGCTAAATTAGATTTGAAACCGAAGTTAAATGGGAAAAGCAGTTTCTCATTAAATTAAATGTAAATTGAACACTATAATAATATAATACTTCGTGGTGTTGGTACAGAGATTTCTGTAAGAAAATCCTATTATGCACATAATGCTTAAGAATGCAATACATGAAAGTCCTGCCTTTTAAGCAACAGCATGTAGAACTAAAACCTATAAAGACACCCATCAGTATTCATCATAAGATAAATAATCTATATTGTTCTGAAGGAAAAATTTAAATTATTAAATGATGTACCTTTTTTCTTGCCACATATTTGAGAAAAGGAATACAAAAAATTTCCACTGCTATACAACACTCTCTTTATATATTTTCACTTTCTTTAAAAAATGAAGATAATAACATGCAAACATTTCTAAACTATTGATGTCATAAAGGAAATCTGAATATAAACTTTATTATACTCACTTTTTGGCATGGTAGTATATTCTGATTTAAAAAGATATATTAGTACAGATACATTTTAAAATTAGTGGCAACACTTACCATCTGGTAAGAATGGAAATCACATTTTTTTTTTTTTTTGAGACAGAGTCCTATTGCCCAGGCTGGAGTGCAGTGGCGCAATCTTGCCTCACTGCAACCTCTGCCTCCCAGGTTCAAATGATTCTCTTGCCTCAGCCTCCTGAGTTACTGGGATTACAGGTGCCTGCCACCACACCCAGCTAATTTTTGAATTTTAAGTAGAGATGGGGTTTCACCACGTTGGCCAGGCTGGTCTCAAACTCCTGACCTCGTGATCCACCTGCCTTGCCCTCCCAAAGTGCTGGGATTACAGGCGTGAGCCACCGTCCCCAGCCTGGAGCTCACTTTTTTATTGTATACTTAGGTTATGTGAAAGTGACAAGCCAACTCTTGGAAACAGGAGCTGAAGAAAGCTGAACAAACTTTATAAATACTCTTTTCTTTTTTGGAGACAGAGTCTCGCTCTGTGGCCCAGGCTAGAGTGCAGTGGCGTGATCTCGGCTTACTGCAAGCTCCGCCTCCCGGGTTCACGCCATTCTCCTGCCTCAGCCTCCCGAGTAGCTGGGACTACAGGCGCCCACCACCACGCCTGGCTAATTTTTTTTGTATTTTTAGTAGAGACAGGGTTTCACTGTGTTAGCCAGGACGGTCTCAATCTCCTGACCTCGTGATCTGCCTGCCTCGGCCTCCCAAGTGCTGGGATTACAGGCGTGAGCCACCGTGCCCGGCCTATAAATACTCTTAAACATTTAAATATGTTGTAACCAAATTTCCTAAAGCACTAACTTTAATATAAGCAATATATTCACAAACCATTAAATTAGATATGATAATAAATGATTACTTTGTATGTTTCTAGTAAAAGGTACAATTTTTCTTTTTTTATTATACTTTAAGTTCTAGGGTACATGTGCACAACCTGCAGGTATCTTACATAGATATACATGTGCCATGTTGGTTTGCTGCACCCATCAACTTGTCATTTACATTAGGTATTTTTCCTAACACTATCCCTCCCTCAGCCCCCCACCCCCCATCACGCCCTGGTATGTGATGCTCCCCTCCCTGTGTCCATGTGTTCCCATTGTTCAACTCCCACTTATGAGTGAAAACATGCAGTGTTTGGTTTTCTGTCCTTGTGACATTTTCCTGAGAATGATGGTTTCCAGCTCCATCCATGTCCCTGCAAAGGACATGAACTCATCCTTTTTTATGGCTGCATAGTAGTCCATGCTGTATATGTGCCACATTTTCTTTATCTGGTCTATTATTGGTGGGAATTGGGGTTGGTTCCAAGTCTTTGCTATTGTGAATAGTGCCGCAGTAAACATAACGTGTGCGTGTGTCTTTATAGTAGCATGATTTATAATCCTTTGAGTATATACCCAGTAATGGGATCGCTGGGTCAAATGGGATTTCTAGTTCTAGATCCTTGAGGAAGTGCCACACTGTCTTCCACAATGGTTGAACTAATTTACACTCTCACCAACAGTGTAAAAGCGTTCCTATTTCTCCACATCCTCTCCGGCATCTGTTGTTTCCTTTTTAATGATTGCCATTCTAACTGGCATGAGATGGTATCTGATTGTGGTTTTGATTTGCATTTCTCTGATGACCAGTGATGATGAGCATTTTTTCACATGTCTGTTGGCTGCATAAATGTCTTCTTTTGAGAAGTGTCTGTTCATATCCTTTGCCCAATTTTTGATGGGTTTTTTTGTTTTTCTCTTGTAAATTTGTTTAAGTCCTTTGTAGATTCTGGATATTAACCCTTTGTCAGATGGATAGACTGCAAAATTTTTCTCCCATTCTGTAGGTTGCCTGTTCACTCTGATGATAGTTTCTTTTGCTGTGCAGAAGCTCTTTAGTTTAATTAGATCCCATTTGTCAATTTTGGCTTTTGTTGCCATTGCTTTTGGTGTTTTAGTCATGAAGTCATTTCCCATGCCTATGTCCTGAATGGTATTACCTAGGTTTTCTTCTAGGGTTTTTATGGTTTTATGTCTTACATTTAAGTCTTTAATTCATCTTGAGTTAATTTTTGTGTAAGGTGTAAGGAAGGGATCCAGTTTCAGCTTTCTACATATGGCTAGCCAGTTTTCACAGCACCGTTTATTAAATAGGGAATCCTTTCCCCCTTGCTTGTTTTCATCAGGTTTGTCAAAGATGAGATGGTTGTAGATGTGTGGTGTTATTTCTGTGGCCTCTGTTCTGATACATTGATCTATATATCTGTTTTGGTACCGGTCTCATGCTGTCTTGTAGACTTGTAGTATAGTTTGAAGTCAGGTAGCGCGATGCCTCCAGCTTTGTTCTTTTTCCTTAGGATTGTCTTGGCTATGGGGCTCTTTTTTGATTTCATATGAAATTTAAAGTAGTTTTTTCCAATTCTTTGAGGAAGGTCAGTGGTAGCTTGATGGGGATAGCATTGAATCTATAAATTACCTTGGGGAATACGGCCATTTTCACCATATTGATTCTTTTTATTTATGAGAATGGAATGTTCTTCCATTTGTTTGTATCCTCTTTTATTTCGTTGAGCAGTGGTTTGTAGTTCTGCTTGAAGAGGTCCTTCACATCCCTTGTAAGTTGGATTCCTAGGTATTTTATTTTTTTGTAGTAATTGTGAATGGGAGTTTGCTCATGATTTGGCTCTCTGTTTGGCTGTTGTTGATGTATAAGAATGCTTGTGATTTTTGCACATTGATTTTGTATCCTGAGAATTTGCTTACATTTCTTATCAGCTTAAGGAGATTTTGGGCTGAGACAATGGGGTATGATGTGATTGTGCATATACAATCATCTCATCTGCAAACAGAGACAGTTTGACTTCCTCTTTTCCTAATTGAATACCCTTTATTTCTTTCTCTTGCCTGATTGCCCTGGCCAGAACTTCCAATCCTATATTGAATAGGAGTGGTGAGAGAGGACATCCTTGTCTTGTGCCACTTTTCAAAGGGAATGCTTCCAGTTTTGCCCATTCAGTATGATATTGGCTGTGGGTTTGTCATAAATAGCTCTCATTACTTTGACACACATTCCATCAATACATAGTTTATTGAGAGTTTTTAGCATGAAAGACTGTTGAATTTTGTTGAAGGCCTTTTATGCATCTATTGAGATAATCATGTGTTTTTTGTCGTTGGTTCTGTTTATGTGATGGATTATGTTTATTCATTTGCGTATGTTGAACCAGCCTTGCATCCCAGGGATGAATTCGACTTGATAATCATGTGGTCGATAAGCTTTTTCATGTGCTGCTGGATTCTATTTGCCAGTATTTTATTGAGGATTTTCACATCGATGCTTCTCAAGGATATTGGCCTAAAATTCTCTTTTTTTGTTGTTTCTCTGCCAGGCTTTGGTATCAGGATGATGCTGGCCTCATAAAATGAGTTAGGGAGGATTCCCTCTCCTTCTATTGATTGGAATAGTTTCAGAAGGAATGGTATCAGCTCCTCTTTGTACCTCTGGTTTAGTCTTGGGAGGGTGTATGTGTCTAGGAATTTATGCATTTCTTCTAGATTTTCTAGTTTATTTGTGTAGAGGTGTTTACAGTATTTTTGGATGGTAGTTTGTATTTCTGTGGGATTGGTGGTGATATCCCATTTATTATTTTTTGTTGAGTCTATTTGATTCTTCTCTCTTTTCTTCTTTATTAATCTGGCTAGTGTTCAATCTGTTTTGTTCATCTTTTCAAAAAAACAGCTCCTGGATTCATTGATTTTTTGAAGAGCTTTTTGTGTCTCTATCTCCTACAGTTCTGCTCTGACCTTAGTTATTGCTTGTCTTCTCCTAGCTTTTGAATTTGTTTGCTCTTGCTTCTCTAGTTCTTTTAATTGTGATGTTAGGGTGTCTATTTTAGATGTTTCCTGCTTTCTCTTGTGGACATTTAGTGCTATAAATTTCCCTCTACACACTGCTTTAAATGTGTCCCAGAGATTCTGGTATGTTGTGTCTTTGTTCTCGTTGGTTTCAAAGAACATCTTTATTTCTGCCTTGATTTCGTTATGTACCCAGTAGTCATTCAGGAGCAGGTTGTTCAGTTTCCATGTAGTTGTGTGGTTTTGAGTGAGTTTCTTAATCCTGAGTTCTAATTTGGTTGCACTGTGGTCTGAGAGACAGATTGTTGTGATTTCTGTTCTTTTACATTTGCTGAGGAGTATTTTACTTCCAATTATGTGGTCAGTTTTAGAATAAGTGTGATGTGGTTCTGAGAAGAATGTATATTCTGTTGATTTGGGGTGGATAGTTCTGTAGATGTCTATTAGATCCACTTGGTCCAGAGCTGAGTTCAAGTCCTGGATATCCTTGTTGATTTTCTGTCTTGTTGATCTGTCTAAAATTGACAGTGGGTTGTTAAAGTCTCCCACTATTATTGTGTGGGAGTCTAAGTCTCTTTGTAGGTCTCTAAGAACTTGCTTTATGAATCAGGTGCTCCTGTATTGGGTGCATATATATTTAGGACAGTTAGCTCTTCTCGTTGAATTGACCACTTTACCATTATGTATTGACCTTCTTTATCTCTTTTGATCTTTGTTGGTTTAAAGTCTGTTCTACCAGGGACCAGTTTTACAACACCTGCTTTTTTTGCTTTCCATTTGCTTGGTAAATCTTCCTCCATCTCTTTATTTTGAGCTTATGTGCGTTTTTGCATGTGAGATGGGTCTCCTGAATACAGCACACCAATGGGCCTTGACTCTTTATCCAGTTTGCCAGTCTGTGTCTTTTAATTGGGACATTTAGCCCATTTACATTTAAACGTAATATTGTTATGTGTCAATCTGATCCTGTCATTATGATGCTAGCTGGTTGTTTTGCCTATTAATTGATGCAGTTTCTTTGTAGCGTCAATGGTCTTTACAATTTGGCATGTTTTTGCAGTGGCTGGTACCGGTTGTTCCTTGCCATGTTTAGCACTTCCTTCAAGAGCTCTTGTAAGGCAGGCCTGGTGGTGACAAAATCTCTCAGCATTTGCTTGTCTGTAAAGGATTTTATTTCTCCTTCACTTATGAAGTTCAGTTTGGCTGGATATGAGATTCTGCATTGAAAATTCTTTTCTTTAAGAATGTTGAATATTGTCCCCCACTCTCTTCTGGCTTGTAGGGTTTCTGCAGAGAGATGTGCTGTTAGTCTGATGGGCTTCCCTTTGTGGGTACCTGAACCTTTCTCTCTGGCTGTCCTTAACATTTTTTCCTTCATTTCAACCTTGGTGAATCTGACAATTATGTGTCTTGGGGTTGCTCTTCTCGAGGAGTATCTTTGTGATGTTCTCTGTATTTCCTGAATTTGAATGTTGGCCTGCCTTTCAAGGTTGGGGAAGTTCTCCTGGATAATATCGTGAAGAGTGTTTTCTAACTGGTTCCATTCTCTCCATCACTTTCAGGTACACCAATTAAACATAGATTTGGTCTTTTCATGTAGTCCCAAATTTCTCTGAGGCTTTGTTCATTCGTTTCTTTTCACTCTTTTTTCCTAATCTTGTCTTCTCACTTTATTTCATTAATTTGATCTTCAATCACTGATATCTTTTCTTCCATTTGATCGAATTGGCTATTGAAGCTTATGTGTGCTTCACAAAGTTTTCATACTGTGGTTTTCAGCTTCATCAGGTCATTTAAGCTCTTCTCTACACTGGGTATCCTAGTTAGCCATCGTCTATCCTTTTTTCAAGGTTTTTAGCTTCCTTGCGATGGGTTAGAACATGCTCCTTTAGCTAGGAGAAGTTTGTTATTACTGACCTTCTGAAGCCTACTTCTGTTATCTCTTCAAACTCATTCTCCATCCAGTTTAGTTCCCTTGCTGGGGAGGAGTTGCATTCCTTTGGAGGAGAGGATGCATTCTGGTTTTTGGAATTTTCAGCCTTTCTGCTCTGGTTTCTCCCTATCTTTGTGGTTTTATCTAACTTTGGTCTTTGATGTTGGTGACCTACAGATGGGGTTTTGGTGTGCATGTCCTTTTTGTTAATGGATGCTATTTCTTTCTGTTTGCTAATTTTCCTTCTAACAGACAGGCCCCTCAGCTGCAGTTCTGTTGGAGTTTGCTGGAGGTCCACTCCAGCCCCTGTTTGTCTGGGTATCACTAGTCGAGGCTGCAGAAGAGCAAACATTGCTGCCTGATCCTTCCTCTGGAAACTTCATTCCAGAGGGTCACCCACCTATATGAGGTGCTTGTTAGCCCCTACTGGGAGGGGTTTCCCAGTCAGGCTACAGGGGGGTCAGGGACCCACTTGAGAGGCAGTCTGTCCGTTATTGGAGCTTGAATGCCATGCTGGGAGAAAAACTACTTTCTTCTGAGCTGTCAGGCCGGAATGTTTAAGTCGGCAGAAGCTGTTTGCTGCCTGTTGTTCAGATATGCCCTGCACCTAGAGGTGGAATCTAGAGAGGTAGTAGACCTTGCTGAGCTGTGGTGGGCTCCACCACATTCAAGCTTCCCTGCCACTTTGTTTACACTGTGAGCATAGAACTGCCTACTCAAGTCTCAGCAATGGCGGATGTCCCTCCGCCCACCAAGCTCCAGCATCCCAGGTAAATCTCAGACTGCTGCTCTAGCAGCAAGCAAGGCTCGGTGGGCATGGGACCTGCTGAGCCAGGCAAGGGAGGGAATCTCCTGGCCTGCTGGTTGTGAAGGCCGTGGGAAAAGTGTAGTTTTGGGCAGAGTGTACTGTTCCTCCAGGTACAGTCACTCTCATCTTCCCTTGGCAAGGAAAGGGAAATCCCCTGACCTGTTGCACTTCCCAGGTGAGGCGATGCCCCAACCTGCTTCGCCTCCCCATCCATGGGCTGCACCCACTGTCTAACCAGTCCCAATGAGATGAACCAGGTACCTCAGTTGGAAATGCAGAAATCACCCCTCTTCTGCATCGATCTAGCTGGGAGCTGTAGACAAGACCTGTTTCTATTCAGCCACCTTGGAAACAACTCCAAAGGTACAATTTTTCATAAAAACTTTGAGAAAAATATAAACCAATTGGAAACCTATAAAACTGAAAGGTAATACTTTGGGAAATCAGCTTTGCCTTTGATGAAAATGGCTCCCAGAGACCTTACTGAGTATAACATTATGTTAATTTAGAGACAAAACTTCAGACTCCCAGAAAGTTGGAGAGGGCCCTATGATATATTACTGGCCCTAGGTTTGCTCCCCTGGGTGAGTGAGAGCAAACCAAAGGCACATGGAGCCTTATAAGGACTAAAAGCCATAATCAGGCAACTCATTACTAATTAAATGAAGGTGGTCTCCTCCCACTTTTATAGCCTACTAGAGGATTGGTACTCTGGAAGAAAGTAACTTCCCCCAGATTTTTTACAGTTTCTTGTACATGATTTGTAGTATTTAATTAAAAACCTATAGCAACACTAGATTATATACTACCCCCAAACTCAGTAGTATACCACAATCATTACTTTTTGCTCTTTTATTTGTGGCTTAGTGGAGAAAAAAGCAATTCAGTCTGAGGGTTGAATAGGACAACTCTACATCGTGTTTTCTTCCTGGTGCCCAGAATAATAGAGCATTGTCTAAAATGAAGTTTTTCCTCACGATAGAGAAAAAGAATTACTAGAGGATCAAGAAGAAACCTAGGATGCCTATTAAAGCCTAAGATAAAATACTACAAACTGTCACTTCTACTCAGATTACGTTGACTAAAGAAAGTCACATAGCAAGCCTATTATCAATAAATGGGAAAGTGTACTCCATCTTTACTCTAGTGTGAGGTACTGTGAAGTCAAAGGACCAAGGTCATGGATTCAGTGAAAACAAAGAATTTGAAAAGCAATGTCATGTAATGCAGCCCACCGTCTTGATTGTAATTATTCCCACGTCCACTACACTCAAAATACACTCAAACTCATTTCAAACACCTCGCCAAAGTCTCATACAATTATTGTATAATGATTCAAGTCCAGAATATTGTGACCTACAGTAGCATTGATGAGGTTTCTCAATAGAGAAACTTAGGGACTAAAAAGACAACTTTTCTGTCCCCTACACACCCTCAAAGACAATTTTGCAACAAGGCTAGAATAACTGTAATGAGCAACCTAATTGGAAAGAAGAAAGAAATGGAGAGATGTAATAGTCATTAGTCAGTAATAATTCTTAAATCCTGCTAGGAAAATATTTCATGTACCGTAGGTAAGGAATAGATCCGGTTTTGCTGCCTGTGAGGGGCTCCCCAATTCAAACTTTTCCCATAGATCTTATCTTTATCCATTCTTTTTTTCCCCACTATCCTCTTGGCTCACAGAAGAAAATACCTTGCTTGACAACTGGCAAAGTCCTTCTGCCTTCTTTTAACAAGGTAGGGTCACAGAGGCCTCTTTTAATCACCAATAGCGTATAATTATTTTTCACATTCAGGTGATGCCAATATAAATATATTTCATTATTATTTTTTAATGTCTGAAAATCCAGTTAACTTCAAGTCAAAGCCATATGCAGAGTTCTTGTCAAGATGCCTTTTGCTCTAGATTTATTTATGGATATTTGGGGTACATAATGATTGTGTGTGACTATATCTTAATCTTCATATGAATTTTTTTTGCTAAAATGCTCTTCTGAATATCACCTGCATTTTGTAAAAAATATTAACAAAGAGGTTTATTGCCAACACTTAACTTAGTTTACTCATTTACCCTGAGAACATCTCTTAATGATAGGGTCCTAGATTACCTCACCTCACAGCTATCAGAGCACTGATCTGGTGAAAAACAAATTAACTTTACAATGCAGTTTCTTACACTCTTTATCCCTTGTAAATTTTAGTTTTTTGTTCTTACCGCATTTATTTCTTGTAGTTTTTTGTCAAATGCAGGTAGCAACATTCAAATCATATGTTTAACATTCTGTCTCAAAATCTCCTCACTCCACTTAGCAAGTTATTCAGGTGTATTTTTCTGCTTTCCGGGTTATCACAGGTGAAAGTTAGTTACTGCTACATATTTTACTTCTTTTAAAAAAAAATTCTGCCAGCTTCACCTCACTTCTAGTCATTAATGTTTGTCTCAGTCAACTAGTGCTATGGTAATATTGCTTGATTAACAACTTTAAAATTTCCATGGCTTAAGGCAACAGTTATTTATTTCCCTTATTCATCTGTTCTTTAACACTGATTCAGATAACCTTGACTAGATAAGGATCTAGACAGGGTTCTAGTTTAGAATGCTAAGGCAATCTTGGTTCGGTGCCATGACTCACGCCTGTAATCCCAGCACTTTGGGAGGCTGAGGCAGGCAGATCACGAGGTCAGGAGATGGAGACCATACTGGCTAACACAGTGAAACCCTGTGTCTGTTAAAAATACAAAAATTAGCCAGGTGTGGTGGCATGAGCCTGTAGTCCCAGCTACTCAGGAGGGCGAGGCAGAAGAATTGCTTGAACCCTGGAGGCGGAGGTTGCAGTGAGCCGAGATCTCTCCATTGCACTCCAGTGGGCAACAGATCGACTCTGTCTCAAAAAAAAAAAAAAAAAAAAAAAAATACTAAGGCAATCTCAAAAACCAAACAAAGAATAAAATTTAGAATTAAGTGGATAAAGAATTGAATGAAAACAGACTCACAGATTTTATCTCATAGCATATTGTATCTAAGAAAAAAGATGAAGTAAGGATAATCTTATTATCAATTGATATATTTCATAACTAATAAATATGAAGTATAAACTCAACATATGGGGTTGATAGTATGTTTTTTAAGCCACTTGATTGAGGTATGATTAAAATACAGAAAGTGGTACATATTTGTTGTACACAACTTGATGAGTCTGGATATAAGTATGCACCCATAAAATTATCCCCAGAATCTATGTCAGAAATGTATATATCATCTCCAAAAGATACCTCTAGCCCTCTTTATACTATTATTATCAATTTGTGATAAGAACACTTTAAAAATATTTATATTTTTAACATATTTTAAGTGTAGAGTAAAATTTCCATGGCTTAAGACAACAGTTATTTATTTCCCTCATCCATCTGTTCTGTAACACTGGCTCAGACAACCTTGACTAGATTAGAATCTGCTTAGTTTTCAGCTAGGGACTGGGTATGTATCAGCTTCATGTGCCCTCACTTTTTAGAGAAAAAGGAGACTTTTTTTCCTTCTGTTTCTTCTTTTTTTCTTTTTGCGATGGAGTCTGGCTCTCTCACCCAGGCTGGAGTGCAGTGGCACGATCTTGGCTCACTGCAACATCTGCTTCCCGGGTCCAAGTGATTCCCCTGCCTCAGCCTCCTGAGTAGCTGGGACTACAGGCGTGTGCCACCATGCCTGGCTAATTTTCTTGTATTTTTTAGAAGTGAAGGGTCTTCGCCATGTTGGCCAGGATGGTCTCGATCTCCTGACCTCGTGATCAGCCCCCTTTGGCCTCCCAAAGTGCCAGGATTACAGCTGTGAGCCACAGCTCCCTGCCGAGACTTTCCTTTTTCTGTGATGGAGTCCAGAAGGTCTCAAAGAGACACACTAATAGTGTGATACCTCAAGGGACAGACTGGGAATCCTTACATAGCATTATTAACTATAGGCACTATACTGAAGTGTAGATCTACAGGACTTATTATTGCATAATTGAAACTATCCCCTTTAACTAATAACTCCCTGTTCTATCTCCACCACCTTGTGACCACCATTCTACTCTCTGTTCTATGAGTTTGACTATTTTAGATTCCACATACAAGTGGTATCATGAAGTTTTTGTCCTTCTGTGTCTGCATGATTTTACTTAGTATAATGTCCTTCAGGTTCATCTATGTTGTTACAACTGATAGGGATTGTTTATTTTTTTTAAGGCTTAATAATATTCCTTTATATAAGTGGTCCATATTCTTATTATTTATTCATCTGTTAATGGACATTTAGGTTGCTTTCTTATCTCGGTTATTGTGAATATTGTTATAAATATGGCAGTGCATATATCTCTTTAAGGTCCTTTATTACTGATGTCAGAATTTACTTATTTCTCTATTACATATCTTTTAACACATTTTTATAGTTATAGTTATTCATAATACTTTTTGTTTTTTAAATTTTATAGTAAGGTTAAAAGTGATTTATAGGGCATCATTATAGTATTACATTATTTAGTGTTTGACTACGTATCTCTCTTTTCCAATGAGATTTACACTGCATATGTTTTCAGGTTCTGTTTAGCAACCCTCTGCTTCAACCTGAATAATTTCCTTTATATTTTATAAAGCAGATGATAAACAAGTTGATGATTATTGGTGATGAATATACTCAGTTTTGCTTGTCTGGAAAAGTCTTTATCTCTGTTTCATTTCGAAAGGACAATTTTGTCAGGTATGGTATTCTTGATTGGTAGATTTTTCCTTTCAGTACTTTGAATAGATCAAACCAATTTTTTGTCTGGCAGGCAAGGTTTCTGCTGAAAAATCTGCTTATAATCTCTTAAGTATGATGTGTGATGTGTCTATTTCAAAATTATCTCTTTGACTTTTGACAAGCAAAATGTAATGTGCCATGATGTATACACTTATATGCTCAATCTATTTGAGGTCCCTCAGATTTAATGAATTTGAATGTCCATTTCTTTTCCCAGATTTGGGAATTTATCAGTCATTCTTCAGTGAACTTTCTCTCTTTTCATGGCATCTTCTCATTCAGAGATTCCCATGATGCAAATGTCAGTTCACTTGATGGTGTCCCAAAAACCTCTTCACATTTTTTTCTCATTTTTTTCTTATTTTTGACTAGATTACTTTAAGTAGTCTTTCTTTAAGTGCACAGATACTTACTTCTGCTTGAGCAAGTCTTCTTCTGAAGCCATCTACTGAATTTTTTAATTTAGTGATTGTATTCTTCAGCTCCAGAATTCCTGTGTGGTTCTTTTTATGATTTAAATATATTTGCTGAGCTTTTGATTTTGTCCATGCATGATTTGTTTGATTTGATTTTTTTTCTATTTGTGTTTTCGTGCAGTTACACTGAGCTTCTGTAAGATGATTATTTTGAATTCTTTTTTAGGAAGTGCATAGATCTCCATTCTTTCAGTATATTTATTGGAGCTTTACTTCATTCCTTCAGTGGCGTCATGTTTTCTGGATTCTTCATGATCCTTGTAGTTTTATCTTAATATCTGCACATTTGAACATGAAATTACTTCTTCTAGTATTTACAGATTGGCTTCTGCAGAGAAAGCCCTTCACCAGTAAGCCCAGCAAGAGAAGTAACCAAAAAGAAATGCAAGAAATAATAATGATAATAATAATAATAATAATAATAATAATAATAATAATAATAATAAACAGTAACAGAAATAAAGAATGCTCTCAAAAGGCTGATCAGTAAACTGCAAATGGCTAAGGAAAAAGTCTCTGGGTTTGAGAATATACCAATAGAAACCTCTAAAACCAAAAAATCAGAGATAACATTTGAAAAAAAAAAGAATATCAAAGAACTCTGGACAACTACAAAAGGTGTAGCATATGCATAATGAGAATACTAACAAAAAAAGAGAGTGAATGGAAGAGAAGACTGTTTGAATCCATAAGGACTGATAATTTCCTCCTGTTTTGTGTTAGACAACAAACCACAGTTCCAGAAAGCTCAGATAACATCAAGCAAGATAAACGCCAAGCCCAAAAAGCAAAAACGCTATACCTAGGTGTATATTCAAAATACAGAAAATTAAATCTACAAGAAAAACCTTGAAGAAGTCAGGGGAAAACAATATCATACCTAGAAAGGACCAAAAATAATAACTAAATTTGACTTATCCTTAGAGATTGTATAAGCAAGAAGAGAGTAGAATGAAATACTTAAAGTGTTGAAATTTTAAAAAGCCTCAATTTCTCTTCTTTACAAAATTTCCACTTAAAAGTTAATAAAAAATAAAGACTTTCTCAGACAAACAAAATTTTAGGGAATTTGTTGCCAGCAGATTTTCCCGAATAAAATGTTTCAAGAAGTTCCTTAGAGAGAAGAAAAATGATATAGGTCAGTTACTTAGATTTCATAAAGACAAGAAGAGTATTAAAAAAGGAATGAGTAACAGCAAAATAAAAAATTTTGGCTGGGCGCGGTGGCTCACGCCTGTAATCCCAGCACTTTGGGAGGCCGAGGCGGGCGGATCACAAGGTCAGGAGATCGAGACCATCCTGGCTAACACGGTGAAACCCCGTCTCTACTAAAAATACAAAAAAAATTAGCCGGGCGCAGTGGCGGGCGCCTGTAGTCCCAGCTACTCGGGAGGCTGAGGCAGGAGAATGGCGTGAACCTGGGAGGCGGAGCTTGCAGTGAGCCAAGATTGTGCCACTGCAATCCGGCCTGGGCTAAAGAGCGGGACTCCGTCTCAAAAAAAAAAAAAAATAAAAAAAATAAAAAAATAAAAAAAAAATAAAATAAAATAAAAAATTTTATTTTTTATTCTTAATTGATCTAACAAATAAAAATTTGTTAAAAATATAACAATAGTAATACTGCGCTTGATTATGTATGTCTGTATATATTATATAGATGTGTGTGTATATATATATATATATATATATATATATATATATATATGCGCACAGGTGTACTGATACATAAGTGAAATGAATGCAGCCATAAAAAAGGACAGGATGGAATAATTAGGATTGTTTTGTTTTTATAAAGTATTCACATTACCTGTAAAGCTACATATTGTTATATGAAAGTAAATTTGGATTAGTTGTAAATGTACTTTGCAAACTCAACAGCAACACACAAAAATAGACAAACAAAAAGCAGAAGTCTAACTGATATCCTAAGAATGGGCAGAAAATGAAACCACACAAAATGCTTGCTTAAACCACAAAGGGGGAAAAAGTGGAAGACAAAAATAGAAATAAAGAATAAGATTAGGCCAGGAATGGTGGCTCACATCTGTAATCCCAGTACTTTGGGAGGCCAAGGTGAGCAGATCACCTGAGGTCAGGAGTTCGAGACCAGCCTGGCCAACATGGTGAAACCTCGTCTCTACTAAAAATACAAAAATTAGCCAGGCATGGTGGCAGGCACCTGTAATCCCAGCTACTTAGGAGGCTGAGGCAGAAGAATTGCTTGAACCCGGGAGGCAGAAATTGCAGTAAGCCGAGACAGCGCCTTTGCACTCCAGCCTGGGCAACAGGAGAGAAACTCCAACAACAACAAAAAAGAATAAGACTAACAAATACAAAATAATAACAAATATGATAGATATTAATCCAGCTAAAAAAATCATTGCTTTGAGCTGAATAGTCTGGATTGATCAATTGAAAGTCAGACATTTTCAAAATGTATCATAAAGCAAGACTTATTATATGTTGACTAAATCAGTTCAATGGAGGAAAACGTATACCAGGTTAATACTAATCAAAGAAAAAATTAAAAGTAGTATCTTTCAGATAGAGCAGACTTCAAAGCAAAAGAAATTATCAGGGATAGAGAACATTACATAACAATAAAAGGGCCAATTTTCCAAGAAGATAAACAGTTCTTAATGTGTATTAAGAACTAAAAACAGATTATCAAACTATATGATGCAAAAATTGATGACACTTAAAAAAAAAAAGATGAATCCACACTACCATACTTCGAGAATTTAACAGCCCTCTCTGAGCAATTGACAGATCCACCAGGCAAAAATTAGCAAAAACATAACTGAACTCAACACCATAAATCAACTGGATATAATCAACATCCAATGATTTTATCCAACAACAGCATAATATACATTCTTTTTAAGGTCACATGGACCATTCATCAATATAGACCACATTCTGAACCATAAAATACAACTTAGCAAATTTAAATAAAAACTATACAATGTCTGCTCTCAGATTATAATAGAATTAAAACTTAAATTACCAACAAAATGATAGCTAAAAGAGTCCAACAAATGAAGAGATTAACACATTGGTTGAAGAAGAAATCTCAAGAGAAATTATAAAATATTTTGAAGTAAATGAAAACAAAAACAAAAGTTATCTAAATTTGTGGCAGTACTTAGAGGGAAAGGCATAGCATTGAGTACATATATCAGAAATGAAAAATCACCTGAAATAAAGAATCTAAGTTTCTACCTTAGAAAACTCGAAAGAGCAAGTTAAATGCAAACAAAGTAGAATAAAAGAAATAGAGAAGAAATCAATAAAATTCAAAACAGATAATGAATAGAAAAAATAAAAAAACCTTGAAAGCTGTTTCTTTGAAAAGATCAATAAAATTAAAAAGCTTGTAGCCAAGTAAACTAAGAAAAAGAGAGAGGACAAAAATGACCAATATCACAAGTTAAATAGGGAACATCTCTACAGATCCCATGGACATTAAAAGCATAATGAAGGAATAGCATAAACAACTTTGTTCCCCCAAATTTTATAATCTGGACACAATCAGCCAATTCCTTGAAACCTACAATCCACCAAATGTGCACAGGAAGAAATGAAGAATCTGAATAGGTCTATATGTATTAAACTAATTGAATCAATATTTAATAACTTGACAAAAGAGAAGAAACTGGAACCAGTTAGGATTACTGGTGAATTCTATCAAACATTTAATGAAGAAATTATACCAAATTTCTACTATCTCTTTCAGAAGATACAAACAGAGGTAGTATTTTCTAACTCATTTTATGAGGGCTGCATTACCTTAACACCAAAACCAAATAAAGATAATATAAGAAACATAAACTAGAGACCAATATCTCTCCAGAACAGATAAAAAAAAATTCAACAAAATATTAGCAAATAAAATACAAAAATGTATATAAAAATTACATACCATGATCAAGTGATAATTATCTCATGTATGCAAGGTTGGTTCAACATTTGAAATCAATTATTATAATCAATCACATCAACAGATTAGAAAAGAAAAATCATATGATCATATCAATAGATAGAAAGCAAATGACAACTCAATACCCATTCACGATATAAACTGTGTAAATTAGTAAGAAAGGAGAACTTTATGAATTTGATTAAAAAAACCTACAAAAAATCTACATTGAACATCATATGTAATTGTGATACTTTCTTGTCTGATTGTTCAATACTGTTCATACTCTCTTGCCTGATTATTCTGGTTAGGACTTCTAGTACTATGTTGAGTAGGAATGGTGAGAATGAGCAAACTTGTCTTGTTCCAGTTATCAAAATAATGTTTTGAGCTTTTGCCCATTCAGTATGATGTTGGCTATGGGTTTGTCATAGGTGGTTCTTATTATTTTGATGTATGGTCCTTCAATGCCTAGCCTGTTGAGGGTTTTTAGCATGAAGGGATGTTTGATCATATTGGAAGCTTTCTCTGTGTCTATGGAGATAATTATATAGTTTTTGCTTTTGATTCTGTTCATGTGGTCAAACACAAATATTGATTTGTACATGTTGACCCAGCCTTTCATCCCAGGATTCTCCCTTGGCAACTTGGTCATTGCTTTTGGCTAAGTTGCCAAATGCAACTGCAACAAAACCAAAAATAGACAAGTGGTATCTAACTAAACTACAGTGCTTTTTGCACAGCAAAAGAAACTACCAACAGAGCAAACATACAACCTGCAAAATGGAAGAAAATATTTACAAACTATGCATCTGACAAAGACCTAATATCCTGAATCTAAGAAACTTAAACAAATCAACAAGCAAAAAAAATCAATAAATCAATAAAAATAAATATAAAAACCTTATTTAAAAATGGGCAAAGGACATGAACAGACATTTCTCAAAAATGTTCAGCATCACTAATAATCAGAGAAAAGCAAATCAAAATCACAATAAGGTACCATCTCACATTAGCCAGAATGGCTATTATGAAAACAGGCCAGGCATGGTGGCTCATGCCTGTAATCCCAGCACTTTGGGAGGCTGAGGCGGGTGGATCACTTGAGGTCAGGAATTCAAGACTAGCCTAGACAACATGGTGAAACACTGACTTTACTAAAAATATAAAAATTAGCCAGGTATGGTGGTGGTTGCCTGTAATCCCAGCTACTTGGGCGGCTAAGGCAGGAGAATTGCTTCAACCCAGGAGGCGGTCATTGCAGTGAGCCAAATTTACACCACTGCATTCCACCCTGGGCGAAAAGGCAAGACCCCATCTCCAAACAACAACAACAGATGTTGGTGAGGCTGTGGAGAAAAGGAGCACTTATACATTGTTCGTAGGAATGTAAATTAGTCCAGCCACTGTGGAAAGCAGTCTGAACAATCTGGAGTTTTCTTAAGGAATTTAAACCAGAGCTACTATTAGACCTGGTAATCCCATTACTGGGTATGTACTGAAAATAAACAAACAAAAAAAAATTCCACCCAAAAGATGCATGCGCTTGTATGTCCATTACTGCACTATTCACAAAAGCAAAAATATGGAATCAATCCAGGTGCTTATGAATGGCAGATTGAATTTTAAATATGTGGTATATATACACCGTGGAATACTACATGGCATGAAAAATAATGAAATCATGCCCTTTGCAGCAATATGGGTGGAGCTGGAGGATATATAATCCTAAACAAATTAACACAGGAACAGAAAAGCAAAGGCTGAGTGTTCTCACTTGTAAGTGGGAGTTAAGCATTTAGCACATGTGGACATAAATATGGGAACAATAGAGCCTGTGGACTACTATAGAGGATGGAGGGAGGAGGTGAGTTTAAAAACTACTTATTGGATACCACGTTGACTACCTGGGTGAAGGGATCCATACTTTATACCCAGGCATCACATAATATTCCCATGTAACACATCTACACATGTAGCCCCAGTACCTAAAATAAAAGTTGAAAAAAAATTTTTTTTTTTGAGACAGAGTCTCACTCTGTCTCCCAGGCTGGAATGCAGTGGCCCAATCTCGGCTCACTGCATCCTCCACCTCCTGGGTTCAAGCGATTCTCCTGCCTCAGCCTCCCGAGTAGCTGGGACTACAGGTGTCCACCACCACACCCAGCTAATTTTTTATTTTTAGTAGAGATGGGGTTTCACCATATTGGCTAGGCTAGTCTCGAACTCTCGATCTTGTGATCTGCCTGCCTCTGCCTCCCAAAGTGCTGGGATTACAGGCATGAGCCACCGTGCCCAGCCTTTTTTTAAATTTTTTTTTTTGAGGTGGATTCTCGCTCTGTAGCCCAGGCTGGAGTGCAGTGGTGCTATCTCAGCTCACTGCAAGCTCTGCTATTGGGGGAACCCACCCCGGATAATGCACGTAGGTTTTCTTCTATTTTCCCTAAGTGTCAGCTGGTCTGAGAAATAAACAGAAAGAGTACAAAAGAGAAAAATTTTAAAGCTGGGTGTCCAGGGAAGACATCACATGTGTCAGCAGGTTCCATGATGCCCCGCAAGCCTCAAAACCAGCAAGTTTTTATTAGTGATTTTCAAAAGGGGAGGGAGTGTACAAATAGGGTATGGGTCACAGAGATCACATGCTTCACAAGGTAATAAAATATCACAAGGCAAATGGAGGCAGGGCGAGATCACAGGACCAGGGCAAAACTAAAATTGCTAATGAAGTTTTGGGCACGCATTGTCATTGATAACATCTTATCAGGAGAGGAGACAGGGTTTGAGAGCAGACAGCCAGTCTGACCAAAATTTATGAGGTGGGAATTTCCTCGTCCTAATAAGCCTGGGAGTGCTATGGGAAACTGGGGCTTATTTCATTCCTTATCTACTATAAAAGACAGACGTCCCCAAAGCGGCCATTTCAGAGGCCTCCCCTTAGGAATGCATTCTCTTTCTCAGGGATTTTCCTTGCTGAGAAAAAGAATTCTGCGATATTTCTCCTATTCGCTTTTGAAAGAAGAGAAATATGGCTCTGTTCCACCCGGCCCACGGGCAGCCAGACTTTAAGGTTATCTCCCTTGTTCCCTGAACATTGCTGTTATCCTGTTCTTTTTTCAAGGTGCCCAGATTTCATATTGTTTAAACAATTTGTGCAGTTAACGCAATCATCACAGGGTCCTGAGGTGACATTCATCCTCAGCTTAGGAAGATGATGGGATTAAGAGATTAAAGTAAAGACAGGCATAGGAAATCACAAGAGTATTGATTGGGGATAAGTGTCCATGAAATCTTCACAATTTATGTTCAGAGATTGCGGTAAAGACAGGCGTAAGAAATTATAAAAGTATTAATTTGGGGAACTAATAAATGTCCATGAAATCTGCACAATTTATGTTCTTCTGCCATGGCTTCAGCTGGTCCCTCCGTTCAGGGTCCCTGACTTCCTGCAACACTCTGCCTTCCAGGTTCACACCATTCTTCTGCCTCAGCCTCCCAAGTAGCTGGGACTAGAGGTGCCTGCCACCATGCCTGCCTAATTTGTTTGTATTTTTAGTAGAGCTGGGGTTTCACTGTGTTAGCCAGGATGGTCTCAATCTCCTGACCTTGTGATCTGCCTGCCTCGGCTTCCCAAAGTGCTGGGATTACAGGCATGAGCCACCATGCCTGGCCAAAAGTTGAAATTTTTTAAAAAGAAATGAAAGTCGTGCAGATTGGGAAGGAAAAAATAAAACTGCTTTGGTTCACAGATGACATGATAGTGTAAAAAAATCCCTAAGAATCAAAAATAACAGGATTCCTGGAACTAATAAGCACATTAAAAAAATGTAATACTTTAGTATAAATCTAAGAAAATATTACAAGATTCATGTAAGGAAAACTATAAATTTTGATGAAAGGAATCAGAGAAGAACTAAAGAAATTAATAAATATTTCATGTTAATGGATCAAAAGACTCAATATTATCAATATGTTTGTTTTTTCAATCTTAATCTGTAGATTCAATGCAGTCCCAATCAAAATCCCAATCAAATATCAGACCAATTATTTACACTTAGCAATTAGCGTCCGTTACTCATGAACATTTTACTCCATGTGGTGAATTACAAAGGCACATATCATCTAAATGTGCAAGAGAAGGGTTTTCACAACAGTAGCAGAACCCAGAAGCTTCAATACTGAAGTTACCAGGGGGAGTAGTAAAGCTACTCCTACTGTCCCTTAGGAGAAAGAGAAAGAAAATTTTCTGTTCAGTATAAACAAATTCTCCTGAGCTTTCTAACTTAAGGTTACTCTTTAGTCATACTTTAGCCTGCTTATCAACAACTTTTGTTCAAGAAGCCCTGAACATGCACAAAAATGAAATGTTCACATTGGTTTCCAAAATATTAGAATATGATAATTCTAAGTATCCACTAGATTATGTGCTAAGTGTTTGTGTGTGTGTGTGTGTGTGTGTGTAAACACACATATATATTTGTGATTGAGATGACAAGAAGGATATTATTTAGCTATTAAAATATAGCAGAGTGGTCAGTTTCAGAGGCTCACAAAGTTAAGCTCTGCCTTATTTATTTTTTATGATGTACCAGATATGTATCATATAAAAATAAAAATATTTGATATTTAAAATAAGAAAATTTATATTACAAATGGGAGCAAACACTAAAAGGGCTTATACCTGTGTTTAAGTACTTAGGCTTCTGAATGAGTGACAGAGCTTGCCAACCTATAGCAAGAAATATACATTAAAAGACCTCGATTTTTATTGAATAGAAGTTTGTAAATCTTTGAGTTTTCATGAAATTCCTGAAATTTGTGCTTTAGATACTAAAAATAGTTATTAACAGGAAAATTAATTGTCTTGATTTTCTTACATACATTTTATAACAGAGTATTTTCCACTGTGAATAATACAGGAGATAAAAAGAGTCTATTATACTGAGTTATATTTTCCAAGCATTATTTTAAGTCTTTTTATAAAAGCCAAGACTCTGAAATAAATGTGTTTATTATATTTCATGTATGCCTGAAAGAAAACTAAGTAACTGAAAAAAGGTCAGCTGTAAAAAATCAGCCTTCAAACACCCTGATGTTATGAATTATAACTACTGCCTGTTGTAGATGCAGGGGATGACTCCTTCAATATCTGAAAACATGTGCCTTGAAATTTTCAATTACTCTCAGGGAACCAAACATTTCTTATGAAAAGTATTTGACAAGGCTGGCTGAAAAATGTGACTCTGCAGAAGGAAATGCCATTGGATCACTGGAGTGTGATTGAAAGAAAAGTAAAAACCAGAGTTCCGGCTCTTCACAGCTGAAAAGGAAACTACACATGGTATCAAGTCTCCTGGGAGTAAACTCAAGAAGGCCTTATGCTGACATCAAGTGACTTTTAGTGCCAGAAAAAGACAACACATTTTACTATCATAAATTAGAAATAAACACATTTAATAATTTACACACCTCAATTCAAAATTCGACAGATGTATTTATAAATTATTTTATATAAAATTACATAGTGACAGAGTTTAATAAGCAGAAATTACAGGAGTTAAATGGAGACATAGCCATACACACATAATCATGTAGAGAATAAAGAAGGAGAGAGGTATAATTAAAATTATCAACAAGTTAGACCTGATATTTCCCAAATGTCATTTCAAAAACATCACTTCTATTTTTTCTCAAAAACCAATCACATCCCCATCTTACCAAATTTTTCCTCATACAAAATCCATAGCAACTTTATGTAACTTGATAATTTAAATATCATGCACTCCTATGAAAAGAGAATTAGTGGAAGCTTGAGTCATCTTCTAATATAGGGAAATTTGGAGTTGTTCTAAAGCAAGGATGCCATCTCTTCTTCATTCAGAGAAAATATATTCTACCCATTTTGAAACTAGTAGTCAAAATACAAACACAGATTTATTCCAATGAGGAAAGAATAGGCGGGGCATGTGACTCACATCTGTAATCCCAGCAATTTGGGAGGCGAAGGCAAGAGGATCACTATAGCCCAGGAGTTCAAGACCAGCCTTAGGCAATAGAGGAAGACCCTCTCTCTGTAAGAAAAAAAAAAAAAGGAGAAAGAATAAAATGCCTTCTATTTCAGCCTTGTCTTGTCCTCGATTATTCAGGGCATCTTTCAATACATTTCTATTGGTTGGTGCAAAAGTAATAGCGGTTTTTGCCATTGAAAATAATGGCAAATTGAAAGTAATTTGCCATTACTTTCTATGGCTATTACTTTCGCAGCAAACTAATACTAAAAGCTTCAATTCTTCTAAAAAATAAAAATGGATATGTGCTAATGACTGATTACATGCTAACACTGCCTACTAAGGTACTGCCCAAAAGTAGACAAAAAATAAAAAATAAAAATAAAAATAACCTAAAATAAACTATTTTAAATGTGTCTCTTTTCATCCTGGGGGTACATCAATCATAAATCTTACAGCACTGAACAACTAGGTCACAATTTTCATATAATATGGCTAAAATATATTCTCAACTATTTTGCGGCATGCAAAATGCAGCATGAAATAGCTTCAGAACTATGAACAATATGTTAATCATACGTTTTCGTCCAAGAGATAAGGAAGCACCCTATATTTCCATATGCCCAAGATACATGCTTGAAAGTTATTTTTTTCAAAGAAAAAACATTTTAAAGTTTTGTATCTCAATTAACAATGTGCTTTAATTTATGTGATGGAAAGTAGCTTTGTAAAAATAATTTGATAGAAATAGATGTTGAATGGACAATCTCAAACAACTGAAACAAAATAAATAGTTTAATAAAGTCTTCAAGGCAAAATGTTCATATGGGCAGCGTGCGAGGGAGAAGAACCTGTAATGAATTAAGTTTAATATTATTTGTATTTTATATTGTCTTTACCTAAAATGTTTATTTTTGCACCTTAATATTATTAGCAATTGCATATACTGTTTAATTATGCAAACACTGTTGTTAAAAATTCTCTGTTTAGGAATATTAAATGTGTTTTCATTGCTTATTAGGTTTTTTAATGCTAGGGTATACCGTGTTTATAGTTTAACTATATTGTTCTAATGTTTGAAACATTGTGCCTTTATATAACTACACAAAATTTAATGCAAATAATAAACTAGTAGATATTCTTAACTATTGAAAGCTATTTAGAATATTACTGCTGAAGGGAAGAAATTGACTTCCTTTTCACTTAATGCTGGTAGCTGGTATTAACATAAACACATGTTGATTTAGTGAAATACTAATTCTATCTTTAGAAATGTACCTTTTATTGCACTAAAGAAGCTATAAAGGGCCTTTTTGAGTTTTAATGAGCCAAGACAAATATAGTTTGATCTTTCTGACTTAAAACCATATATAATTTTTAACTTGAAGGAATAAAAACACTTTAAGTCTACATTTAGCTTTATTTCTCCGAGTACCATATTTGTAACTGATAATTCAAAAAGTGACCTACATTTTCCTGGAGATTGCAAAATAAATGTCATACCTCTGTGCATATTAATGTGATTGTTCTGCATTTTAAAAAAATCAAGTTAAATTCTGTACTCATGGTTTAGATTGATTTCCCACCAGGTGAAGGAAATAAAGTATAATCACTGCCTTTGATTAAATGAAGCAAATAGCAATGACGATGTGCTAATGTATAAAAATTGACAGCAGTAAAAAAAACTCCAATAACATATATTTGGCAAAGCATGACCAGTACATATGAAATTCCTTTCCACTTTCACTCACTAAAAACAAGTGAAATAATTCTCACTGTAGTCTATCTACATGAGATAATACTGAGAGAAAAGTTTATTTTTATAACAACTTTGTTAATTGCATTTAAATTGCATTAAATCATAACAGATTATTTAACGAAGTCCTGATTGGTCCTGTGAAGGTTTTAGACATACTAGTAGTCTCTATATTCATCTCATAAAGCTATCATTAAATTATGACTGTTTTATTGAAGTTTACTTTAATAGAAAGATACAATATCTATATTTGTGTCTACATTCTTTCAATTAATATAATATCTGGGAGTATCATCCATGTTCTTGTATGCAGCTGTAGTTGGTTCAATTTTCATTGTTGAGTTTTCCATTGTCTTTATATATGGCAATTTATTTATCCATTCTACTCTTGATGGGCATTTGAGTTTTTGTCAGTTTGGTATGATTATAGAAAAATTCTGTAATAAACTTACTTGTACTATTTCTTTGTCACTTGTGCCTGTATTTCTCTTGGAAATACAGCTAGAGGTGGAACTCCTGTGTCAGATTATGCATACATTCAATTTTAGAGTTAACAGTAAATGGTTTCCTAAAGTAGTTGTACCAATTTATACTCCCAAATGCCTCTAATGTATAAGGATTTCAATTGCTTTACATTTTCATCACTACTTGGTACCCAAGGCCTTTTTAATTGTAAACATTCTAGATGAAATTTTTGTATAATGTGTAGTGGCATTGTTTTTTCAGTTTTATTTTTTATTTTCTTAAATTCAAATGTATTAAACAACTTTTCATGTCTTTTTGACTATATGAATATGCTTTTTTATAAAGTACCTCTTCAAATTTTTTGTTTATTTTTCTTTTGGGCTTTCTATTTTATTGATTGCAGTTCTTAATCTAGCTTAATGCATTACAAGCTTCCACTTGACCACTTACTTTTCACTCTTTTCTAAAGTTAGAATAAAGAGATATTAATAAAATGAATTATTGAATTACTCTTTGATGAAAATTAATAACTCATCAAAGAGTTATTAATTTTGATAACTCAATTCATTAATATTTCTTTATGGAACTCAAGTTAGTGATATTCTCTACACTAATTAACAAAAGATTGCTGTTTTTCCTCTCACAACTAGATCAGTAAGTAGATCTGGAACTGTTTTTGTATGTGATAGGAAGGAGGGGGTTAATATAATTTTTCTAGGTGGACATCAAATGGTCCTAGCATTGATATTGAAAAGACAAGCCTTTTCTCCACTTCTTTGCAATGCTGAATTCTTAATCAAATGTTCAAACATGCATTGGTCAGCTTCTACCCTCTCCATTCTGTCATTTATCTGTTTGCTTATCTTTGGTCCAATAGCAAAGCCTAAATAACTAGAATTTATAATAAAGCTCCCAGCATCTTGTTCTTCTTTACCTCATATTCTTCAGTAGTGTCTTTGGTATTCTTGATCCTTTGCATTTCCATGTAAAACTTTGAACAGGATTGACAGATTCAGGGGAAAAAAAATTCCATCACCTATAATCTACAAATCAATCTGAATTTGGGGAGAATAGACATTAAAGCAATCTAATCCAGGAACACAGCGTAGTAATGCATCACTAATGACACTATGGGTTCCATGGTGTTATTTGTGTTTTATAGTATTGCACTAAACACTATAAAAAATATGCAAGAACCACAAGAGATCACTTTTTGCTGCTATACGCCATTTACTAGAGAAAGGAATTGCTCACAGAAAAATAATTAGTGTCATATGGCATTTTAAGCGAATACTTGCAACACTTGAGCTCACTGCAATAGCAACAGGTGTTGACTATGAAATTATAGTAGTACACTATGTACTACAGTTAATTTTATGTAGTTATGATTTAATACTGCATCTTTACACTTGTTTACATTTATTTTTGTTGTGAATGGTGCCCTGTATGGTCTGTAAGTGTTTGTGTGGGAAAGTTTTGATAAATTTTAACTTTGTGTAATAGATTTATATTTACTTTATGATAGCATGTGACAGAATAGTATCGGCATATATTTTATTCATTCATGATATAATTTTTCCTTCTTTTGATATTTCTAAGCTATATGGTTTATCTGAGAGTTTTTTCAAATTGTTGCAAATACCCCAAAATTTTTCTAATGTATTTTTTGAAAAAATATCTATGTATAAGTGGACCAATTCAGTTCAAACCCATGTCATTCAAGAATCAACTGTATATAATTTATTTTATTTTCTTTAATTTCTTGCAATAATATTTTTAGTATTTAGAAATACAGGAGAAAAAAATTACATATTTTATTAGTTTTTATGGGCACTTTAATAACATTTACGGTGATATATATTCAATATCAGTTCTAAGTTGTTTTCGTTTATGTGTAAAAACACAATTGATTTGTCTACAACACCTATACTATCATGTCATCTGTCAGTATTTCCTTCCAATCTTTTCACTTAGGTTTTGGCTTATCACATGGATAGGACCATAAATACAATGTGTATTAAAAGTAGTTTTCATGGGCATTCCTTCCTTGGTCCTTCACTCAGAGAAAGTTTTTGGCATTTCATCATTATGTATGTTCACTGTAGCTTATTTTATTTTTTTGTATGTGAACTTTAGCAGATTAGGAAATTCGCTTTTCCTTCCTACTTTATTAAGTATGACTAAATTAAATTTACTGAGACTTTATATTTCATGAATGGTAGTTGAATTTTATTAAATTATTATTTTTTCTTTGTTAACATATAATGTTTCTCCTTAATTACCTTTAAACATTAAATTACACTGGTTGACTTTTGGCTCTTAAACCGTCTTTGTTTTTCTGATGCCAATACTTTTGAGCCAAAGGCCACCATGAAGACATCTGCATTTTAGAAATTGAGTTTATTGATTCTTGCAGCAAGCAGAAACACACACCATGAAAAACTCCAGGATGTCTTAGTAAGAAGCTCATAGAACTTACAGAATTTGAGTGCCTTACCTGATTTTCAGGAGGGTTCAAGGAAGCAGGATATTTGTATTGGATACTTTGAGGATCTGGAGACAATTTTATAATGGGATAATTTACTAAATTTTATGTATTTAGTGAGAGAAATGAAATAAGGACAAAGTTGTCATTGGTAAAAAACATCAATAACCCATATTAACTAATATAGCAGGATGTTTAGCCATTCTTTTGTAGAGAAAATGTTCATGTTATTTTTGTTGTTGTTGTTGTTGTTGTTGTTCTGTGTCAGACATGGTAATGAAGTGGTTATTTTTGGCTTGATTTACCATGATCACAGAGTGGCTTTGTCTGATGTTGGTGTGCTACGAAATTGGTTATGTTTAGCAAGAGAAAAACAAAACCTAGCTGTGATTACCAAGATAGCTCTTGGCAACATCAAGTCATAAATTATAGTGCCAGTTCAGCTTCTGGTTAGCCAAAACTGCTTTTCCCTTTTTCACTAGAATTAATAAACAGTGGTGCATTGTATTAGTACTGTGTTGGTTGGCTGATTGTATTTATAATTTTTGCATAGATGTTTATAAATGATGTTGACTTTAGTTTTCAGATTTTTTTTTTTCTTTTTGAGACACAGTCTTGCTGTCACCCAGTCTGGAGTGCAGTGTCATGATCTCAGCTCAGTGCAACTCCACCCCCCAGGTTCAAGTGATTCTCCTGCCTCAGTCTCCTGAGTAGCTGGGATTACAGGCATGCTGTAATTTTTGTACTTTTAGTAGAGATGGGGTTTCACCATGTTGGTCAGGCTGGTCTTGAACTCCTGACCTCATGATCCACCCGCCTCAGCCTCCCAAAGTTCTGGGATTACAGGTGTGACCCACCACATCTGGCCAACTTTAGTCTTCGGAATGTTCTTGGATGTTGGTATCATGCTTATGGTCCTTTAAAATGAGTTTAGAGCTTTTTTTTTTCAACTTTATGGAAAAATTAATGTAAATTTTGTATATCTTCTGGATGCTTTCCTTATATAAAAATATGTAATTCCCTAGTACACCATAAAGATAATACATCATCAATTTAACATCATAGATTTAAAAACTATTAATAAAATGAATTGACTTAAGGCAGTCCATTTAAAAATATCCCCTACATTAATTTTCAGCAAACACATCTCATATGTTTTAAATGATTGTCATGTATCTGTTTGAATAGGATTTCCATTTATTTTAATCTCAATTTTAGCTGCTAAATTGCAACTAGCCAAACTTGGAAATATTCTATAACTTCCAAAATAGTTAGGTGTATGCTTTATCTTTTTACTCAATCTGACAAAATAAAATGCCATTACTCTCAAAAATTGGGAATAGAAAAATATACCAGACTGTCCTTATCAAAAGTTTTAATTACTCTATAGTAGAATGTCTCTCCTAATTATTTGTTGTAATGACTAGAATTACATAAATGAAGCTCTACTAACTCCTAGGTAATAACTCTTGATAGATCAGGAATAGCAAACCCTTTGTAATCTCAACACCATGATTTTAGGTTAGTTGCGGAAGTAAGACCTATATTACATATCTCAGCTGTTTAATCATCACCCTAGAAGTGTTTGCTTTAGAAATGAAAAGTGATGTGTGTGTGCTGCTAAAAATTTTACCTGTAAAGTAACAGAGTTTCTTAAGATAACAGTTGTGACATACACACATATATGTATACATAAAGAATTGATTGCTAAACTGAGGAAGACTTAATAAGGTTGATTGTGTAAATGTCATTGTTCTGGTTATGATCATGTATTAATATTATATACAACATGCTACTGCCAAGACCAGATCAGTTGAGGAGACCCTAACCCAGCAGCACTAGAGGAATTAAAGACACATACACAGAAATATGGAGTGTGGAGTGGGAAATCAGGGGTCTCACAGCCTTCAGAGCTGAAAGCCTCAAACAGAGATTCACCCACATATTTATTGACAGCAAGCCAGTGATAAACATTGTTTCTATAGATTATAGATTAACTAAAAGCATTTCTTATGGGAAATAAAGGGATGGGCCCAAATAAAGGGATGAGCCCAAATAAAGGGATGGGATCTGACTACTTATCTGCAGCAGGAGCATGTCCTTAAGGTACAGATCGCTCATGCTGTTGTTTGCAGTTTAAGAATGCCTTTAAGCCATTTTCTGCCGTGGGTGGGCCAGTTCTTCCTTGCTGTCATTTCGGTAAACCCACAACATTCCAGTGTGGGTGTCATGGCCATCACGAACATGTCACAGTGCTGCACAGATTTTGTTGATGGCCAGATTTGGGGCCAGTTTATGGCCAGATTTGGGGGCCTATTCCCAGCATGTCCCCCTTATTTGTATTGCAAAGTGATAAAAGCAAAGGCAGCTTTGTCATGGTGAGCTACTTCTTGCAAGAGTCAGGATCCGCATCTGCAGACTATACAAAGACAAACAACACAGATTAAAGCACAATCATCATTGAAATTGCAGAGCTTCCAAGTGTTTTTATCCATTTTAATGGGTTACTAGCTGCTAATCTGTCTGCAGCTCCTTCAAGCACTCTAGTTCCAGGCATTAAGGTCAGGTGTGCCTGGGATGCTTTAAATATTTGTTCCCAAATTTTGATATTATTAAGAACCTTTAATAGTTTCCACAAATCCTTATGTTTAGCTTCTACAATGGGCCATATCATTTGAGGTTGAGTACCACTATGCCGCCATGTTTCCAGGTAATAGGAATTCTTGCTGTACTACTTACCATTTCTACAATCTTACTGTTTTGTTCAGACCAGCTGAACATAGTGAGGCTGTGGCACACAGATTGAGAGGTGCAATTCAAGCTAAACATCCCCTTAGGGGACCAATCAATAATGATTCCATAGGAATCATTGCGCAGCACCTCTGCCTGTTCTGCAATGCAATCTTCCCAAACAAGTACATTCATTTTTTCTGGCCAGGTCCAAATCTGTTTACAAATAGGTATTTGAGGGCAGTATGCCTCAATTATAGAAGCAGATTTATTATGATAAATACTGAGGTCAGAAAGCATGTGTAACCGTGTCATAGAGTGATTACATCCAGGCATTATTGCCAGCCAAGATTGATAAATATGCCCAATAAGTATAATTGTTCTCTGTGTCGGCCCTTGTTGAAGGAATACTCGCAGCAATGGTGATCACCGCTATCCTAGCTACCATTAAATTACTCATTGTGACTGTTTGTCCTGCTTTTCTCAGATTTTCTTCCGCCATCTGTGACAGCTTCTTGATCTGTCCCCAGGTAGGTGGCTGTGTTTGATGGGTGTTGCTCGTGACAGTTGGGGTTCTTCTCAGCATCAGTCTCAACATGACTGCAACTGTGGGGTCCTTGGGATCCTCCCGGAATCTCTTCTTCATCATCTGGCTCATGATAAGTTTTCAGATGTCTTGATGGTATCCAAATCAGCTGTTGATTCGGTCCTGGAGAAACACAAGCATAACCTCTACCCCAAGTTATTATTTTACCTATTTCCCAACTTTTTGTTATCAGATCTTTCCACCAAACCAGTTGTTCTGCTTCTGTCTTTGCAGCTGGTTTCTGTTCTGTATATGCTGTTCAGTTGCTGATAACATCTGGCCTTTAGGCAGGCTCAAAAAATTTAAAGTTAATAACGCTAGATTCACTTGTTTCTGTGGTGTCCCATAGTCCCTGTTTTTCCCCCTCTGCTTTTGCAACTGCTGTTTCAGGGAGTGATTCATTCTTTCCACTATGGCTTTCCCTTGAGAATTATATGGGATACCAGTAATGTGTTTTATAGTCCATATAGAGAAAAATGTACCTAGAGCTTGGCTAGTATAGCCTGGGACATTATCTGTTTTAATAGAAGCGGGAATGCCCATCACCACAAAACACTGCAAAAAGTGATGTTTAACACAGGCAGAAGACTCTCCTGACTGGCATGTAGCCCAGATGAAGTGAGAAAAGGTGTCCACACATACATGTACATAAGGTAGTCTTCCAAGCGAGGGAACATGTGTGATATCCATTTGCCAAAGGGAATTAGGTTCCAATCCTCAAGGATTAACTCCTCCTGTAAAAAACGAGGAATGTACCATTTGGCAAGTTGGGCATCACTGGATAATAGCTTTAGCTTCTTAGCAGGTAATGCTGTATCTGTGTTTGAGACCAGAGGCATTAACATGGGTTAAAATGTGAAAGTGTCTAGCATTAGATATTGCATTAGCAACTAGGTGATCAGCCATTTGATTCCCTTCAGTTAAAGGTCCTGGAAGAGGTGTATGAGCCCTAAAGTAAGTGATGTAAAGAGGGTTTGTTCTGTTCCTAACTGCTGTTTCCAATTGGGTAAATAAAGTCATCAGTTGTTCATCTGTATGAAATTGTAACTGAGCATTTTCAATTAATTGTGTGGAATGAACCACATTTGAAGAATCAGAAATCGCATTAAAGACATATCAAAAGCAGTCAAGCATGAACCCGGGAGGTGGAGCTTACAGTGAGCCCAGATCGTGCCACTGCACTCCAGCCTGTGCGACAGAGCAAGACTCCATCTCAAAAAAAAAAAAAAATGCAGTCAATACCTCAATTATAGCTACAAGCTCTGCTTTTTGAGCTGAAGTATAGGGCATCTGAAAAACTTTACTTTTCGAGCCAGAATAAGAAGCTTTACCATTACTAGACCCATTTGTAAAAACATTCTCAACACCTTCCGTTGGTTTAAATTTAGTTATTTTAGGGAGAATCCAATCAGTGAATTTCAAAAATTGAAACAGTTTTGTTTTAGGAAAATCGTTATCAAGAATACCCACAAAGTCAGCTAAATGGGCTTGCCAAGTAAGACTATTTATAAAAGCTTGATGTATTTGTGCCTTAGTGAGAGGGACAATAATTTTTCCAGGATCATATCCATGTAATTTAACAATCCGAGTTCTCCCATTTCTTATCATATTCTCAATTTGATCCAAATAAGGAGTTAGAGTCCATGAATTAGTATGTCGAAGAGAAAGCTATTCTACTAAGTCCTGCTCTTGGATAATAACACCAGTAGGTGAATGCTGAGTTGGAAAAATTAGCAAATCTAGATTCTTCTCTGGATCTATTCTATTTATTTGAGCTTTATGGACTTGCTTTTTGATTAGCTGTAACTCTTCCTCAGCCTCCTTTGTTAATTGCTGAGGGCTAGTGAGACTAGGATCTCTTCTAAGGATAGAAAATAGATTACTCATGGCATAGGCAGGAATGCCTAGAGCAGGTCGTATCCAATTAATGTCCCCTAGTAATTTTTGAAAGTCATTTAATGTTTTCAGTTGATCCCTATGTATGGTTACTTTCTGTGGCACAATGGTAGTGTCATTTACTAAGGTCCTCAAGAAGGAGTAAGGAGTAGTAGTCTGAATTTTGTCAGGAGCTATAATTCAAGCAGCGTGAGAAATCAAGTTTTGCAAGTGATCATAACATTGGAGCAATATTTCTTGAGTGGGGGCAAAAAATAAGTATATCATCCATATAATGTGTAATGTAACACTGTGAAAATTTTTTACAAGTAGGTTCAATTGCTTGCCCTACATAAGTCTGGCAAATTGTTGGACTGTTTAACATGCCTCTTGGCAACACTTTCCAGTGAAAATGCTTAGCAGGCTGTAGGTCATTTACTGTAAGAATTGTAAATGCAAACTGTTCACAGTCTTGCTCAGCTAAGGGGATAATAAAGAAACAGTCTTAAATCTATGACTATTAAAGGCCAGTTTTTTGGAATTATAGCAGGAGAAGGCAATCCTGGCTGTAATGATCCCATAGGTTGTATAACTGAATTAATGGCTCTTAAATCAGTTAACATTCTTCATTTACCTGATTTTTTCTTAATTACAAAAACTGGAGAATTCCAAGGGGAAGATGTTGGAGCTATGTGTCCGTGTTCTAATTGTTCAGTAACGAATTCCTCTAAAGCCTCCAGTTTCTCTTTACTTAGCAGCCATTGTTCTATCCACATTGGCTTATCTGTTAATCATTTTAAAGGTATAGGTTCTGGAGGCTTAACAATGGCTGCCATCAAAAATGACATCCTAAACCTTGGCGGGAACTTTGTTTTTCTGCTTGAAGTGATTCTTCAAACCTTGCAAATTTTTTCCTAGTCCCATACCAGGGACATACCCCATTTCATGTATCATATGTTGACTTTGAGGGTTGTATAATTGCTCTGGAATTAGAACTTGTGCTCCCCATTATTGTAATAAATCTCTTCCCCATAAATTTGTAGGTACAGAAGTTATAATTGGTTGAATAGTACCAGGTTGTCCATTGGGCCCTTCACAATGCAAAATATAACTACTTTGATATACTTTAGGGGCTTTGCAAGCTCCAACTATGTTAAATTGAGCAGGTTGAATTGGCCACGCACATGGTCAGTGCTGTAGAGAAATGATTGAAATGTCTGCTCCTGTATCTACCAAACCTTTAAATTTCTTTCTCTGAATAGTTATTTCACAGGTAGGACGTTTATCAGTTATTTGATTCACCCAGTAAGCTGCTTTGCCTTGTTTATTTGTGCTTCCAAATCCTCCTGTTCATTTAATTTCACTTTTCCCCATTTCCACATACGGCACAATCAGGAGTTGCGCTATATGCTTTCCTGGCTCTGCTTTCTAGGGAACAGAAGTAGGTATAACAATTTGAATTTCCCCGTTGTAATCTGAATCAATGACTCCTGTTTGTACTTGTACCCCTTTTAAATTTAAAGTAGACCCTCCTAGAAGTAATCCTATCGTTCCCGCTGGCAAGAGTCCACAGACCCCTGTTGGAACTTTTGGCATGGGTTCCCCAGGCAGAAGGCTCACAGCTTTTGTGCAGCATAAATCTACTGTAGCACTACCGACTGTGGCAGGGGACAGACATTGTACAGGGATGAGGGAATGGCCTGAGCTGGAAATGCCCTGATTTGGAATGGGGCATGGGACGGGCCCCTCATGGTGTTTCCGGAAATCGGGTTCCCATCGTTATCAAATTTAGAATGACACTGATTGGCCCAGGGCTTTCCTTTTTTACATTTTGGACATATTTCAGGCTCAGCAGTTTTCTTTTTTCCCTTATCTGGCAGTCTGAGTCGTTGATTTTTTTCTACATTCTTTTTTAGTATGACCATGCTTCCCACAGTTAAAACAAGCTCCAGGAAATGGAGTATTTCCTTTACCCACTCTCAGTCCTGCCATTGCCTGGGCTAGCAGAGTGGCCTTATGCAGGTTACCTCCGATACTGTCACAGGCCTTGATATAATCAACTAAATATGCTTTCCCTCTAATAGGATGCAGAGAAGCCTGGCAATCGGTATTTGCATTGTCAAAAGCTAATAACCATAACATTATATCCTGAGGAGCTGAATCTGCCATCACCTTTTTAAGAGACTCCTGTATCCGAGCTATAAAATCTGCATACGGTTCTTTCAGTCCCTGTTTTAAGCACCAAAGGAAGGGTATTGCTCTCCTCCCAAAGTGATTTTTTTCCCAAGCTCTAATGCACATTCCTCTAAGCTGTTCTGTGGTATCATCCTGCATGACCACTTGTGCATCTAAACCAGCCCAGCCACCAACCCCCAAAAGTTGGTCTGCAGTTATATTGAGGTTGGGCTTGGGCATTGTGAGCAGTCTGAATGGAAGCTTCATCTGCCCACCAAGTTTTAAATTGTAAGAATTGAGCAGGAGTTAAACAAGCTCAAGTAAGAGTGTGGCAGTCAGTAGGAATCATCTAACTGGAAACACAAACATTCTGTAATAGCCGTATTACAAAAGGAGAACCTGGTCCATATTGATTAATAGCTTGTTTAAATTCTTTGAGTAATTTAAATGGAAAAGGCTCAAATGTAGCTATAATATTTCCCTGTTGACCTGGGGGATGTATTTTAACAGGGAACTGCCAAGCCTCTAAATCGCCCTCTCTTCTAGCTTGCTGAATTCCTGCCTGAATAGAAGTGAGAGCAGTCACTTGAGGTGCTGCTTGAATAGTCACTGGGGCAACTACTTTTCACCCATTGTCCTCTGGAAAAGAAAGATCTGGAGGGTCAGGCCACTCTTTTTCTTCAAAATAATGAGGGGATGCAGGAGGGCAGGGATGAACTTCTTCCTCCTTTGCTGCTTTAGCTTTAACTGGCAAACAAACCTGTTCTGTTACTTCTTGTGTTACTTCATTATACTTTCCTTCCTCTTCATCATCAGTGTGAAAAGGTGGAACAAACCAGAGCCCACACTTATCCCATTGTTACCCTGATGCTTCCGAGCACCCCTTCTTAATCACCACGGGGATTGCTTAGGAGTATTCAGGTGCCCTCCAGCTTAGTTCCTTGCTCTCCAACTGTCATTCCGGCAACCCTTCAACCTAGGTTCGAGCCTTCAATTGGGCGCCACTTGCCAAAACCAGCTCGGTTGTGGAGACCCTAACCCAGCAGTGCTAGTTGGAATTAAAGACACACACACAGAAATATAGAGTGTGGAGTGGGAATCAGGGGTCTCACAGCCTTCAGAGCTGAAAGCCTTGAACAGAGATTTACCCACATATTTATTGACAGCAAGCCAGTGATAAGCATTGTTTCTACAGATTATAGATTAACTAAAAGCATTTCTTTCAGGAAATAAAGGGATGGGCCAAAATAAAGGGATGGGCTCTGGCTGGTTATCTGCAGCAGGAGTATGTCCTTAAGGCACGGATTGCTCATGCTATTGTTTGTGGATTAAGAACACCTTTAAGCTGTTTTCCACCCTAGGTGGGCCAGGTGTTCCTTGCTGTCATTCCAGGAAACCCACAAGCTTCTAGCATGGGTGTCCTGGCCATCACAAACATGTCACAGTGCTGCAGAGATTTTGTTTATGACCAGTTTTGGGGCCAGTTTATGGCCAGATTTGGGGGACTATTCCCAACATGTTACCATTGGAGGAAACTGAGTGAAAGATATACAAGATCTCTCTGTCATTATTGTATTATTTCTTATAACACCACGTGAATCTACAATTATCTCAAAACAGACATTTCAACACAAATGAGATTTAATAGTGAAATACAGTCTAGATAAATTGGGCAAATTAAATATAAAATATAAAAACATAAGGTACTTTAGGTCATGATTTTAGCTTAAAATAACCTATGAAATCAAGAGTTTTGGCTCTATTGTGTAGCTAATTTGAATAAGGATTTATAATTAAAATGGTCCACTCATCTTAAACTGAAGAAATGAAAATAGAGGACTCTTAAAATTCCAGATAATAGTATATTTTATCGTGTATAATAATACATTTTGTCATGGTTTAAATCAGGGATCACCAACCCCGGGCAGAAGACCAGTAGCCATCCATGGCCTGTTAAGAACCCAACTGTACAGCAGGAGTTGAACTGGCAAGGGAGCATTACTGCCTAGGCTCCGCTTCCTATGAGATCAGCAGTGGCATGAAATTCTCATAGGTGTATGAACACTATGGTGAAATGCTCATCCAAGAGATGTAGGCTGTGCCCTCCTTATGAGACGCTAATGCTTTATCTGAGGTGGAGCAGTTTCATCCAGAAACCATTTTGCCCCCACACTTTCTAGCCACATACCTTGGAAAAATTGTCTTCTATGAAACCAGTCCCTAATGCCAAAAACATTGGGGATCACTGTTTTAAATAATTGAGTTAATCTCAGAAACAAAAATAAAGCTTTTGCTTGTTTTTTTAAAATACTCTTTAAAAGTAGCTATAACTGTAAATATATGACCCTTCAATATTGTGCTACTTTTTCTTTTCATCTGATCAATTGCAATATTTCCTCAAGTTTAATAGTGTGATAAGTATAATGTTAACATTAGCTATCCCGGCTGGCTGGAGTGGTTCATGCCTGTAATCACAGCACTTTTGGGGTTGAGAAGGTTTGATTGCTTGAGCCCAGGAGTTCAAAACCAGCCTGGGCAACGTGGTGAAACCATGTCTCGACAAAAATAGAAAAATGAGCCAGAGGTGGTGGCATATGCCTGTAATCCCAGCTACTAGGGAGGCTGAGGCAGGAAAATCGTTTAAACCCAGGATGTAGTGGTTGCACTGAGCCAGAATCTTGCCACTGCACTCTAACCTGGGGAACAGAGCAAGACTCTGTCTCTAAATTAATTAATTAACAAAATAAAATTAAAATTATCTGGGCATAGGGGTGTGCACCAGTAGTTCCAGGTACTTGGGAAGCTAAAGTGGGAGGATCGTGTGAACCAAGGGAGAAATAGACTTCAGTGAGCCATTCCTGATTGTGCCACTGCACTTCAACTTGGGAGACGGAGTGACATCCTGTCTCAAAACAAAGAAAAACATTACTAATTCATAAAATGAGTAGGACATACAAGGGCAAAAAATGGTCTTGAGACCCCAAAACAGATGACACAGAACCTGTATACACTAAAGTCTCAATATATGTGCTTAAAAGTAGGGCTTAGTGCAGTCACTTGAAAACACTTTATTTTCTCTGTCACATTATTTTAACAGCTGTCAGTACAATTTTTTTCCGATAGAACCACAATATAACAGAAGCAGGAGAAGAAATGCCATAGAAAGCAGTCTGACAGCAGTAAACGTGTTAGCCACGAGTGGAATAGGAAGGACAGTGGAGGAAAACTTTGAAAAGCAAAACTAAGCATAAAGGCAAGTAGCCATCAAAGGATTATTGAGAACATCAAACATTTTACAATATGGAAATGCGGTGCTCACAGTGTTGATCTTGAGTCATTAAAAGTTTAAGTTATAATTAATAACTGTTTAAAATAACAGGTAAAATAGCAACATGATTTTGTGCAATACTTTTAATAATGACAATATTGTGCACAATAGCTCAGTACTTCTGTCTTTGTTGTGTGCATATAACATGCCAGGAAGGTTCATTTATTTATGCATAACATTTCTGAGGCAGAATATGTATATATATATTCACTAATTTTAAAGAAAAAGAAATTGAGGAATATTGTTATTTCCATAAGGCAAAACATTCAAAAGTTGAAAAACAGGATATAAAATAATTTGCAGCTATAAATGTGTGTTAAAGTTATAAATGTGTGTCAAGTTAAAATTTTTAAATAGTTTTATTTTCCCCAAATTACTGTACTTCTCCTTTGCTTGAATTCTTATATTTTCTTATTTTCATGTTAGAATTGGTACTTAAAGATTAAAAATTCAACTAAATATAAAAATTTATCCCAATTGTCCATTGTTATTATGATATTTGCTTTTAGTAAATTTAGTTGAAATCTATGTTTCCATTCATCTTGAGTTTTGCCAAGCCCTGTGCTGTATTAGTGTTTCAGTAAAAGGCTGCTAAAATATGTAAGATTAGCACTAGATTGGGGAGCCAGAAAACTGAAGCAATTCAGGTGCAAGACTGAGGGAACACAGGCTCAAAACTATTGGCAATCCACAATCTCCAGTAGGTTTCACTTGGCTGGGGCATACATACTCAATGATAGAAAGCTAGACCAATGAGCTGAGCTTTGCTTCAAAACAGCTATATTGTGTCATCTGGAGCTGCCTTTTAGAAAGAAATGTCATTTCTGATGTGAGGTGAGGGAGGGATTTGCCTTTCAAAAGCAAAGAGAAAAAGAGCAAAGCTTTCATTCAGCCTTGAATGAATGTACCAAAAATAGAATTATAAAAACTGAAACATTTCCAGACAGATAATGGCATTCCTGCTGAGAGGGTAAGTTCCTGGAGTGTGCAAAGGAACTGGGAAGAGTAGTCTCTCAGACAAGAAAATTGATTCTGTAATTTTCCATCAGCACTACAGGCTGCCAGCATGATTGCACTTGTTTCTCTAAAAGCATTAGTAAGACAATTACCGATTATATCAACACGGCATTTACATGTTTGTGACCACCTATGCCTGGAGCCCAGGAAATTTATAATCCATTGCCTGACATTTTTGCTATTCTATGTGAGCTATTAGGCAGCCAAAGTAAAATCTGATGGCACTCAGGAAAATCAAGTGAACGCACGCTTGTAACTTGTGTACACACAAAAAGGAGAAATCTGTAATGTATGTGTGCAAAGTTTAAGAAATCAGAATTGACATTTTTATTGTTTTAGAAGAAAATATTATTTGATCAATAGGGAAAAAACAAATATGCAGTTTTATATCTCAGTCTTGTTAATGGATTAAACCACATATACCTGTAAACTGAATTACACATATAAAGCACACCGTTAAAAATAATACACTAAAACCTGACTTTTTTACATGTAATATTATTTACTTGACCATTTCCTTAATGTTGGCTTTTTATTCTTGGAGTTGACATCACTCCTATAAAACTGCATTTAAGATATTTGTGAACATTTCAATAACTTACGTCTTTTATTATTTACTTAGGATTAGTAAAGAAAACTAGGAAAAAAAGTCATAGTATGAGACTGTTCTTAAAAATGTACTGGTGTAACTTCTTTTTAAGAAGGTTTGAAAATTCTTATTTCTATATGTTCTAAATTTAAAAATACTTGTTTCCAATAATCTTTGCCAATTTAATAAATAAAAATGCACTTATTTTATTTTTGATTTTTTTCCAAGACTGCTAAGTGGAATATAGATTTCACAGACTAACTTACCGTGAAGTTCATTATCCCTTCTGGTAAAAATGTATCTTGAGATGATATATCCTTGTCACTTTGATTTGCATTTACCTGATGATTAGTGATATGAAAGGTTTTTTCAGACAAGTCTGCTTAGTTTGCTCATTCAAAAATAGCACTGTTTGTATTTTCACTGCTGAGATGTTTGAGTTCCTTTAATATTCTATATATTAATCCCCTGGTGGATGAATAGTTTGCAAATGTTTCTTCCCATTTTGTAGGTTGTTTCCTCAGTTTATTGGTTTGTTCCTTTGCTCTGCAGAAGCTCTTCAGTTTGACATAATCCTATTTGCCTATTTTTGCTTTCATGCCTATGCTTTTGAGGTCTTATTCATATTATCTTTTCCCAGGCCAGTGTCCTGAAGAATTTTTTCTGTTTCTTCTAGTAGTTTTATAGTTTCAGATCTGACATTTAGGTCTTTAACTCATTTTGAGGTGATTATTGTATCTGGTGAGAGTAGGAGGGTCTAATTTCATTCTTCTGTATTTGGAAATCCAGTTTTCTCAGCACTATTTATGAAAAGTACTGAGAAAATTTCTCCAATAAGTATTCTTGGCACCTCAGTGAAAAATCAGCTGACTGCAAATATGTAGATTAATTTCCGGGTTCTCTATTCTATTCTATTGGCCCATATATATATATGCTTATGTCAACACTGTGTTGTTTTGCTTACTATAGGTTTGTAGTGTATTTTGAATTCTAGTACTGTGATGCCTCCTGCTTTGTTCTTTTTGCTTAGGGTTCTGTTGGTTCCTTTAGTTTTGCCATGGTTTCATTTGAATTTTAAGATGGCATCTTACCCCAGTTAGTATGGTTGTTATCAAAAATACAAAAATAACAAATAATGAAAAGAATGTAAAGAAAAAATAAGCTGTATGCATTGTTAGTATGTAAACCAGTACAGCCACTATGGAGGACAGTATGGAGGCTCCTCAAACTATAAACACAACAACCACATGATCTAGTAATCCCAATACTGTGCATTTAACCAAAGAAAAGGAAATCAGTGTACAGAAGAGATATCTACACCCCATGTTTATTGCAGCATTATTTTCAATAACCAAGATATAGAATCAACTCAACTGCCCAACAACAGATAAAAGGATAAGGAAAATGTACTATCTATACACAATGAAATACTATTCAGCCTAAAAAAGAATGAAATTCTGCCATTTATAGTGACATGAATGGAACTGGAGGGCATTATATCAAGTGAAGTAATCCATGAACAAAAAGTTAAAGTTGAAAGCTAAAAGAAAGTCTATCTCATAAAAGTTAAAAGTAGAACAGTGGTTTCTAGAGGCCTGCAAAGATATGGAGGAGGGGTGGGGATAGAGAAAGATTTGTTAAAGGACACAAAATTACAGCTACTTAAGAGGAATATGTTTGAGTGTTTTATAGCCCTGCAGGAGGACTATAGTTAACAATAAAATATTATATATTTTCAAATAGCTAGAAGGGAGAATATTGGATGTTCCCAACAAAAATAAGAAAAACAAAAACACAAATCATGTCTGAATAATACACATTTATAAATAACTTACAGAGTATCTATCATATACTGTAATAATTCTTAAAATAAATTTTTATTGCAAATTTACTTACCACAGACATAATTTCTGAGTCAAGTCTTTCAACTTTTCTTATTCCAACTACACAAAGAAATTAGTGGAACTGTAGAAAATTTACAAAATAGAGGAAAATATATAAATGGGTAAACACAATTTTTTTTTTTTTTTTTTTTTTTTTTTTTTTTTTGAGACGGAGTTTTGCTCTGTCGCCCAGGCTGGAGTGCAGTGGCGCGATCTCGACTCACTGCAAGCTCCGCCTCCCGGGTTCACGCCATTCTCCTGCCTCAGCCTCCCATGTAGCTGGGACTACAGGCGCGCGCCACCATGCCCGGCTAATTTTTTTTTGTATTTTTAGTAGAGACGGGGTTTCACCGTGTTAGCCAGGATGGTCTCGATCTCCTGACCTCGTGATCCGCCCGACAATTATTTTTAAAAAATAAAAATTAAAAATAAAATAATCTTTAACTTAATTTCTTACATATTCTATTTTCATCTAACATTTTGTTGTACATGTCCTTATCTTGTTCTACATATTAATACTCAAGTTAACCCATTTCAATTATATACAGATTTCAGGGTGTGTTATTTAGAATGTTTTAAGAAAGGAGCAGTAACTTCTGGGTCATTGCTTTGAAAAGGGTTGGTAACTTCTGGGTGTTTTGTACACATACAACTTCTGGGTCATTGTCATGGCATTTGTAAACTGTCATGACACTGGTGGGAGTATCTTATGTGAATGAGCAATGAGGGCAACTAAAGATTGCTTTCTTCCCCATCTGCTGGTTCCTGCTGGTTTCTTTATCATGTCTGGACCAGATTCTGTTTTAATCAGCAGGGTTGTGACCAGAAAACAAGTCCTGCTAGTCTCCTTTGTCATTTCCCTCTCAGAGATTAGATACTCCTCTCTAATCTTAAGGGAGCTGCAGAAGGGTAGAGGTCCATCTTCTGTAACTCCTTCTTGTTGATTTTATGAGTATAGGCCCTGCCTAGCATTGGAAGAGTAAAAATCTCCAGATACCTGATCTAAGGGGCCCAATCACAGGATGTTTTCATTTTCTGGATCAGAAGAGGGAATGGAATGGAAGCCTTGTGCCAGTATCATCTTTATATGGAACCAGAAAATATACGCTTCACTAGGAGGTTAAGCAAGAAAATTACAATTAGAAGGAAGAGATAAATTAATGCTTCTGTGCCCACCCAAAGTATCATGTTATTTATGTATTCATTTGCAAAACAGCAGCCTTAAGTTTTCTAGGTTTATAAATGTAGGTTGTGGTGTCCTCTTTTTTTGCCTGCGGGGACTCATAAGAAACAAGTTTGATTCTGGACAGATGTACCCAACTAGTGATTTCCTGAAGTTTAACAGCAGTGGGAATACTTAACAATATCTGATAAGGGCCCTTTTATTTTGGTGGTAATTGTTCCTTCAGGGATCTTTTATTTTTTTCTTAAGTTTAAGTAATACTAAATATTTTAATTGAAGAGGGGAGCTATTTTTCCACTTGTGGGAAAGGACAATACTTTGTTTATGTAATTTTTGAAAGAGCATTTTGAACTTGGCCTAAATTTCAAAGGGGAGCATAGTGAAGTGTGTCTGATGCCCTGTTTCCTGTCATGACCTAAGTTAGTTTTTAAGGTTTTTTGGGGATTTCTTTTGGCCAAGGGACTTAGAGTCAAAAGACTTATGGCCAATTAAGCACTCTGGGCCAGATGGAAATGGAGGTGGAAAGGAGTTCATTAGCCCTTAAAACCTTTTGAGCAATATGAAAGTCAAAAACTATAAAATAAAAATAAGGTTACACATTAATAAAAACCAAGAACCTAGAAACCATCTATATTGGGGGAAAGTGCTGTTCCTATAGACCTCTACGACAAAACATTTTAGAATCATGCCATAACTTTCAGCATCAGAGGAGAAAAACTCACAGGAGCTGATGAAAAAGCCACAAGAGAGAGCCATCATTCCAGACCTTCTTAAAGGCAAAAAGAGCTGAAAGCAGCAAGACACAACAGCAGTTGAATTCTGAGACATATATCCAAGAAGTTTTAAAAGAAACTGATTATAGCATTGAAAGCAAAATTTCCTATAATTTACCAAATCAATAACTTAAGAAAACCTGGTTCTAATATGTAAACCATTTTCTAGAAAGTCTACCAGGAGCAATTTTCTTTCAATCATAGCAAGCTTAATCATACACAAAACTTCTTTCATAAATTCCCTTTCACAAATTTACTTCACAACGTATACAAACCATCTATACAATGCTTGGACTTTCTGCCTTGTGTTATATCTTTTAAAAAACAGTTATTTTATTCTAGGACAAGAATTTACTATACAAGACCCTTTTTCATGCAAAATTACTCTTTATATAATTTTTTGCAAAAAAAAACTTCTGTCTATAACTTTCTTCACATCTCTCTTTTCTACTCACTAATTTCTTTATATTTTGAATCTGTCTTTTAATAACTTCCAAGTTAGACAAAAACAATTATTTCCCAATAAAGCATACATCTTCTTTGGCACATTTTATATAAAGGTAGGAGTAAGAAATTCTTAACTGCCCACCAGACATTGGCATTCTATAGATGAGAACCCGTACCACAATTTTAAGATTATTTACTATAAAAAGCTTGCATTTTAAAGCCACTTTAGCCATTCTAAAGCCTATAAGCACCAGTCATTTACCAAGGTGAAAATATTAAAGTTAAAATTTAAAAACACAACATTTTTTAAACTAACAATTTTAGACTAGTGTTATTTGTTTAATTTATGAGAACTCTTTTATTTATAAGCCAATCTGATAGCTTGCTAGACACAACAGACAACACACAAAGTGACTTATACAAGACACTGGATTCAAGTTATTTACAAAATTGGGACCTGTCTACATGGCCAAATTTTGTTTGTCCCAAGAGGTATGGAAGACAGGGAGAGGCAGGGGAGTGGATTCCACACCATCAAATAAGGAAGGGAGGGGCGAATGGAGTTGTTCAAGAGAAGAACTCAAGAGTCACAGAGCTGCCAGAAAGCTCACCTAGCAGTGGAGACACCAAAGAAAAATGTTCAGGCAGCTGCCTGTCTGCCACTGAGGAAAGCTGTCTGATAGGTCAAGGGCTTGAGATCCTCAGCAAACTTACTTAAGATAGCTCACTGGGGCCAGTGGAAGAAGGAAGGTTAGCTCTAGTATTGACAGAGAGCTTTTTTTTTTCCCTCTCACTGGGGATGGTTAGGAAATTCTCATTGCCAATGGCCCTCTTGCTTACAGTAAGCTGACTGGTTTTGTCCAGGGTTGAGCAAGTCATAGGCTCTTGTCTGGGCATCCCAGATGTTGATTTCATGATACTTTCTTGGGATGGGTAACCCTCAGGTCGCAAGGGGCTTAAAGTAATTGTTAACATTTGTACTTTTGAGCCTTTTTTTTTAACCTCTTTGCCCTGTTTCTATTGTTGTAAATTTTAAAGGCCACGTTTAAGTGTTGCCTCATAGGGGTTTGAGGTCCCATGGCCGCTTTTTGTAGCTTCTTCCTAATGTCAGGGGAAGATTGAGTAATAAAATATATACTCTCCTGGAGTGTCTGCATCTGCATTAGCATATTTCCTAAGTTCCTCAACCAAATGACCTTGAAACAGAGTGGGATTTTTGTCTTTTCCCTGAGTTATTTTTGTAGCCTTGGCATAATTGACTGGCTTAACCACACACTTTCTCTTCTGCTTTTTTTCCAGCAGCACAGCAAGAAGAAGCAATAATTGTAAGTCATGACAAGTTAAATCAAGAACATTGTCAATTTAACAAAAACTCCTCTATAAACTTTTCTGGATCCGCTGAAAGCTGGCTAAATATTTCCTTTTACAAAGCAAATCAGGTCTAGAAAATGGCACAAGTACTCTAAGTGTTCCCCCATTCCCATCAGCTATCTCCTGCAATAGACACAGGTTTGACTTTAGGGGCTATGGGGCCCCAATCCTGGTGGTACTGGCTGGACTTACTTTCTTGGTCAGTGAAGGTATAGGCTGAGGCTAGTTGTATAAGAGGGAAGGATGCCTGATGACACTGGGGTGGAATCTTGCATTAGAAAACTGGCAGGGCTGTCTTCAGATCTGTGGGACTGAGGAGACTGGGGAAGGTATAGGCCTTCTACGGGGAGCAGCTAGGAAGTGATCCCTTAGGTGTGGCTTCCTGGTGCCTGGAAGTAACATGAGCCAATAAAGGGTCATAAAATCCTGTACATAGGGACTTTCATTTTCCTTCCTTTATACAGAGTAAGTTCTACTTTAAAATAGCATTATAATGTATAGGAACATGTTTAGTACAAATCTCTTGGTTTTCTAATGTGTAATAGATGTAAGCAATGTTTCAGGAGAAAATGAGTTTCTTTTTCTTTAAGCTGAATTTGAATTTGTTCCAGTAGCCTAAAAAACGCCCCAGAAGACAATCCTCTGGGATGCTTTTCATTTTCCCCACATCCATCAGGATTTTTACTGGGCACATTTTCCTGCCTCTCTGCTGATCACCACCGTCTCGCTGTCTTACTGCTGATCACTGCTATCTCTGCTGTCTCATTGCTGTGAAGGTCAGTGCCTCTCACTTGCCATCTTTATCCTTTCATTGCTCTCCAGTTAATACAGGAAAATACAATTTTCTTAAGTCTAGCAAGAGGAAAAGCAACTGGACTCTTGCTATTTTTTTTTTCCTTCTAGATTCCCACTTCCTGAAGAGGAGGTGTAAGTATAGGTAGCACGGTATTACAAAAGTGGATTATAAGCATTTCCCAGTGAATGAAATATGATAAAATGAGTATTTTTATTAAGCAAAGTTTAGAAGGAAGTATAAATCCAGTGACAATAAGAAAATAAAATGCCATTATGAAAAATGATAACTTTAGGGCAGAAAACAAGAAAAGGCAAGACCAAGATTCCACTAGGGTAGCACTTCAACTCACAGTCCTAGACAAAACACCAATACCAAAAATTCCAGAGCATCCAGGGGGCAGCCAGCAATACCAAATGCCCAAGAGTACCCAAGAATCAGCCAACTAAGGTCCCCACACCAAATACTGAAAACTCAGAGCATCTATGAAGTGACCAGCTATGAACTTGAAAGGCTTGGTTGGGGCCACACAACAACATGACTCAAGCAACACCGAGTCAACACAATGGGGGACCTCTCATAACCAAGTGTCCTGCCTTAAGAAATTGCCCAAATACAGTTAACAGACAGCCAAAACAACAACAACAAACCTTGCAAATAAAACATATATTTTAGAACTGAAGATTTAAAGGCTGACAGAGTAATAAATGGTGTCAGAGGAAAAGGACTGGGGATGGTGTGACAAGGACGTGATTCAAGGTATTCAGATTACAGGGAACTTTAAACTGACCACCTAGCTGGAGGCTTTTTTCCCTGATTCACCCAGTATTTGAAGGAGAGGGCAGAGAGGACACTCGCCCATCCAGGGGAGCCAAAATGGCACTGACCATTCTTCTATGTAGGGCCCAGACGAAGGTCTTCCCAGGTTCTCTCAGCCTGGGGGGCTCAGCAGCCATGCAAGGGGGCCAGTGAGGGAATCTGTGACCTTCTGGCCTGATAGTCAAAGTGGGGGATCCCATATGAGGCTGCAGTGGCACTATGGCCACTTGCCTGTCTGCTGAGCTCCACTGCACATTGGGAAAGATGATGTCTTTTAAAAATGCCTTTGGCTGGTGTTAGCACTCTGTGGTGCTAATTTCAGTCTCACTGCCTCTCTCTGACTGTTGCCTGTTGCCATCTCACTGATCACTATCACACCACCTCTCCAATTGCCCCTTCTCGCCACCTCACCAGTAGCCATTTTGCCATCTCTCAGTTTCTTGTCATTGCCTCCCAGCCAACCACCAATCACCACCATCTCTGCCATCTTCCCCTCTCTCTCTACTGACCACCACTGTCTTGCTGTCTCACTGTTGATCACTGCTGTCTCTGCTGTCTCACTGCTGTGTAGGTCAGTGCCTCTAAGTTACCTTCTTCATTTATTCATTGGTTGCCAGATAATACAGAAAATGTAAGCCCCAATTCTGGGGCTTACAAAGAAGGGCTCTTGGCTTCTCTTGGAAAAGAATTCAAGGGTAAGCCAGTGGAGTTACACAGCAATCTTTTATTGAGTGATATTTCTCCTTGCAAAGCAGGACTAACTCATAGGCAGCATGCCCAGAGTCAGCAACGTATGGGCTCTTGGCAACTGTATTAATACTCACATAAACCCACTTTATTTTTTCATTTTTAACTTCTGTTTTAACTTCAGGGTACACGTGCATGTTTGTTACACAGGTAAACCAGTGTCACAGGGGTTTATTGTGCAGATTATTTCATAACTCAGGTATTAAGCCTAGTACCCATTAGTTATTTTTCCTGATCCTCTCCCTCCCACCCTCCACCCTCCAGTAGGCCCCAGTGTATGTTATTCCCCTCTACATTTTCATGTGTTGTCATCATTTAGCTCCCAGTTACAAGTGAGAACATGCAGTATTCTATTTTCTGTTCCTGTGTAAATTTGCTAAGGGTAATAAGCCTTCAGTTCCATTCATGTTCCTGCAAAGGACATGATCTTGTTCTTTTTTATGGCTGCATAATATTCCTAGGTGAATATGTACCACATTTTCTTTATCCAGTCTACCACTGATGGGCATTTAGGATGATTCTATTTCTTTGCTCTTGTGAATAGTGCTACAACGAATGTACATGTACATGTATCTTTATGATAGAATAATTTATATTCCTTTGGACATATATATACAGTAATTGGATTGTTGGGTTGAATGTTATTTCTGTTTTTAAGTCTTTAAGTAATTGCCACACTGCTTTCCACATAAAATGGTTACACTAATTTACACTCCCATCAACAGTGTATAAGCCTTCCTGTTTCTTTGCAGCCTCACTAGCACCTGTCATTTTTTTACTATTTAATAATAGCTATTCTGACTGGAGTGAGATTGTGTCTCACTGTAGTTTTAATTTGCAATTTCTCTAATGATCAGTTTGAGATTTTCTTCATATGCTTGTTAGCTGCATGTATGTCTTCCTTTGAATTGTATGTTCATGACCTTTTCCCAATTTTTAATGGGGTCGTTTGCTTTTTTCTTGTAAATTTGCTTTATTTCCTTATAGATGCTGAATATTTGACTTCTGTCATATCCATAGTTTACAAAAGTTTTCTCTCATTCTGCATATTGTCTATTTACCACGTGGGAGTGTCTTATGCTAATGAGCAATGACAGCAGCTACAGATTGCTTTCTTTGCCATTTGCTGGTTCTTGCCAGTTTCTTCACTTTATTCTGTTTGGATTAGCTTCTGTTTTTCTCAGCAGAGTTGTGACTAGAGAACAAGTCATGCCAGTCTCTTACTTCAATATGACGTTGAACACTGAATAGTGACTGAGTGATGACCACATTTTGAAAAACAGTCATCCTGTAACCCATTTTGGCCTCAGAAGCATCATATAAACAACCAGTTATCTGGAGGTGACAGTTTTCAGTGTTATAATGCCACATGCCATATACTGTAATATGATTTCTGTTTAGGGTGTTCCTAGATTATATGCATAATTAGATTGATCTAGATGTAGATCTAAACTTATAATTGTAACTAGCATTCCCCCTCATTTTCTTATACCTATTATTACTAGTATAACTGTTACTAGGTCAATATTTTTTAAATCTCTAAAGATGTCATGTTTATAAAATTACCACTTAGCATCTGTTAGGATAGCATTTCTATGATAAATTAGTTACAGTAAAAATCATTTTTGATTTATTAATACTATTGAAACTATTTCATTATAATTAATCAATTTGATCCCTTATTAATCATTGGTTTTTATAATATTCTCAATTGAATTTGGTTTATTAATTTCTATTTTATTATTCACCAAATTCAGCTTTGTATTATCATTATTTCTTCTTTTTCTCTCTGTTTTTGACACCCCATCTCTTTCTTCTCCTCAACCTTTCTTCAGTGAATATGTCATTTGTTTTCAAGTTCTTGATTACACCAACTTTTTGACTTAAATATTGTACATTTAGTCTTAAAAATTGGATTAAGTACTTTTAAGTAAAGATTTATCTACTTCCTCTATGAAGGGGATAAAAAGATGATTTGGAAACTCTCTGAAGCAGAAAATGGAAATAAGTGTAAAACCATAATCTGATCACTACTTCTTATATTTTCCTCTTGCTTATTCTAATATACTGCTTACTCTACCTTCTAAACAGTTATCTGACCCATCTGTGTCACTCACTTCATTTGCTTAAACATACCTTCTACTGATTTACCTTTCTCTTTCTCTCAGTCTATCACATTTATCTGGAAAATACTCAATTCTCTTTGAATTCAATTATTCTCTTTTTCTGCACCCTATGTGCTGAATCAAAACGGTCTCACTCTAAATTTATGACCACAGATATTAAGTAGGCCTTCAGCTGTCAGCCCTCAGGAAATCCACTTGTATTCCTTAGTCAATTTAATTAAAAACTCTCCTATTGTCTAAGAAATTATCTCACCCTTTTGCCTTTCTCCAACTCCCTTCTCCAACATCTCTTTCATTCTCCTCAATTCCCTCAAATGATCACATTTTATGATTTGCTGAGAAATTACCATCGTCCAAAGAGAACTTAGTGTTTTTCTGACACAAACTCTGTATGACTTGGCCTCATAAATTTTTCCTTTTCTCCTCTAATGAAAATGAATTATTCCCACCATGGAGGCCAATCCACCTTGTACACTGAAACTTTTCTCCTCCACATACTCAAATTTTCGCCCCTTCCAATGTTCCTTTTTCCCTCTTTATCACCTTATTTTGTTCTTACTGCTGTGGGCAGCAGCTCTAGCCGAATAATACACTGTGCAGTAATTTTCTTAACAAACTCATGTTGTAACATCTTCTATTTTTAAATGAAAACAAAGGAAAAATAAATTTGAACAGTACATCCCCCTAGCTTCATATTATTTGTCTATATTCATTCATAATTAAACTTCCCCAAAAGTGTCTGTAATTATTGACCATTTTTCTAGTCTCTTACTTTTTATATTAAAAAAGGAAAGTAATCAAAAACATAAATTAAGTGGTTAAATTCTACTAAATCTTAAACTGAAAACATCTACTTTTTTTTTTTTTTGATGGAGTCTTGCTCTGTTGCCAGTCTGTAGTGCAGTGGCACGATCTCGGCTCACTGCAACCTCCACCTCCAGGGTTCAAGTGATCCCTTGCCTCAGCTTCCCGTGTAGCTGGGACTACAGGCACAGGCCACCACACCCAGCTGATTTTTTGTATTTTTAATAGCGATGGGGTTTCACCATGTTGGCCAGGATGGTCTCGATCTCTTGACCTCATGATCCGCCCCCCGCCTTGGACTTCCAAAGTGCTGGGATTACAGGCGTGAGCCACCGCACCTGACCAGTTAAATTTCATTGGTATGTTTTATATTTATGCCTAAGCTCAAGAAATAATTAAAGCTGTATGGGAACAGTTGTAAAAGCAAAAATGAATCTCAGCTTTCTCTAGGTTAGTTAATACAAGTAAAATATTATTATATAAATTTGTTACAGGAAGGACTGAACATTTCACAAGGGGTATCAATGCCCTTGCTCTCTTTTAAAAATTGTATTTATAATAGACACATAATAATTGTATATATTTTTAGGGAACCATGTGATGTTTTAATGCATGTATATATAGTATAATTATCAAATGAGGGTAAATACCATACCAGTCACTTTAAACATTTATGATTTCTTTGTGGTGACCACATTCAAAATTCTCTCTTCTAGCTATCTTGAAATACACAATACATTATTATTTACTGTAGTCAACCCACAGTGGTAATAGAACATCAAAACTTATTGTTTTTGTATAATTGTAAGATTGTACTCATTGACCAAGGTCTCCCAGAGCACCTTCCTGCCTCTCCACCCCAGCCTCTAGCAACCACTAATCTACGCTCTACTTCTATGAAATCAACTTTTAAAAATTTTCACATAAGAGTGAGATGATGCGTTATTTGTCTTCCTGCACCTGACTTATTTTTCTTAACATAATGTCCTCCAGGTTCATCTATGTTGCTGCAAATGACAGAATTTCATTGTGTTGTATGGTTGAATAGCATTCCTCTCTCTCTCAGGTTGTGTGTGTGTGTGTGTGTGTGTGTGTGTGTGTGTGTATAACATTTTCTTTATGCATTCATTATTGGATGGGCTTTCAGGTTGATTATATACCTTGGCTCTTGTGGATACTGCAATAAACATGGGTGCAAAGATAGCTATTTAACATACTGATATTATTTCTTTATTTACACAGTAATAGGATTGCTGTGTCATATGGTAGTTTTATTTTTAATTTTTTGAGAAAAAGGGGAAACACTTCATGAAATTGAACTGGTCAAAGATTTTTTGATTAAGACCTTAAAAGCACAGACAACAAAAGCAAAAATAGACAAGTGGGATTATATCAAACCAAAAGGTGTCTGCACAGCGAAAGGAACAATCAATAATGTGAAGAGACAAGCCCACAGAATGGGAGAATGTATTTGCAAACTATGCAACTGACAAGGTGTTAAAAACCGGAATATAGAAGTAACTCAAAAAATTTTATCTCAAAAAAAAATCTGTCTAAAAATGGCAAAAGATATGAATAGACAGTTCTCTAAAGAAGACATACAAACGACCAACAGATATATATATATAATATCTATATATTATATATATTATATATATATAATATATATATTATATATATTATATATATATAATATATATTATTATATATATTATATATATTATATATAGATATTATATATATAATATATATATAATATATATTATATATTATAATATATATATAAAAGAGCAACATCACTAGTCATCAGGAAAATGCAAATCAAAACTACTAGGTATTATCTTGCTCTCTTAGTTTGTTCTTGCACTCGTGATAAATATTGATCAAATCCTCATAAAACATATCCTGAAATGTCTTTTTACGTTTCTTCATTTGATATTGCTGATTAATGTAGTAAATTAATCAGAATTATTAAAACATCATTAGCAGTTGGTTTCTGATTTTTTTCTTATATTAGCTTGAAAGCTCAGCTATAAGCTTTCAGCTAAAAATTACATCTTCTACAAAAGGAACACTCTCAGAGGGACTGCACCACATATTTTTAACTATTGATAGTTCAAGAAGAAGGTTCTTGGGTCAAAACCTTGGAGTTTAGAGCACCACTACTTAGATAACTCTCAGACTGTACCACAGTACTGACTCAGGATTTCCAGGATTCTTTATGAATAACTTCATGAATTTGGATTTCAAGTAGCACTAACCCATTTATGCCTGAGGTTGCAATTTTTTGAATTTTTGTAATCAGACCTTGGCGATGACCTTGAGCAGTAGGATATAAATAACACTCACATGCTTAATGTGCCAATAATGGAACACTAGGCATAAATTATTACATAAGACTAAATGAAATGATAATGTAATACTACTATGCTTATTTCTTTTGTAATATTTTTGATTTGGATTTTTTTTCTCTTTTATTGATGCTTACATTGTATTTTTTATTTTTTGTTTTTTTGACTTTTATTTTAGGTTCAATGGGTATATCTGCAGGTTTGTTTCATGGGTAAGTTGAGCATTGCTGAGGTTTCATGTACAAATAATACCATCATCCAGGTAATAAAGCGTATTGCCTGATAGGTTGTTTTTGCAATACTGTGTTGCATTTTAAACTATTCAATTTTGTACATATGGTAAGCCTTTGTTGAGTTTTCTTGACTTATCTTTAAATCTGAGTTTAATAGATTACACTTATTCAAAATGCAATGAAATATCCTTTACATGGTAAAGTATTCTCACTGATCCCTTAAAATTCTGTAACAAATACTTTAAATTCATTTCACTTTATACGTTAAAGTAAGTTTTTGCATAAGTTCATGAAGAATCTGTTCTTATATGTCTCCCCATTGATGGTTGTTGGGACAAGTCTGTACAATTTGTGTGTTTCTGTGTTTAGATGCAGCATGTATAGGTGATTTGTGTATATTTATAAAAACAACACATATTTTTACATATATACAGATAATATGGATATATATGTTTGAATTTGAGAAAATCATTACACACACTCGCACACACACACTCATATATATACATACACACACCTGAAACCAATTTATTTTGATGGGTTAAATAATTGTTATGCCAACTTTTAGCATTTGTATATAACATTCACTTAAAATATTTAGAAAAGTATACTTTTGGAAAAATATACATTAAGCTAAATACTAATAACACAATTAGTATTATATTATCATTTATTTTAGTCTATGTAATTAATGCTACTTGAATCCAATTTAATGAAGTTACTCGTTAAGAATCCTGGAAAGACCAGGCACGGTTGCTCATGCCTATAATCTCAGCACTTTGGGAGGTCGAGGCAGGCAGATAGCCTGAGGTCAGAAGTTCGAGACCAGCCTGACATGGTAAACCCTGTCTCTACTAAAAATATAAAATTAGCCGTGTGTGGTAGTGCATGCCTGTAATCCCAGATACTCAGGAGGCTGAGGCAGGAGAATCGCTTGAAGCAGGAGGCAGAGGTTGCAGTGAGCCCAGATCACGCCATTGCACTCCATCCTGGGCAACGAGAGCTAAACTCCATCTCAAAAAAAAAAAAAAAAAAAAAATAGAATCCTGGAAATCCTGAGTCAGTACTCTGGTACAGTTTGAGAGCTATCTAAATAGTTGTACTCTAAATTGAAGGCTTTAATCCAAAAGTCTACTTCTTCTATCTATCATACATTCTTACCAATTTATCATCACCTACAGAATTCTCTCTCTCTCTCTCTGCATGTATGTATATATAGAATTTTCTTCTTTTGCTGGAGTTACAGCCCTTGTTTCCTAGATCTCCTATCTCCTTTCATTTGGATGGAACAAATCTTCCAGAGATACTCGAGAACAAGTGAATAGGCAATACTGTTTTCTTAAGAAATTAATCAAAACATCTATGCAAATGTTTTAGTTGCAGTTTAGTTTAATATACATCACATTCAATTATTAGTTTCTCAAATTTTAAATCACTGTTTTCTAGATATTTTGATTATAATTTCCAATGCTCCTGATTTTTGACTGTAGAACTTCAAATAATTTTTCTGTTTAAAGACTATTATGTTCTTTGTGTTTAGTGTTCTAAAATTTCATGATCTCTGTGACTCATGGTGTGGGTCTTTTTAAATTGGAAACTAAGCATAGATTTACCATTCCTGCTTACAAACCTCCAATGAATTCTTATACCTTTTAACACTTCTTATGAAATATTATAGGCACAATTGTTTTCTTAGGAATTACCTTTTGCATTCATTATAATATAAATATCCCAAAAGCATTAGTTTGCTTTTATTTTAAACTGTGGTATCTCATATATCAAGCAAAAATACTGTTGTATAGTGTTTTTACATATTTTTTGAGAAAAGGAAAATAAATAATAATATACACAGTTTAATAACTTTTTATTTTCTCCCTTTAGACCTTGTTCTGGTCATAATAGTTTTTATTCTAAACAAAAGAAATAAATTTGATTTATTGAGTTAAAAATATTTCCCACTGTAATCACGTGGAACACATATATATTTCTGATTATTTAAAATAGCCAAATATCATTTGCAGTATGCATATGAGATATCAATTATCGCCTGATAAATTCATATAGAAAGTTTTTAAAGGCCTTTACTTTGAATGAACAATTAAACACAGGAACAATAACTGTAACCTGATATTTTTAAACAAAATCCAACATTTTGCTTAACTAAGTGCCTAGTTTTATTTTTGTCATGGATCCTTATTTTTTTAGGATTTGATAAAAGACAGTTTATTGACCAGAGAAATGTAATCTTTAGCTTTTCAGATCTTTGAATGTGTCTCTGCCTTAGTTTGTGTTCCTCCTGAAACAGACTGTGAGAAAACATTCCGGAAACAAGTTGTTTATTGATGAACACTGGTAGAGGATTGGGACGATGAGAAGGACAGAGAAGAAAGGCAACAAAAGATGTATTCCCAAGCAAATTTATACTGTTGGTACCTGGAACTTAACCCCTCTTTGGAAATCAGTGAGTCATTATAGAATATATGCCTCAGAGTTATTTTGTATGAGGTGTGAGGTTCAGGTCTATTCCCAGGGCACCTATTTCCCAGGCATTTACAATCTGGCATGTGGGAGCAGAGTAGGTTCTCGTCAACAGAGGGCCCTCAGGCAGAGTCTCAGATGCTGAAGGCAAAGTGGGGCTGCAGCTAGAGAAATATTCTGTGCTCCGTGGATGTAGATAGGGTGCTTGCTAACACAATCTCCTGAATATTATCCTCAGTTTGACATATGTATCTCAGAATACTTTTGTTCGTATGTGTTGTCTTGAAGATCAACTGAGGTCACAAAGCCTAAGAAAGTATCTTGACTGATGCTTGCATTTGTTAAAACAAACTAAATATGGCCTGAGAAGGACTCCATACTTTTATATTTGAGTCCTTGTGGAGGAACTGCAACCAGCTTAATAGGTAGACAAGATTGAAAACCTAATATGGGAGTATGCACCTGTAACAATAACTAAGTCTTGGCCAATCCCATTGGCCAGACTTCAACAATTCATACACCGCTGAGTGTTCAAACTCCATTCCAATAAGGCAAATGCCGAGCTGTAACCAATACAGCCATTCTGTACCTCACTTCTGATTTCTGTATGTCATTTCACTTGTTTTGTCTATAAATCTTCCTCTACCACGTGGCTGCACTGGAGTCTCTGTGAATCTGCTGTGATTCTGCGGCCTGCCCAATGCGCCAGTGGTTCCATTACTCAGTTAAACTCCTTTAAATTTAATTCAGCTGAAGTTTTTATTTTATCAAGTTTAAATCAGTATAAGTTGAACATTGATGAGACACAGAGGTAAATGTCTCTCTTCCATGAATAGAAAACCGTAGATAACTCTTTTGAGCATAATCTTTTGAGCTTAATGTATGCCGATTTTCCCAAATTCATGTAATCGGAATACAGGCACTGTGAAGTTATTTCTTAGTAGTTTATTCTATGTGTTATACTTATAAACTGCTGTACATTTTAAACTACATCATTTTTCCAAACTCTTTATTGCAGTACTTTTTAAAAAATTTTACATATTCCAGGTAATAATTGTTTTCAGAAAAGCAAATGGTAAGCTCGTCACAAGACTATTAATGTTAACATTTATTTGAAAGATCAGATGTAAGTGCATATATTATTTTCTTGGTTTAGACGCCCCCACAGTTTCTACTAGGTCTCACTCAAAGAAATGTTTCTTTAACATTAGTGTCATTACACTGCACTGCTTTGAATACAAAGAGACAGAAAAAGAACATTTCATAGAAGCTCTGGTTCTAAAGCACCTTCAGAATTCTCCTCAGAGACCCTACTAATTTTCCCCAAATTAGTGATATGAATCCCAAGAGGGCACCTTATATGTGCTCCAAAATCTCATTTAAGGTCTTCTAGAAAGCATTTCCATGTTCCTCCTCTGCAACACTTTAGGTTCTGTCTCTTTTCATTCACAGTTCAAAACTGGTCAGTTATTAGATTAATAACTAATGACAATTCCAGAACTGCTGATCATGCTTTTCTATAGTCTCGTAGTACTGTTGATCGACTATGTCATGGACTCTGATGTTTATACTGTCTCCTTTTGCTGATACCATTTGTTGACATTTTGAATCTATGCTGTTCAATATAATAGTGACTAGCCAGCCACAATTGAATATTGAGCATGTGCTACTGTAACTGAAGTGCTAATCTTTAAAATTTAATTTTTAAACTAATCATTGAGTTACTGAATAATTTTTAAGTATGTTTGGAACAACTTGATTATATGAGTCTACTTTTTCAATTATACATGTTAAAAAAATCCAAATACAGATCAAGTATTTTCAAAGAAACATTTGATTTGAGAAGTAGTTTAAGTGTAAAATACAGATCAAATTTCAAAATATTTTTCTTTTACTTTTTACTATGGCTACTAGAAAATTTAAAATTATAAGTGACACCAGCATTATGATTCTACTGGACAGTGCTCTTTTGCATTCTAAAATCTCTCACACCCTTTTTAGCTTACTTTCTTAGTAATGTTCTGTTGGGGAAATATAATTAAAAACAAAATCTTTTGCTAACAGAGAAAATCACTCCACAAATAAAAGAGAAGTTTGTGTTTTAATTAATTCAATAGGTATTAAATCAGCATGTGATGCACAACACAGGCAATCTGCTAAAGAATTTGCAAAAATAGAAAGACATCTCATTCGTTCATATAGTCAAAAAATCACCTCTTCATCATATGTGTTCTCAAACGATAACTAGTACACAAGTAAGAGAAATTGATAGCAAAATTTGTCAAACATAGCTCATCCTAAATTCACCTGGTAGTTGGGATAGCCACCTATTTTTGCTAATTGTCTTTATCTAAAGGAAAAATAAATTTCTGATATTTCTGTAATGGAAGGTAGATTACCAACTTGGAGCAAGGCACCAGCTCAAGGTAGAATCTTACCCTCCCAGGGAGGCTTGAAGATGGAGGCATTGTCTTTCTTGATGATTGCATTTCAAAGAGCTGGTTCCCAGGTCTTTGATGAAAAGATTCCTGGATTGTAAACCTGGCAGGAGGCCTACTTAGCTTTTAAATAGATTTACATACATCTCAAAGGGGCAGAGAAAGCATTTACAATTACAGGTTTTCCAAAATAAATGTTTTAAGAAAAGGAATGAAAGAAGGATATATCTTTCCCGTCTAGGAAAATTCAATATTTTTTTTTCAGATGTGCATCTACTCTTATAGTTTTTATATTCATATATGTATGATAACAGTAATATATTAGTACCCATATACTGTAAAACAATTTTAAAAATAGAAATATGTAATAATAAATTAGAATGTTTATTCTAATAAACATTCTTCTTTTCCTTCATTCCCAACACCTCACCTAGCATAGCTAATCACTTGTTTTCCCAAAGGTTAAGAATCTATTGTATGTTTATTTTTCTCCTTTTAATATTGTAGAGAATATTTCTTCCTTTTGGTCTGCCCTCTTTTTTGGTGAGTAAACTTCGTTCATTCCAAATTTTATTTATTTATTTATTTATTTTCAGTCAATCGGTTCCATTCTCCAGAGATAGTACAAAATTCAAGCTATAGCAGAGTTTTGTTTTTTGTTTGTTTGCTTGTTTCCCCAGGATTCATATGAATGCCTGGGGGAAATTATACTTCATTTTTGAGATTACAAGCTCTAAGGACAGGTTGACCTATAATTGAGGACGTCAATTTTGTCACTTGTTGGAGAACTTACCTAAGAATGGAACCAATTGAGAGGAAACCAGAGCCGAGATGAAGAGAGAAAATGAGAGATCAGTGCTTTATAGTTTGAGACCTTGAGATGCAGCAATGCCTGGAGTCAGACTCCATTGTGTATTTCTTAGTTAAGGGTCTTAACATACTCCACTTTTTGCTTTAGCTTGTTTGGGTTGGAATTTTGTTATTTTCAAGCAAAGATTTTCAGATTTTATGTCTCTGTATATATGGAAAAATAAATTTCTCATATTTCTATAATAAAAGGTAGATTATTAACTTGGAGCATATTATATATATATAAAAAACCTGGAAATCTTTGCTTGAAAATAACAAAATTCCATATATATGGATCTCTATATATACATTATATATCTATATTGATATATATATAGTATATACATAGTATATATCAATATATGTATATTGATATATATTTCCAAAATAAAAACAAAGAAAAATAACTATATGAGTAATATAAATACATGTAAACATAATATTGAGGGAATTCTATGTTCCCTCCATAGTATAGACATAGACATTCCTCCCATTAAGATATAGCGTTTACTTCCTCTCTCTCTCTTGAATCTGAGAGGGCTTTGTGGCTGCTTTAGCCAAGATAATATAGAGGAAATGAAGTTGTTGCTTGTTTCTGGGCCTATGCCTTGGTGGAGTGCGCCTTAGCTTTCCAGAGAGACAAAACTAATAGGCTATAGATAGATATACATATATCGATTCACACACACACACATCTTCCAGAAACACTCTCACAGACATACCCAGAAATAATGCTTTACCAGCTATCCAGGTATTCTTTAATCCAGAAAAGTTGTTACCTAAATTAACTATCACAGAGCTACTTTAGATCGTTGACAACAAAATTAACCCATATTTCTTTAGTCCTTGCTTTGTGCTACACATTGTATTATGGGCTCTAAAATTTTAATCTTATCCTGTAGCAGACAAAACCTCTCAGACACTGAGTTAAAGAAGGAAGGGCTTTATTCGGCCAGGAGCTTCAGCAAGACTCATGTCTCCAACAACCGAGCTCCCTGAGTGAGCAATTCCTGTCCCTTTTAAGGGCTCACAACTCTAAGGGGGTCTGCGTGAGAGGGTCATGATCCATTGAGCAAGCAGGGAGTACGTGACTGGGTGCTGCGTGCACCAGTAATTAGAATGGAACAGAACAGGACAGGGATCTTCACAGTGCTTTTCTTATGCAAATAACTGATTAGATCAGGGGTCAGTCTTTAACTACCAGGCCCAGGGTGTGGCGCCGGGCTGTCTGCTTGTGGATTTCATTTCTGCCTTTTAGTTTTTACTTCTTCTTTCTTTGGAGGCAGAAATTGAGCATAAGACAATATGAGGGGCGGTATTCTCCCTTATTCCCCCGCTTTGAGAATCTCACTCAATAGTGGGAGTTCTCACTTTCATTCTTGCTACCCAAGTCTTCTTGCAAGGCAGATCGATAGTGATTCATATAGTACACTCGTGCTGAAGCATTTTGGTGAACTAAGGTAGCGATGAAGCTTTTTATCATTTGAAGGGAGCAGTAAGCAGGTTCCTATTACTATTATAACTTCTATTTTAAGAGTTTTAAATCCTCCTAGCACTGGGAACCATTTTCCAAACATGGCCCCAGGATCAAATCCGTGCCACACTTGCAAGGGCAAATGTGCCAGTTTTGTCATATCTCTAACTATGTCTTCAACTACTTGTCCTTGATCATCTATTTGTAGACAGCAATTAGTATGGTTAAATTTCCCACAGACCCCTCCTTCAGCTGCTAGCAAGTAGTCGAGAGCCAATCTATTTTGATGGATAGCATTTCTCATCTGAGTTTCTTGCTGGGCCAGAATAGTCAAGGCTCTGCTGGTTTTATTAGTGATTATTTCTAAGATAGCTTATAACCGTATGATTCAGTTGATCATGTAAATGGGGATCCGGTATCCCCACGAGCCATCTTGTGCCCAAGTAGCAGGCCCATAATATTGTATGCTTCTCTCAGGGGGCCATTCATGATCTGTCCAGTTCCCTATAGCTATACTTCTCTTTTCACAGGAAGCATAGACAGGGAAGCCCAGGATTTCGCCTGTCTTTACGGGCAGTAGGAAGAAAGATGGTTTAATAGTGCCAGTAACACAACTACCTGCCCACTGGTCAAGTAATTTGGCATAAGCTCTATGCCCACAGTATAATCCAGTGGGGGCTGTCCAGTCCCGGTGGGACTCCGGGTGGGTCCACACAATTTGCAACTTTGGGAATTTACTAAATGGATTTTTCTTAGTGTGATTTGAACTCCACTAGGTGGCTGCAAATTTGTGGTACTATTATGCAGTTTTTGCTCAAGGCAGCTGAGTCTTCCCACAGGAAGGGTGAAGTCCTTCCCCATTCTTGCTATACAGTATTGTCTAATGATTGAGGCGTTTAGGACACAGAAGTTATCAGGGTGATTCTTTTGAGCTGGGAATTCATCAGGAACTGGGTCTGTAGGTACTAATTCTCATGCTTCTCATGGCCATTGATCTCTCATTACAGTTCCTTGAATTAGAAAACATATATTCTTAGGAAAAGCATTCTAGATCAAATTTTATTTGCCTTTTGGCAGGGAACGAAGGCAAACTTTGTAATTTCTATTCAATTTGTGTAAACTTTTCCAATTCTCTATTAGTTAAATTTGAGGTTAATTGTCCATGTACACTTCTAGCTTGGCTTGTCAATTGTGTCTATTTCTTGCTTACGAAAGTAGATAAATCTTATCTTTCCCAAGCCCATTTATTTTATCTCTATTACTATACAGCCAGGCTCTCAGGTTTTCTTACACTTATTTTATTACAGTTTTCTTATTACTGGACTTTCCTCACACTAGTGATGCATTGCCACTGGCCTTTTGTCTTTCAATTCTCTGTCATAATAAAAGGAAAATACCCCTAAAAAAGTCACATTGGAGAGTGTGCAGTAAGAGGATTAAATCACAATCTATAATCCTGCACCTTTATTTCTCTGGGTGAAGTAATATCACAGATTTTCATATCTATGAAAATACATTGCTACAAATGAGCTCCGTAGATCCCTAAGTAAATTACAAAAACAGAAGGCCAGTGTATAGCAGAGATAAAAAGTTGTTTTTCTAATAAGTAATCATTAATTTATAGGCTGATAAATTTATGGTCAACTCAGAAATATTATTCTGCCTCTTGCCACCATTTTTAATATTTCTCTTATCCATATTCCTCTCTAGGGAAGCAAGAAATATGAAATGATTAGTTAATTGAAAATAGAAAGCTCAGATACTGTAGCAATACTTTCTCTGAGGTAGACAGAAAATAAATTAGAAGTAGATGAGGCCAAGTATTGGGGAATTAATGATAGCTTATCTGTGACCCTAGTTGTGACCAGTGTCCTGTATGTGAAGAGAATACTTTTTAATATGATTCTTTTAAAAGGTATCTTACACATGACTAATCATCAAGGAAATAGAAACCAAACCCACAAAGAAATAGTAACTTAAACCTGTTAGGATGGCTCTTATCAAAAAGACAAGAAGTAACAAGTGTTGCCAAAGGTGTGGAAGGACGAAAGGGAAAACTTGTACACTGTAGGTGGGAATGTCACTGTGGAAGACAGCATGGAGGTTCCTCAAAACATTAAAAATAGAACTACCATGAGGTGTCATGGCTAATGCCTATAATCCCAGCAGTTTGGTAGGCCGAATTGGGTGGATAGCTTGAGCTCAGGGGTTGGAGACAAGCCTGAGCAACATGGCGAAACTCTGTCTTTACAAAAAAACAGACCAAAAAAAAAATTACATGGGTGTGAGGTGTTTTGGCACATGCCTGTGGTCCCAATTACTGGGAGGCTGAGGTTACCGGGAGGCTCAGGTGAGAGGATCACCTGAACCCAGAGAGCTTGAGGCTGCAGTGAGCTGTGAGTACACCACTGCATTCCAACCTGGACAACAGACCCCATTTCAAAGAAAATAAAAACCCCAAATTTCATCATCTAAATCCTCTCAGTCAGGTATGAGTGAGGTTCTGAGTCTAATAGATTTTTACCATAATTTGTCCAATGACCTGTGAAATCAATGAAATAGTTTATCTGTCCCCAAAATAAAGTGGCAAAACAGGTGTAGGAAAACAGCTATAGACATTTTCGGTGTAAAAAGGGAGACAATAAAAGGGAAAAAACGAGTAATTAGTCTTAAGAAATTTTAAAATCCAGTAGTAAAAACCCTGTTAGCTTTTAAGGCATGAGCATAATTTTCTATGGTTTTTGAATCCATCCTTCCTTTTTTCTTTTGTTTTCATTAAAGGAAGCAGATGTTTACAGCTGAATAGATTTATCAGCCAACAGAATTTCTGGGGATCAAGAATCTTCTCTCATTTCGTGCTACTTGTCCCCCTTTAAGTTCAAGCCATCAATCTTTCTGCTGTTACATAAATCCCTATCACTTTGTGCATCTCCTAATATGTCATAGGGGTTCATAGCATTAAACAGGACACATTTCTTATGGAATCCTATTGCTATTTTGTCTTTCTACGTTGAAAGAACAATTGCTAAAGAACAATTGCCTCAAGCTTCCTTAAGGCCCCTGTTTAGATTGAGAAAATATGAGAATCACATACTTAACCTCTCAGAGCCTTTTGTATAACTAAGTACTTTGTTCTTTTGCTACTTTTTATTTAAAGTTCCGCTTAAAAAAAATCTATCACTCACCTCTAGCATTTCCTTATAAATAATCACTTGGTTTTTCCAATAAAGGTAAACAGAAATCTTACTCTTACTCTTGCACTGAAACACTTAAAAAACAAAAGGATATTCTCTATGCTCTGTTCTCTTCTGTTATCATTTTGGAAGTATGTGATGAGAATTGGGTGGGCCTCTACCAGCTTTCTCTGATCATTAAACTATTTTTATTTTAAACTATTGAGTATTTGGGATTATTTGTTACTGCAGCATAATGTAGCCTACGTTGACTGTAAGATAAGAAATTTCAGTAGATTTCTGTTAAATGCAATGGATTGCCATGGTAGAGAAATGAAAGGGAAATTAAGGAAAGATATCAGTAAGAACCAAATCACTTTTATAGGAGCATGGCTATAAGGAAGATAAATAAGACTGTAGGCCAAGAAAGGGCTACTTAAATATTGGTGTTTTTTGATATGAATACACTGGAGAAGAAAAATTGATTCTGTAATAAGGATAGAATAATTTATAGGGATAAGATTCCCAGGCAGTTAAAAGAGATTGGAATGCAAAAAAAAGTGACTTGCCTTAGTTTGTAAAAGAGTAATTTAATCTATTAAGCGGATTAGAAAGTTGACAAATTTTAAGGCTGGATTGTGGAATTTTGTGTGGCAGAGGAATCAAGTCTTGCCATTTTCAAGGAGCCGAGGGTGGGAATGGCAACATTTCCACATTTATTATTTTCACTTCTCCACAGATCCTTGTCTGGACCTTTTTTCAAAACACAAGATAAGAGCAATGTTGACCAGAAAATAAATAAAATAGCAAACATGGCATCACATACTTGACTTCAGGTAAACTTTTCAAGTTAACATTTCAATGTAAGTTGAAATGAAATGTGTGAGATTAATTTGCAAGGCCATGTATACTTTTCTTATTTTGTTTATAAATATCTGGTCTAATACAAAGCATTGTTAAAAAACATCTTTGGAAATCCTACACATTTAATAAGCTGACTTTAAATTTACATATGATAAGAAAGATTGAATTTAATCCCAAACTATGAAATTATGAAGTTACAAACTTGTTGTGTTCTATATTATTGAGCAGTTGATAAAAAATCTAATATATATAAAAATTTAGAATTGCTGATTGGAAGCCATTCTTCCCTTCATCAAATGATAAAAAGTAATTGAATCAATAATATTGTCTTATTTTTTTATTCAAAAGGAGTTCAATGTCTCCTTACCATTGAGACCTAATACATCCTTCTATTTCCACCCACTGAAAAAGAATCAGTTTTATACTTGCTTGCTAAGTTATTTTTCTAACTCTGCATGCCTCAGGGAAAGCTAATTAAAACTGTTGGCTGTTAAAAAACTATTTTTCTTTACTTAACCTTGTAAGTTTCTCAGTATTTTGAAAATACAAAAATGTATTAAAGGGACAAATATAATTCTGCAATGTGTTTTAGTTTGAATTTATTTCTTCTTTACAGTGAGATACTTGAAAATCAAACTCATGTTATTTTTTCCAATATGCTTAACCTAGACCAGAGAGAATTATACAACTGAATATTCTATCTAAAATTGAATATTCTATGTGAAATCAATATTTTTATAAAATTGGTTCATTGTGAAGATTTCTGGCTTCCTTAGTCATCTGAAAGTGAACTCAAAATCTTGAAGTACCAAAAAAATTTCAATGTAGGCCTTCATTTATTGGAAATATATGTTATAACCCATAATGTGGCAACTTCAGGACATTAATGAGACAATTGTATGTTAAATTGGAATGCAGATCAAAATAGGACAAATCTGCATAGAACAGCTATCAGGGAACACAACTATGAAACACAGCCATATGCTGTAACTTAAAAAAAAGTAACATCCCAGCCATTCATTAAATTGCGGCTGTGTGTAAAGCCCCATGCTAAGACCTACATTGAATTACTGATATAATCCCCAGAATTCTTTAGAGTTGAGTTTACATCAGAGAAATTTGGACATTGGGTAGTTTAGATAATTTTGCCTTGATCAAAAAGATTAAAAATGGGCAAGACCTACTTTTAAACCTAAATGTTTCTGAACTTAATGCATATGTTGAAGCAGAGGCAAAAACAGTCCTACAGATCAACATTCTTTTACTGTAGTGTGCATCGGAATCACCTGGAGCTTTCTGGTGATTTGGTCAAGAGTGGGGCCCAAGATATAGCATTTCAACAATTTCCCAGTTGCTGATGCTGCTGGTCTGAGGCTCATACTTGAGAACAACTGCTATGGATTTCAGTAGTCATTCTATCGGTATTTATTGTCACTCTGAACCATGAAGAAACATTTGGGTTATGCTCAATAGACTATGTAAGGACACAAGGAAACATGTAATACTTTTAAGAAAAACTTTCATCAAAATATATATTGTTCGGGAGATTCATCATCATTCACAAGTAGAAAACTTCATTCCCTAAATTTGTCCTAAAAGAAGTGCTGCCCAATTAAGAATAGATCTTGTAACATTTTCAATGTTACTAATTTATGTGTAGTATGATTATGTCAGGACTTACTTGGGCAATGCCAATAATACATATAACTTTAAGTGCCAATCTCAGAGCCTTAGAAAATAGAAGCAAGATTCCCTTGTCAGTCTGTATTCTCAGGTAAATGGTAACACCTGTTCCAAACTCCCTCCTACTCACAGACATACACCATGTCATTGTTGATTGGGCTGAGCCCACTGATTCTTTCGTAATGCCATAAATTTTTCTTAACCAAGAAATGAACAGCAAGTGATAATTCTAATTAGTTGATTGGTAGCTCACTACTGAAAGCACAGGTTTTTTGACTCAAAGTCTTCATTCCTATCTAGATATGTAAAGCTGTCACATCTTAAGATATTGATTGGTGAGCATGTAATTAGCCTTGAAAAATTCTAAAGTAAATGTCCTGCCTGGGGTAACAATAGTGATGAGTATGCTGCAGTGAAATTGTGTTTCCTTATCTTAGTGAGGATAATGGGATCACAGAACAGTAGAAGCCAGGTAGACACAATTTATATTCAGAGACAAGGTAAGAACAATTACCATATAAATTGTAATCAGAGTTTTGACATGCAAGAATCTGTGGTTTATTTGATTACAGAACCTTTAAAAATGAACTAGGGGAACAGCCTGTTAAGGTGTGTTTATTTGATACTTACAGGTAGCAAACTTCTACTTCTTATGGGAAAAAAAAAAAAAAAAACCTACTTAAAGGTAGCACACTGTAGTGGAGATTCACAATGTTTAACCCAAGACTATCCCTTTGAAACAGAACACTGCTATGAATCACCAAGTGTACACCAGTGAATCGTTCTGCAATTCATCCTCAATAGTATTAGTAGCCACTTGTTAGCATGAATTTGCCCTTAGAAAATAAAAATTCTCAGCATTTCTGTGAGTTGTTTGATTTGGGCTCTGAACTAAAGGTAATCCTTGGGGAATTAATTCACTGTTGTGGTTTAATCTCAAAAAGAAGTTTAAAGAAGTTCAGGTAATGGGTAGAGCATTGGCTCTAATTGATCTCATATTGATCCAGGGAGATTATAGCTATGGTTTTGGTTCTTTGACCAGCACCAAAATATAAAGTGTATTGACATATTTATTATTATTACAAGCACAATCTCTAGATATTAGATTCACCCATAGACGGTATTTTATGATAAGAAGGGCAAATGGAAACCATTGTAACTCTCACACATTTCAAATATGTTTCTATTATATAAACCAAAAGCAATTCCACACAGTAACTGCAGCTGTGATTCCAGGTATATATATTTAATAGAATAATGGGCATAATATCTAGCCCTGGTATAAGCTTTTGACCTGAAAAATCATTATATATTTCCATCTTCAATCAGCGAATGAAATCAGAAAAGAATATTAGGAGTTTGTTTACTCTTGATGTGACCACAGGATAAATTTATTCTCAGACTAGACTATAACACTCTTTGTGTATCTGTCACAATATAGTCCAGAGACCTTGACTGGCTTCACGTACTGCACAGCACTAATCTGACGCATTACATCATGATAAGTGGACCTGAAAAGGAGGAAGTTTCACATATCCTATATGCCTTATTAAGATATGTATGAGAGGGTGGGAGAAACACCTCATAGATGTTTGGTAGCCAAAAACATCAGTTAAATCCTTAAGGTCTGAGACATGTTGCAATATGTCTTCTGAAGTGAGAGACACCTCACTTGACCTCTTAAGATATTGTTGGTTACAAATAATCTATTAGGGAAAGCTGCTTCAGTCATTTACTTGGCAACTTGTAAGGCTGTTCATTTTAAAAGAGACTCAGATCTATGGTACATGCTGCACAATCAATTGGAACTATCTTTCTATCAGACATAGGCAGTCAAATGCCTGGGGCAGACAGAAACTTTCTACCTATGGTAACCTCAGTAGAGAAATGCTACATAGAGCTCTTGATTTCAGGGCAAGGCCAATCCATTTGTTGCCGACTACTAACGTGGGAGAAAAACATCTCCTGACTTGCTCCTGGGCCCTAGTAAATCTGAATGACTGACAATGGGGCACCAAGTAACTGTGCAACCTAAAATGCCCGTTGTGAATTGGGTTTGTGTAACTCACTAGACAATAAAATGGGATGTGCATAACGGAAGTTTATTATAGTATAAAAATTACACATAAATAGCAGGCTAAAACTGGTCCAAAAGACCCAAGTTAATTGCAGAAGTTTGGTTTGCTACTTCTCTGTCAAGGGGACCTATGGCCTCTGACCAGTTAATGGTAGAAAAACAAATAGCCTTTGTTTAAGGATGCCATCTTTCACCGTATGCCATCTTTCACAGAACTGGATGGCTGCACCACTAACAGGTGGCTCTGCACAACAGTGGAAAGTGAAATCTTCACAGTGAGAAGAATTTCAGGTGATACAACTAGTATCAGATTATACAACTGGTATTATATGCTTCATGTGAAAGGAAAAATGGGAACAAGAATGAGAAATGAATAGGAAATTTTTGGAGAGGAGGCATGGGGCTGGACCTCTTGTAATGAGAACATAGTGACAAGGTAAGTCAATAAATATATGAGGCCGGGCATGGTGGCACACACCTGTAATCCCAGTACTTTGGGAGGCCGAAGGGGATGGATCATCTGAGGCCAGGAATTCGAGACTGGCCTGGCCAACGTGGTGAAACTCTGTCTCTACTAAAAATACAAAAAGTAGCCAGGCGTGGTGGCACGTACCTGTAATCCCAGCTACTAGGGAGGAGGGAAGAGAATCACTTGAACCCGGGAGGCAGAGGTTGGAGTGAGCCGAGATCACGACACTTCACTCCAGCCTGGGTGACAGAGTAAGAATTCATATTAAAAAAAAAAAATATATATATATATATATATATACACACACATGTATATATAAATGTGTGTATATACGTATATATACACACACGTGTGTATATGTATATACGTGTGTATATGTATATATGCGTATATGTATGCATGTGTGTGTATATATATGTATATATGAGATGCAAAAAAGAGTTATAGCTTTCCCTAATAGATTATTTGTAACCAATAATATCTTAAGAGGTCAAGCGAGGTGTCTCTCACTTCAGAAGACATACTGCAACATGTCTCAGACCTTAAGGATTTAACTGATGTTTTTGGCTACCAAACATCCATGAGGTGTTTCTCCCACCCTCTCATACATATCTTAATAAGGCATATAGGATATGTGAAACTTCCTCCTTTTCAGGTCCAGTGCTAATACCATGAGTACTGTTTCATATACATATCATAAAATACCATATATACACATATATGTGTGTGTATATATGAGTGTATATATATATAGTACTTTAATTTTGTTTTGTTGTCTGTCTCAGGAGAGTAGCTATAAACTCTACAAAAACTTTAGTCTTGACCTTATAGGGCTCCAGGGATTTGGTCATAGTAGTTTACGATGTGCTGTCTCTATCCTGTCTGACAGCCTAATGCCTAAGTGTCCAGCTTGTTACCAGGTAGTTCTCTCACAGAACACTTTTTTATACTTGCAGATGCCCTTGTGTCTCTTGTTTGAACTATGTCCAGTTTATTGCTACCAAGATAGCCACACTCTAGGATAGACCCCTGATAGGAAAACAAGCTAGGTTTAGGTATCTGGGTCAGGCCAGACACAGAGAAAGCAACTCAGCAAAAGCATGAATTAGAAAGGCAGTTTATTACGGGTCCTACATAGAAGAGGGCAGCACACCTTGCAGTACCAATGGAAAAGGAGGAGCCATTTAGGATATGCATACTTAATCAGTTGGTGGAGATGAGGAGAGAGAAATGGAGCAATGAACCTATGGACTAAAGACATTATTAGGGTCTAGGGCATTATCCAAGCAGGTTTTCCACAGGAAATTCTAATTAGTGGGTTAGGACAAGTAGGCACCAGTTCCCTGGAGGTAAGAGTCAAACTGTGACTGAGACATGGTCACTGTGTCATATCTGTGCAGTCCAAACCAGCTGTGGGGGCCAGTGGGACAAGTCAAGTAGTTAGCATCCAGCTGGGTCATAAGCAGGTGGTATAAGGCATATATCTGGGTTAAGTACATGGAGAAACTATGAGAAGGTGGAGAACTGGAACTGGAAAATGTCAAGGGTGGCTCTGTCCTGCTTTTGATATAAGAAAATTAAACTTCTATTTAAAAATGAATGCCAAAGCAACATAAAAGTATGGGAATTTACTACTCTCTCTCTCTCTATATATAGTAAATATATAAAGATATATATATAGAGAGAAATATTTCTCTATAGTTACTTTTTCTCTCTCTATATATGTATGTATACATATATATATATAAAGAGATTTTTTTACAAATACGCACACAAATATGAATGCACATATGTATAATTTTAAAAAGTAAAACTCATCAATTATACTTTCATACCTGGCCTAAATATATGAATACCTAGTTGGCACAGTGAGCAGAATGCAGTGTGTCTGATTGGAAGAATATTTTAGAATATCATCAAAAACTTTCAACTACATATATATTAAATTCAAGAATTTCTATAATTTTGTTTAGTAAAATCAAGTGATATGGTTTCAAGAAATAGTGCTGTTAAAGAAGGAAGCAGCAATGAACATTTTAAACATTGTGCAGCATTCTCATGAGGAAAGACCCCCAAATCCGGAGTGTCTTTGCCACCCAGAAAAAATAACAGCATTATCCTCTAAGTGAACAAAGAAGGGTGAAGGAGAAGCAAATACAGTGGCTACATAAGCCATGATGTTAGATCAGTGGCTTTTCAACACATATGAAAGGTGCTGAAGTAAATTTATTGATTAGAACACGAGAAAATGTGTTGCAGTATTTTTTCAGTTACAATGTATATTATATAGATAGCAAAACACATATCCCCTTGAAGAAAAAAAGAATTATAATTATGCTTATAATAACCTGAGATTTAGAAATAACAAAAATAAAGGACACAATAAGAATAAGGGGTAATGGCTCGCTCTTTTCTGGTGTTTGGTGATAAGGATTACCATTCATTCTTATATTGAAAAATAACATTTCATTGCATCTTCTGCTTTTCATTGCATACATTTTGTTCTTTCCTTCACAACTGCCATTGGTTGCACAACTGTAATTCAGTGTTAAACAAAAAAAGTCAGTATAACCTGCCTTTCAATTCATATTTATTTTATACAACTTTTATTTGGGTGAATTAAAGTAGAAAGACATGTATAAAACAGATACTTTGGGCAACATAGATTAGGAAAGGCCAGGGTAAATGTTATTTATTATCCATTTTAATCTTATTTTGCACTTAATTAGAATAGTTTCATTCAGGATCTGTAATCTGACATTAATCTTCTTTTCTTAATATAGATGAAATATGAGCTTAATAAAAATTTTGTAACCTATCATCTTTAATTCAAACAGGATTTCTTACCCGTTACAGCTTTAGCTTTTCCCAGCAGCATGGTAATGTCAGTTATCATTTGTCTCTATAAGGAAATTTGAGAACATAAAGATCTTTTTATATATAAAATGATATTTGAAAATTTTCATGTATTTTGTGGCTTAGCCAGAAAGCTTCACATGAAGTATTACATATGACAGTTTTATCTGTGTTATCTATGCATAAAAGAAGGACATTAAGAAATTATTTTCATTTTTGTGGGCAAACAGGATATACAGTATAGAGAAGAATGTGGTTTTGGACTGAAATTTTTAAAATGATATTAAGTTGTTTTTCTGAATTATTTAGATATTTCCATATTTTGTATAGCTACTCAGAGTTTCCTGTATATAGATTGCTTATTTATAAACAAATGCTGGCTATGAAACTTTTCTTCTATTTTCCCGAAGTCTACTTCTCAGAAAAAAAAAATGACTAGTTGGGTTCAGGTAGAGAAAAAAATGATTTTTTTTTACTCATTCATAGCATGAAATGTTTATTGATTCAACAAGAATATTTTATTATTGACCTTTTTACAATATATTAACCGTGTTTCTGTTTCAAATAAAGAACAGAAATCAGAATCAGCTTTTTATGACATCTGTGTACTATTTCTAGCTATCAATATTCTAAAATGTCTCTTCACAATCTTTTAAATAAAGCCCCAGCTTATAGGTATGTCATTAGATTGCTTTTGGTCTATCATTAGTAAAATCACCTTTCTTCAGACTTTTACCAAAGAATGTTTGCTGCTTTTTTTTTCCTTTGTAAGAAACATTATAGAATTTCACTTATAATATCCTCCAGCTTCGTGTTGCTGCATATGACAAGATCTCATTTTGTTTAATGGCTGAATAGTATTCCATTGTGTATATATACCACATTTTCTTTATTCAAGATGGACATTTAGGTTGATTCCATATCTTGACTATTACCAATAGCACTGCAGTAAACATGGGTGTGCAGTTTGACACCCATGACATACTGATTTTATTTCCTATGGATACCCAGCAATGGGATTGCTGGATCATATGGAAGTTTGATTTTTAATTTTTTGAGGAACCACCATAATGTTTTCTATAATGGCTATTCTAATTTGCCTACTCATAAACAGCTTAAAGGAGACTTCTTTTCTCTGCATCTTTGCCAGCATGTTTTTTTTTTTAATAATAGCCATTCTAACTAAAGTGAAATGATACTCATTGTGAGTTTGATTTGCATTTATCTGATGATCTGTGATGTTGAACATTTTTTCATATATTTGTTGGCCATGTGTGTCTTTTTTTTGAGAGCTGTTTAAGTATTTTGCCCATTGTAAAATTGGATTTGTTTCTGCTATTGAGTTGCTTGAGTTCTTTACATATTATGAATGTTAACCCCTCCTCCTTCGCGTAGGTTGCAAACATTTTCTCCCATTCTGTTGGTCACCTCTTCACTTTACTGAATGTTTCCTTTGCTGTACCATAGCTTTATAGTTTGGTGTAATCCTATTTGTCTGTTTTTTGGATTTGTTGCCTGTCCTTTTTGAGGTCTTATTCAAAAACTTCTTGCCCAGTATAATTTGATGAAGTATTTCTCTCCTATGTTTTCTTTTTTTTTTTTTTTTTTTGAGACTGTGTCTTGCTGTCTCCCAGGCTCTAGTGCAATGGCGCAATCTCAGCTCACTGCAAGCTCTGTCTCCTGGGTTCACGCCATTCTCCTGCCTCAGCCTCCCAAGTAACTGGGACTACAGGCGCCTGCCACCACACCCGGCTAATTTTTTGTATTTTTAGTAGAGACGGGGTTTCACCATGTTGGCCAGGATGGTCTTGATCTCCTGACCTTGTGATCCGCCTGCCTCGGCCTCCCAAAGTGCTGGGATTACAGGAGTGAGCCACCGCGCCGGCCTCTCCTGTGTTTTCTTCTAGTAGTTTCATAGTTTCTGGTCTTACATGTAAACCTTTAATCAATTTGCAGTTTATTTTTTATATGGTGGGAGATAGGAGTCTAGTTTCATTCTTCCACGTGTGAATATCCAGTTTAGCCAACAAAACTTTGAAGAGATGTCCTTTCCCCACAGTGTTTTCTGCACGTTTGTTGAAAATCAGTTGGCTGCAAATATGTGGATTTATTTTTGTGTTCTTTATTCTGTTCCATTTGTTTATGTGTATAATTTTATGTCAGTATCTTGTTGCTTTGGTTACTATATCTTTGTGGTGTATTTTGAAATCAGGTATTGTGATACCTTCAGCTTTCTTCTTTTTGCTGAGGATTACTTTTGCAATTTGTAGTCTTTTACTATTGTGTTAAGTGAAATAAGGCAAGCACACAGAGACAAATGCTGCATAATCGTACTCATATGTTGTGATGGTTAGTATTAAATGTCAACTCGATTGGATTGAAGGATGCAAAGTATTGTTTCTGGGTGTATCTGGGTGTTTCTGGGTGTTGCCAGAAGATGGTAACATTTGAGTCAGTGGATTAGGAGAGAAAAACCTACCCTCAAGAAGACCCACCCACAATATTGGTGGGCACCATTCAGTCAGCTGCCAGCATTGCTAGAAAAAGCAGGCAGAAGGTGGAAGAAGCTGACTTGCTGAGTCTTCTGGCCTTCATCTTTTTGCTACGCTGGATGCTTTCTGCCCTCAAACATCAGACTCCAAGTTTTTCAGCTTTTGGACTCTTGGACCTATACCAGTGGTTTGCCAGGGGCTCTTGGGCCTGCAGCCGCAGACTGAAGGCTGCACTATTAGCTCCCCCACTTTTGAGATTTTGGGACTTGGACTGATCCATTTCTGGCTTCCTTGCTCCTCAACTTTCAGACGCCCTGTGGTGGGACTTCACCTTTTGATCATGTGAGTCAGTTCTCCTCAATGAACTCTGATATAGTTTGGCTGTATCCCCACCCAAATCTCACCTTGAATTGTAATAATCCTCCTGTGTCAAGGGTAGGAACAGGTGGAGATAATTGAATCATGGGAACGGTTTCTCCCACACTGTTCTCTTGGCAGTGAATAAGTCTCATGGGAGCTGATGGTTTTATAAATGGGAGATCCCCTGCACAAGCGCTCTTGGCTGCTGCCATGTAAGATGTGACTTTGCTCTTCATTCACCTTGAGCCATAATTGTGAGGCCTCTTCAGCCGTGTGACTGTGAGTCAATTAAACCTCTTTCCTTTATAATTACCCAGTCTTGGGCATGTCTTTACTAGCAGTGTGTAAAATAAGTGGGAGCTGAACAATGAGAACACATGGGCACAGGGAGGGGAACATCACACACAGGGGCCTGTCAGGGGGTGGGGGCCTAGGGGAGGGAGAGCACTAGAAGAAATACCTAATGTAGATGATGGGTTAATGTTTGTAGCAAACCATCATGGCATGTGTATACCTATGTAACAAACCTACACCTTCTGCACATGTATCCCAGAACTAGGCTCAGTCTACTGTGTCTAGAATCAAAATGATTAGATTGTAAATCAGTTCTTCGAAAATTAAGTTTTTGAGCCTTGAATCATTGACTGTGAAGTCTGAGATGAAGATTCCAAGGTGCCAGCTAATTAAATGGTAAACAATACAACGGTCTGGGTGAATAGAGAGTTTCTCAGTTTGCTTTACTTAAAGAACCAAAGAAAAAGTGCCCAAAACAGCACACTATTAGCAACTATAGTCTTTATGTTGTATATTGGATGTTTAGGTGAGTTTACCCTACATTATCTATATGTATCTTGTACTATCTATATGTATCTTGTAACATCATGTTGTGCTGTATACTTTAAATATACACAATGCAATTTATTAAAATTTTAAAAGATAAAAGTGAAGCTCCATCTGTAAGAATGTTGAAGATTTTGAGTCATTAGTTGTGACATGTAGCTGGGTGCTTACTTTTGTACCCTCCCCCGTTCACCCCAGGCTAAAATGGCATTCTAGAAATAATAACCCAGAACACAATCGTATTAGCAGGTCTTCTTTGATGAGAACTGTCACAGATGTATAAGACTAAAGGTTAACAGCATAAATCTTCCTCACAGAATAATAAGTGAGTGTCTGTGGTATGACAGAGGATACAGAACTGAGAATAAAACCTGAATCTAAAAAAACAGGAAATGAAATCACTCATCTATTGTAACTCTCTTCTTTGGACCATATATGCTGGCTAAAGATCTAGTGATTTTCTTTAGAGATGTGTTAATAAAAGACTATAAAATGTGAAAGCCATTAGGAAATTCAAATATTAAATCATACTAATGAATCTCTGACTGGGGTTTATGTGTGTGTGTGTGTGTGTGTTGGTTTTACAGTAACAAACAACTGTAAATTCTATTCCATGTAGAATGGTAGTGAAATTATGTCAGAATGGACGTAGTACCTCTATTTTACATTATTGGATTACTTCAACAGAATTTGAGCTGTAGAGGAAGGGGTTATACTTATGAATGCTTCTGTGCTTAAGAAGCTTTTATTTGTACACAAAAAAATCGAAGTTCACTCTTGAAATGTATTTTTATAATGGGTGGCATTCCTACTTAAAAATTACCTTAGAAAAGTTCAGTTCAGTTCAGTTTTATTAGTGTCTTATAAATGTATCGTGCAGATATAGCACAGAATTATCATATTCAGGTTTAAGTATTTGCATAACAGTTTCAAAAATAATTTAATATACACAATTATAGCCTCAGCAAATCTTGTTGAGATTTAATTGGATTGTAAACTAATTTTATCTAGTATTCATGTTATTAAACATTCTTGCTGTGTATTTGTTTTTAATTGAAGGAATTAATTTTATAATCCTTAGTGTTCACTTTTTTTGATTTATTCTCTTTGTCCTACATTACCTGGATTATTTCAGCCCTGGAACACTGCTGTATGAATGAATGGCCAGAATTTGCTTTTGTTTTACCCTGTGGACTGTGCCTAGGAATTTATTGGAGATTGGCACCTGAGGTGGGGTAGAAAGTGGGGAGAATTTTTTGGGGAGCTCATTGACATCTTTCATCTACCATATTTGAAATATTCAACATTTTTGCTTCATAAAAAGAATGTGACATTAGCTAATGTGCATTGGGGCAGATTTCTCATTTCATTATTCTTCATTTACAAATGACCTGATTTCCTGGTCTCATTACCTTAAATATAGATTCCTAAGGAATGAGGTTGCCCCACTTAAGGGTTATTACCACATGTTTCTAATATGCCTTAAGGAAACTATTTATTATGCCAGGATGTAGGATGTAACAGTGAACGCTACCTGGATAAAAAAGGACAATGATAAAGGTAGAAACTGACAAAAAGTATATTGACAATAAAGGCATAAAGATAATTCTCATGCTTTCCTGAAGTAAAAAATACTTTAAAATATTAGACAATATATGCATGAAACAAAGCCATTGTTTAAAGGAATCTTTTATCTAAATTATATAATAGATTTTGTAAAAATTTTATTTATATTGTTGTGACTACATTGCATATAATACATTTCTTAAATTTGTATTATAGTAGATGTGAAGTTTCTGTTTTGTTGAATACACATTGGATTGTGATTTTTATGTAATACAACATGTTCAATATTCTTCAGCAAAACACCGTATCAGTTATAAATTAAATAACCAGTAACAACAAGATTTAATTATATAAATGCATTTGAAAAATGCTGGGTATATTTTCAAAAAACCCCTTTTAAAGAATTTATCATAACCTTTATTATAAAAGTTACTGTAATTATTCAAACTGCCTAAGTAACAAAATATTTTCCTTACATATATAACTATTGAAATTATTAAAAAATAAAACATGTAACAAAGTGTGAATTAGCCTGTCACTTATACAAAAATGGGGCAAGTACATTTTTATGTGTGTGCATAATAATATGCTGGAAAATAAATAACATGCTGTATGTTTTCTTTATCAGCAGTCCCCTTTGTTTTAAAGTTTCAATTAATCAGGCTATTTTTGTTATATCCAGCTGATGAAAAGGCCTTCCGTTTGAAAAGCAGACAATAATTTAATATTATGTTTTTTTTAGATGTAGCTTGTCTACTTTGGCCATTTAGAATGTTATTAAAGTAAGGTTAGGACAAGTAAGTAAGTTTAGGAAACACAATTTTCTGAAGTGATGTTAGGAAAGGCATTTTTAAGCATCCACTCTATGTCAAACTATTTTTGGGGGATGTACATAGATAAGCCTATTATGAATAAACATAGTGATCTTAAAAGAATACATTCTAGATAGACCTGCATACACAAAATATCAGTGAAAACACAAAAACAAATAATAGATGAATACAGAAAACATTAAGTGTTGACTGGGTAAAGTAGAAGTCAACCTTAAGTTTACAAAAACAAAAATTGCCATATTCTAAAGTCCTCCAATAAAATAACAATTTTTAAAAAAATAAGCAGTAAATTTGTGATGAAAAAAAAAGAAAGACCAAGGACAAGGCTCTTAAACATTTAATATTTGAAAGGTGGTGGTGGTAGGGGTAACCAGAATCAGCAAAGGCTTTAGAAGAAACATTAAGAAAGCAAAAATAAAAGAGGGATGTTCCAGATAAAATATTTTTTAGAAGAGAAGCTGTTCGAAACAAAATTCCAGGAGGATGTTAAGGAAGATGAAGCCTGTGGAAAGGCCAGTACATTTCTTGATTCAATTAATTGTGATCCTTTAAAGAAAACTTTCAGGCCAGGCGCGGTGACTCACGCCTATAATCCCAGAACTTTGAGAGGCTGAGGTGGGCGGATCAAGAGGTCAGGAGTTCGAGACCAGCCTGACCAACATGGTGAAACCCCATCTCAATTAAAAATACAAAAATTAGCCAGGTATGATGGCGCGTGCCTGTAATCCCAGCTACTCAGGAGGCTGAAGCAGGAGAATCCTTTGAACCCGGGAGGTGGAGGTTCCAGTGAGCCGATATCTCGCCACTGTACTCCAGCAGCCTGGGTGAAAACAGCAAGACTCTGTCTCTAGGAAAAAAGAAAAAAAAAAAAGAAAGAAAGAAAAAGAAAACTTTCAGTAGGTAGCATAATGGCAGGAGAGGAATTTTAAGTTGCTGAGTAATGACTAGAAGTGGAATGACATGTCACCATATGGCATTAGTATAAAAAATTAAAATACAAAAATTCTAAAGACTACATAAATATGCAAACTGTTGTAAATTATTCGACCAATTTTGCTCAGTTTTTGGTGAGCTGATGTTAGCACCTGCAGCAAAAGTATTTTATATACTTTAATATGTAAAAATGGAAAGTATTTAAAAATTGTAGTTCATCTGATATTTAATTGGGTACATTTCCAGTGATAGCTATAATTTTTTAAAAATAAGCTTTTGATTATGTTGGAATGAAGGATGATGGAGAACATTTATTTCATTTAAAACACACAAGAAAATGTAGGGAACTTTAATGAGAGCTGTCACTAGTTTACACAACAGGTAGAAAGTAACTATTTTCTCTTCAGCACACTACTTGTGGTCTTATTTCTATTATATTCCAGTCAATCCCAACACTGATACCAAATTTAATTGTCAAGGAAATTGAGTATTTAAAATAGTATAGCCAGATTAGCTAAAGCATATGCAATCAAACAAATGATTTAAAAATACATCCATGCTGATAACTGAATTCCAGTAAAAATATTATTTTCACAGATAATATTTATACACATTATTTATTTTTCCCCTTATATTTTTGACTGTTAACAACAGGTTTGATTTTTTCTCATAGCATTTAGAATGTCTGACAGCAAATCAATGCATAAAAATAGCATTACTAGTAGCTCTTAGTAAACTTCCTCCTATGCTTAACTAATTAACTTCTGCAAATCATTCATTCATTCATATCACCAAATGAAAAATTAATTTGGCCCTCTAGGATTTATTAAAAAAACATGGAGGAATAGGAGGAGAAAATATATTTATGGGGAAACACAAAGGGGAAATATATAAGAAATATAAAATGGAAAACCAAAAGAAAAATACTAGGATTTGTTCATTTTTAATGGAGAAATATAGTTTAATTTCATTAAAAAATCTTTTTAGGGAGGTGGAGAGAAAACTTAGGCAATGTTTGGAATGTGAGCATTAAGTTATGATGAAATTGTAAAATATCTCTAAGCACTTATAATTCATACTTTGGATCTGACACAAATTATATGTAATACAACAATCTCTGAGTAGAATTTCATTAAGTCCACCTTTGAACATTGTTTATGCCATCTACTTGCTTATAATTTCTTATTTCTGTGACCTATAGAAGAAGAAATTTTACTTAAAAAAACACTTATATTTAATAGACTTCAAATGTTTTATAATATGACCCCAATCTACCTCGCTCTTATTTTTGTTGATCACATCTATCACCCTGAATGTTTTCTCCTATTTCATTTCTTCAAGATTGCACACTCTTCTATTACTGTTTAGAAACTTCTCCTTAAGTTTTTTGTCCCAGCAGTGATGTCAACTTCTCTAATATAATAGCCTTTAGTCATTTTCTTATGATAGAATTTATCATTTTGAATTATAATTTTTCTTTACACATGTTTCCTCCACATAAGAGACAATAGCATTAATCTTTATCTCACGAGCACTTGTGTAGTGCCTGGCAATGAGTGCATAATAGAAGTCTCTTGAATAAAGTCACAACACAGTCTTATTCATATTTTCCTATACTCACCATTTTTATATGCAGCTTTTAAGTTTCATCTCTTTAATCAGGGGTATAGGAAATCTCAAAAACCATTGTGTGTCTTTGACTCTACACTTTAGTCCTTATTTCAATAACTTCAAGCACAAAGACCAATTTAATTGATGTCTGGAGATTCATCAGTATCATAAAAATGTCACCTTAATGGTACTTGTTAATCATACAGTCTTTTTCTTTATCATTTTAGTTCTAAAAGTTAACTGAAAATTGTATATCTCTTTCCTGCTTTGCTCTGCTCTTTTACATGAGGTGATTGTTCATCCTCTCAGGGTTTAGGTGATTACACAGCAAGATTAACTATGTGCAAGAATTTCTACTTCACAGTTGTAAAATAACTATATCTCTCTGTAAAGAACTTAACATTTCTTTATGAGGCTAAGACCATGATATAGATCTTTCAATTTTATTCAAAATTATTAATAAATCATTTTTCTTCTATGGTGAAGGAAGTTAACTACGAACAGAATAATTTATATAAAATGTTCACTTAATAATTAAGACTATAAATGCTACTTTCTCAAAGAAATGAAAGGTGCTCTATATCCCTTGACTTATGAAGAGTATTTTAATAAAGCAACATTTTAGCTATTTCTTTCTTTCATTTGCCTCTCCATTACTTTTTTTTTAATTCAGAGAAAGTATTGAATACCTTCTCTTGAGAATCACCGTGGTAATCATTAACAGATAAATATGTTAACAAAGAAAACTTTGGCTTTTAAGTAATTGAAAAGAAAATAATCTGCTAAATAATTTGATAATAAGTACTAGTTTCAAGGTGGATGTTAACAAAGTCTAGTTACCAAGTATAACCATTTTTCTGACAAGAAAAATATTTTTCTCTGTAAATTAGTAAATAGGCATTCTGGTTATATATTTCAGCTTCTTTTGATTTTGATGAGTTAGCTCCATATATTATGTTAATCTGGGCACTCAGTGTTGTATAAAAATTGTTTTTCTGCAATAAGATTCTGGCAAAAAGCAAATATTGTAGTCAAAGTACAATTAAAGAAAAGTTTAAGTGATTAGATATGAAAAGGGTCAAGAAAACCAACAGGCTTTCTTGATGCACCCAGGTTTGGTAACAGGGCAAAGCTATTACCATCCTTATCCTGAAAAAGAGAAGGTACATGTTACGTCACAGAACCTCAGAGGTTCTGAAATCATGGGGCCTTTTAAAAAGAGCTGTAATGTTTGATACAGGTAAGATAATCATTACCAAGTGATTACTGGCCTTTGGGGGAAGTTTCTGAGGAAATAAATAGCAAACCCCCTCTTGTCTCTCTTCCTCAATACTTCACTAAATGCTCCTATAGGCCAAATTCTACTGGCCAAGAGTTAGTAGAGGTCAGCTTTCTGAGACACAGAGCAGGGAAGGGAAGAGTAGACAGTTGATTTAGAGGACCACACAGAGGACATTCAGCATATACTCTTACCTTACAATGAAAGACACATTTATAATGTTGAAATACTGATTTTTCAAATTCAATTTCTACCTTCCTCAACGGTGTTTGGTTGATACTTTTCTATGCAGTAGATCAGTGATGAAGAGTTAATAAGGACTACTTTACCATAATATTCTCACTCATAGGTGGGAATTGAACAATGAGAACACTTGGACACAGGAAGGGGAACATCACACACCAGGGCCTGTTGTGGGGTAGGGGAAGGGGGGAGGGATAGCATTAGGAGAGATACCTAATGTAAATGACCAGTTAATGGGTGCAGCACACCAACATGGCACATGTATACATATGTAACAAACCTGCAAGTTGTACACCTGTACCCTAGAACTTAAAGTATAATAAAAAAAGAAAATAAATCTTACATTCAAACATTAAATATACACTTTCAGAAATTGAAATGTAGGCCCTGGAGTTTGACAAGGGTAGGAATAAATCTCCATAGGAAAATCCTTAGATACAAATCAAAATAAATTTTGAATAATTTTTCTTCAGAGGTATATTGGGGTGGGAGATTAAAATAACTCTTCATGCCAGAGAGCTGAATTTATCTATTCATATATACTCACTAGCTGGAAGAGTGCCTGGGCCACATTAAGCTTTCAATATCTGTTACATTGAACATAATTTTAAAAATTTACTTTCAGTGCTGTTGCTAGCTCTCTTTGTAAGCTTAGGCAAATCATCTACTCAGCATCATTTTCATTGTCTATCAAGTGGAGTCAGTACTATCAAAGAAGTTTGTTCGAAAGATTACCTGAATTTAAAGGCTGGATTGTTTACTACTGACATAGTTTTAGGTCACATATATAAAAATCAATGATTTCTTATTGTTCAGTCTAATTAATAGTAAATCTTCTTTGTAAATTCTAATGTGAAAAAAATGATAATTAAATTACCAGAGGCTTTTATTTCATTTTCAAAGTTTTCAAATAAAAATATATTAATATATTAAAGGCTACAAAAGCAGGTTTCATGTGCCCTTTTTACTCATCTATTAATAAAACAATCACTCATCAAAATTAATTGAATGCTATGTATGTCCTAAGTTCATTGCTAAGGACATCATTTTTTTTTCTCTTGATATAAGAGATTGGAAAATGCAAGAGAATGTTTTCCTTAAAAGTCAATATAAGATTTTACAGCTGAGTTGAGAAAAAAAATCATAGCATCTAAAAATTTTTCCCCTAATTTCATGCTGGAAAATATTGTCAATATGTTCACTAACCATGCCCATTCTGCTAACATTTAGTTCTCCACACAGGGTACATTTCAGTTGATTAGATTTTTGCTTGCTAAAATAATTTCTTTCTAGACATGCTTCTCTGAAAGTACAATTCCACTGGCATATTAGGGGTTTTTGAACTGTTTAGCCACAAATTTATAGAGCTATCTTAATTCTCTCTCATGGAATGGTATTTGTGTTAACTATGACTAGATCAACGAGTTTAGCTTTGAGAGGGAGTCTTTGTAATCTAATGATTTTTGGTCATTTTCGTGGTATCATTGGCCTGTGCCATCACTTTCTCCACTTTATTGAGAAAGTGCTATGAAAATAATATAGGTAGCAAATAATGTTCTTTTTTTTGTTAAATAATGATGTGATGTGGCAATTTTTCTACAAAATTTTCTCTCTCAAAAAAGGAAAATTGTCTCATTCTTGCTATTGGGAACATTTGCTACTGGGATATTTTAAATATTCTTTCTAATTTAACTATGTAAACATTTCTAAACTTAGAAAATATATTGTAAAAATATGATAGAAAAGATAAAACATGGTGCACATGTACAGGGCACTTACCATGAATGGAGCACTGTAAGTTGCTCTGGGTGAGTCACTGAGTGAATAGTGAGTGAATGTGGAGGCCTAGGACACTACGTTACTGTATATTACTGTAGACTTATTAAATGCTGTACACCTAGGCCACACAAGATTATTTTAAAAATTTTCTTGGCCGGGCGCGGTGGCTCACGCCTGTAATCCCAGCACTTTGGGGGACTGAGGCGGGCGGATCACGAGGTCAGGAGGTCGACACCATTCTGGCCAACACGATGAAATCCCGTCTCTACTGAAAATACAAAAAAAATTAGCCGGGTGCGGTGGTGGTCACCTGTAGTCCCAGCTACGCAGGAGGCTGAGGCAGGAGAATGGCATGAACCCGGGAGGCGGAGCTTGCAGTGAGCCGAGATCACGCCACCGCACGAGACTTCGTCTCAAAAATAAATAAATAAAAATAAAAAAAATAATTTCTTTGTTAAATAATAATTTAATCTTAGCTTACTGTACCTTTTTTACTTTATAAAGTTTTTAAAAACTTTTTGACTCTTGTGTAATAACACAGCTTAAAACATATACTGTACTACCTCCATACAAATTTATTTATTTATTTATTCTGTAACCTTTCTTGTAGTTTATAAATGGAATTTTTAACGTTATAAATTCTTTTGTTAAAAACTAAAGCACAAACACACAGATTAGCCTAGGCTTATTCAGGGTCAAGATTATCAATGTGATTGTCTTCCACTTCCACGTATTGACTTACTTGAAGATCCTAAGCGGCAGTAACATGCATGGAGCTGTCATCTCCTATGATAACAACTCCTTCTGGAATAGCTCCTGAAGGGACTGCCTGAGGATGTTATACAGTTAGCTTTTGTTGTTGATAAGACGAAGGAGTACGCTGTAAAATAACAATAAAGGCTTAGTATACTAAACATACATCAGTATATAGTGATTATCAAGTATTATGCAGTTTACATAATTGCATTGCTATACTTTTATATGACTGGCAATGTAGTAGGTTTCTTTACACCAAAATCACCACATACATGTGGATAATGTGCTACAACTTTTTGATGGCTATGACATCACTAGATAGGAATTTTTTCGGCTCCATTATAATCTTAGGGACTACTACCATACATGTGGTTTATTGTTGACTAAAATGTTGTTACAGGAAACAGGACTAGTGTGTGTGTGTGTGTGTGTGTGTGTGTGTGTGTGTGTGTGTGTGTGCGCGCGCGCGCGCGCTGTTGTTTCTGCTTTTCTGGTTAGCCCTGACTGATACAGCAGTTACAGCTTACTTATTTAATTTTTTTTTAAAGACAAGGCCTTGCTATGTTGCCCAGGCTGAAGGGCAATGGTGTGATCATAGCTCACTGCAACTTCAAACTCCTAGGCTCAAGTGATCCTCTCATTTCAGCTTGGAATACCTAGGACAAACACGTGTCAGCATACCTGACTACTTTTAATTTTTCTTTTTTTTTTTGTAGAGAAGGAGTCTCACTGTGTAACCAAGTCTGGTCTCCAATTCCTGGCCTCAAGTGATCCTCCCATCTGGACCTCCCAAAGCACTGGGATTACAGAGGTGAGCCACCATGATTAATCACTTATTTCATTTTTCAATATACTATATCTGACTGTAATGTATGCCAGGAATCATTGTAAATGTGCAGAGGGAAGGGAGAGAAAACAAGAGACTAAAGTTAGTGTAAAGCTGCCCCTCTATAGGAGAAATCTGCATTAGTAATATGGACATCATAATGTGTTTCCGTGATCAATGAGAAACACATATAGAGAAAGCAGCAGCCTACTTGTCACTAATTCCTTCCATCAGTATTGTAGAATTTTGGAAGGAGTTGTGTTTATTTCTTAAGGATAGTTAGACAGAATTATTTACTTTACTTAAAAAACTCACATAATTTAGGTCCACATCAACCATGTCCACATAATGCAATACTTTTTGCTAATAACATACCCTGTAACTGAGCACATCCACGGAAAAACAGGAAAGATAATTGAGGTAATAGTGAGTGAAATTGTGGTGGTAATAAATATATCATGTTCATAAAATCCATATAGTATACTACCTAAATAATTAGGGCAGATGTTTGCTAATTAAATATTCTATAATTTTCCTTAGTTATTTTTCAACATGTAAAAATATATTGCAAGAATATTGAAATTGAGTTATTTATAGTAAGACTATATTCTGGCAATTACTGGCTTTATTTGATCTCACGTAACCTATACCTATTGGCTTTCATTATAAATACTAAAATTTTTGGTAAGCAGTTTAACAGTAGACGTGGCAAATAGGGAATGTGCAGTTTTGTGCTTTTTGTTTTGCTTTATCTGTTTGTAACTTTGAATAGCTTACTACCTTTAAATTCATCAAATTCATTTGTTTAGTATTTTAGAACTAACACAGCCCTGGGAAACCTTGGTTTCCTCTCCTGTCTTGCTTTTTATCTAATTTCATGACATCTGCACCATCTAAAATCTCTGGGGTCAATTTTTTAATCCATGAAATAAGGGAGATGGACTAGGTGATCTATAGAGCTTTGTCCAATTCCAAAATTCTGCCATGTTAATTTATTTATGCTTAGTCTGTCCAGTTTCTCCCTGCATTAATCAAATTTGTCTGATAATGATCAAATCTTAGCATCCTTTTGAACTTAAATCAAAGTGAATGCATTTTTATGCATGTATACTAATAATTAAGTATGGACTTGTCTTGAATATTTCCAGATTTCTTTGAAAACAATACTTTCCCATACTGTGTTAGGGTAATAGGTGCTTCTTTCTAAATTTTGCTTTAAGTATTCGTGGATAAAATTTATGTTCCATTGTTCCCTTATGTGTAAATTAATAAACAACAAAATTAAATAATTCCTAAAGATATTTTATTGGCCATGGCTACATGTACATAGTTATTCTTTTCAATTTTTGGGGTGCCATAATTCATTTAGCCATCTTTAGTTATTTACCTTGCTGAAATATGTACCCCATTCCTCCTCAATTGTTTTATCTTCCCACTGCTCAGTTATTTCCAAACATTCTTGTTGCCCAAAATAAAAACAGCATACATTTTTTTAACCTTGGAGTTCTGCCAGAGAAAGAAGAAATAAAACTAACACCCATGAAATAGAGAAAAGAAAATTTGGCAACAACATCCAAACCAAGAATCAGTTACAAGTACAGTATGTACCACAGAGTCACTTTTATAGTTTCTGTGAATTCTTATTTCTCAATATCCTGTGAAAGTTATTTCATTGATAAATTCTACCTAATTTACCCCAATGTATTCCCTACTGTGAACCAACAAGGAAGACTAAAGAGTAAGGTTTCTTGATTGACAAAATAATACTCATAAATATACTTGCACATTCAAGCACACACACACTCACACACATGCACATTCATACAGTTCCTAATCTCCTTCATTCAGACTGCGGTGACTTATTTTAGTCTATTTGAAGAACATATGTCAAAGATGTAATGTTTCTTTTCAAACTTGCAAGATTTCACTTTCTAAGGAAATTACCATATATGCTCTCATAGCATCATACACTTCGCAGTACTTTCAGTTTTATGCTGTGATAATTCATGTTCGTTTTTGCTGTCATATTTAATTTTCTGCCTCATGTTCAGCTTGTGAGCTCCATTTGAGCATGGATTATTTCTGGTTTGGGTCTCCATTGAAACCCCTTCATCAAACATGCGGCCCAGTAGATTATGTCAGTAATTATTTATTGAATGAATAATAGAATTGGTGGCTCCAATTACATGGTTAAGTAAAAATGGATGGGCTTAAAATGGCATCAGAAATATTCTACTCTATACTTAAAATTCCATCAGATACACTATATAAAAAACTTTTACAACATTTACAAATATCAACCAAAATGTAATTCATGCTTTTATTATCTCTTTTTCTGTCAATCTTTTTGGATAATGGAGTCATACAATGGATGAAAGATTGGCCAAGATACATTCTAAACTTGCTTCCAGGTTAAGAGTCTGTTCTACCAACATGAATGTTTAATAAGAATCACTGCATCAAAATGATGTGTTTAGTTTTAATAGCTTATATTGCCTGTATGCTCTGAGTATTAATAAAGATACTTTTATGTTTTCTCATAAATCAAATATTTTTATTTTACACACTTGGGAAACATGTAGAAACCCTGAATGCATTTGTTTATCTTTGACTTTAATGCAGACACCCGAGTACAGTACTCTCTGATATTAAAAAAAAAAAAAGAAATATTTAGGAGAACTAAACATGATACACATTTTTGTGAAACAAAGAATGCTTTTGCAAGATAAAATATAACTTATTATACGATGTTGTTAGCTTAACATGTAGGCTTATTCATTAGATTAGGGTGATGTTTAATTTGTCATTTTTGTCTTTCTGATAAATTAAATGACTAGAAATATGAATTCAGAAAAGTGTAGATTAATACCATTAAGCTTGACAAATAAATATTCAGGTTTCTGAATCTACTGCTCATACAGAATGCTGCAAAAAGCTCAGGCTTTGTATCTATAAAACAAAGATAATAATAGAATCAACCTACTGGGTTAGTGCAAAAATTAAATTAGAATATAAGAAAATATATGTGTTTAATAAAAATTGTTCAATACATTTTTGTTTCACTAAGAAGAGAATTCTCTCTTTTTTTTTTTTTAGTGAAAAAGCACCAGCCAGTGAAATATCAAAACTAAAATATCTGAGCCAATTAAGAGACTTTCTTTTCTCCTGATACAGGATTTATATACACATACAAGTTTTCTCAGGAGAGGTGTAGGGAAGAGGTTGGCTTCCTCAACATTTCCTAATTCCAAATTCCTCACATATTAGCTGAATTTCTGGCTTATCGGTGGAGAAGTGAGTGGTAAGGAGCTTTTACCTGCTTCAGACAGTAATGATCTTACAATGGCTGCCTATGGTTACAGACGACACAAAATTGCTGATCATCTGCTCCTGAGACACATTAGTTTGATCCTCAGAGACTCTGCTCTCTTTATAGGTATCTCATACTGTAGTTCTTTTTAAAAGGGTCATATTGCAGGTTGCTTTTCAGTTTCCACTTCAGCCCTTGGGATCTGGCAGGTTTCTAGTTGACTGTATTGACTCATGGTTAGTAGGGATGACCCACAACCAGCACCCTTACCCTGTTGTGAGGAAAGGTGCAATTCATTTTCAATACAGACTTTCTCACTTCTCTCAATGGCTTGCAGGCAGCTTCAACCAGCTTTAGGCATTAGCCTTCTGGGTTGTTAAAAACAAATTATTCCAGTCTATCATTGTTGGACATTTGGGTTGGTTCCAAGTCTTTGCTATTGTGAATAATGCCGCAATAAACATACATGTGCATGTGTCTTTATAGCAGCATGATTTATAGTCCTTTGGGTATATACCCAGTAATGGGATTGCTGGGTCAAATGGTATTTCTAGTTCTAGATCCCTGAGGAATCGCCACACTGACTTCCACAATGGTTGAACGAGTTTACAGTCCCACCAACAGTGTAAAAGTGTTCCTATTTCTCCACATCCTCTCCAGCACCTGTTGTTTCCTGACTTTTTAATGATTGCCATTCTAACTGGTGTGAGATGGTATCTCCTTGTGGTTTTGATTTGCATTTCTCTGATGGCCAGTGATGGTGAGCATTTTTTCATGTGTTTTTTGGCTGCATAAATGTCTTCTTTTAAGAAGTGTCTGTTCATGTCCTTCGCCCACTTTTTGATGGGGTTGTTTGTTTTTTTCTTGTAAATTTGTTTGAGTTCATTGTAGATTCTGGATATCAGCCCTTTGTCAGATGAGTAGGTTGCGAAAATTTTCTCCCATTTTGTAGGTTGCCTGTTCACTCTGATGGTAGTTTCTTTTGCTGGATTAAGAAAATGTGGCACATATACACCATGGAATACTATGCAGCCATAGAAAATGATGAGTTCATGTCCTCTGTAGGGACATGGATGAAATTGGAAATCATCATTCTCAGTAAACTATCGCAAGAAAAAAAAACCAAACACCGCATATTCTCACTCATAGGTGGGAATTAAACAATGAGATCACATGGACACAGGAAGGGGAACATCACACTCTGGGGACTGTTGTGGGGTAGGGGGAGTGGGGAGGGATAGCATTGGGAGATATACCTAATGCTAGATGACGAGTTAGTGGGTGCAGCACACCAGCATGGCACATGTATACGTATGTAACTAACCTGCACAATGTGCACATGTACCCCAAAACTTAAAGTGTAATAATAAATAAATAAATAAATAAATAAAATAAAAACAAATTATTCTCTTGCTTATACCTCAGAGGGTCCATGGCAAACTCCTCAAGTAAATTTGTGATGGTTCCTCACATTCACATAGTTTGCATGAAAAAAAATATCATTTTTATAGTTCTGAGAAGTTATTATCAATAAGATACACAAATCATGGTCTTTAATATTATATTTAAAATATATCTTATGGTATTGACTCCAAGAACAATATAGAAAGAAAAGAAAGAAGAAAAGACATGCTTAAAGCACTCTAGAAGCCTTTTCTTATTAGTTGAAGTAAAACTCGAGAAAATTTGTACTATTTTTTTAATATTACAAAAACTAAACCTACAAATGACTTACTATACAATTCAAGTGGATACAGACATGTAAAAAAGGCTACTACACTTTATTTTTGGAATTAGTTCTGATTAGTTGCTTATAAACTATTTAAGAAGTAAATTGTTTTTGCCTAAAGTCATTTTTGCATAAATTTGGTTGAGTGACCATATAATTTTTCTTACAAACTTGGACACATTTCATGGTAAACAAGAGCCATGACTGCATGTGATATCTAACAAAATATAAAGTAGACTGTCCCAGGTAAATCAGATATATGATCACTCAAGTTAGGAAAATTTCACCCACAAGAAGACTTTAACTCAAATTGGCCAAAGAAGCATATTACAATAATTAACCAGAAGAAAGATATATTGTCGTTTTCAGTTTTGGCTGACTTGGCAGTTTCATTATGGATGTAGATTTCCATTTTTCCTCTCAGTCATCTTCAATTTGCCAGCCTGCATCTCTCCTTGTATTTGAAAGTTGGCTACAGTGGTTCTAGGCATAAATCTCAGGTGAAATAGTATCCAGATGTACAAAGATGTTTTTCTTGGGAGCAAAATAATTTCTAGAAAGTTTCTCAGTAACCTCCCATACTTCTCACTGACTATCAATATGTCATTGCTACATCCATCAGTGCAAAGGGAAACAGGATTTACCCTTGGAACTAGGGTTATAGGAAAAACAACTTTGAATGTTATGGGAAAACAAAATTGGGTCTCTTTCAGAAAAGAAGATATATGATGATTGTTGCAGAGACAACCAATACTGTTTGCTAAAACTCTATTCCTGCCTCTAATCCTTGACCCTTTTCTGAAAACTCATGATTAAAATGTCCATAGAAATCATTCTATTTCTATATTTCCTGCCCTCAAATATTTCTATTTTATCTTTTAATTCCCAGAGAAATTCTCCGTTTAATTTGTGACAGAACATCTCACTATAGTTCAAATTTATTGAAACTTACTTTTATTAGGGTAAAGTGTAAAAATAGATATTTTCTGTAAAATTTTAAAACATAAGTAATATTAATGTTTAAAGGTTCATCAACCAAAGTATAAATAGGCAGAATTTTCTGCAAATTAATAACTTACAGACATCATTCAGTAAAGTGTGATTTTTAAGACAATATGGCAATATGTTACTCTGAACATTAATTAGGTTATTCTTTACATTAACTAAAAGTTTTAACTTTTCAAAAATGAGTCTCCTTATGCTAGAATGGATATTTAAACACAAATCAATGTAAACTCATCACATCAAATGTTTTTCTGAAAAAAATCTGTCATAAAATATGAAATACTTCTCTATAAGATTTAGAAAACTTGTGCTGTCTTTAGGTGTTTACAGATGAATAAAAGTAATAACATTTTGCAGTTAAATGTTATGAATTTTTTTCTCTTTCTCTTTCATTTAATGAATTATTTAAAATAGAAACAGGAGAATCCCAAGAATTGTAATCCTTATAAAAACCAATTAGAGATCCTTCACTTAGTCTGTCAAAAGATAAATAATGTTCTTCTCCTACAAATATGCTCCTCCCACAGTTTTCCTGTCATTTAATGAGAACATCATCTGCCAGTTGCTCAAGTCCAAAATCTTAGAGTCATCCTGTACTTCGTTTTTCCTGCCTATTCTGCTCATGAACAAATCTCATTGACTCTACTTGACAGTTGTTAAGTTCTTGTCTCTCAGCTCTAAACCAGATCTATATTCTGTGATGCTGGCTCAGAATTCTGCAAATCACACTGCTGATTTACCACCTTATTGCCTGCGAGTTAATGCCAATAGGCAGAGTAGAGAGAGCTAAAGCAAGACTAGATGGCAAGAGGAGGAAGAAGGGAATATTTCCTCCCATTTTATTCCCTCTCAAATTTATTTACCTATTTCAGCTTTTCTTGAGGTATAATGTATATTATACCTCAATTAGGTATAACTGTGTATTATTAATACACACACTTTCATCAGTTTAGAAATATTTATACACCTGTGATAGTATCACCACAATTGAGATAACATATTCATCGCCTCCAAAAGTTTTCTTGTGCCCCTTTTTATAATTGTTGTTGTTGCTGTTGTTCCTTCCTATGCTAAAGAACAGACTTGCATCTTTACCTTTACTGTCAGTAACACTTTCACTTCAAGAGTGGTGGCAAGTCATTCTAGTAATAGCAGTTAGAGCAAGTTTGCAGTTTTCTATGATTTTCAGAGTCATGTTCATCATACTCCTCCAGAGACATTACCACAAATTGAATCAACTGCCCTCCTCTGAGGTTTAGATCTTACCCTTCATGCTCAAAGGCTCAAACAACCACTGTGTAACACCAGTTTCTCAGATGCATGTGTTTCAGGTCCATGGGGGTGTTTAAGAACTGAATGTTTGAATCCCCCCTTCACCACAAATTCATATGTGGGAGCCATAATCCACCATGTAGCTGTATTTGGAGATGGGGTCTCTAAGGTAGTAATTAAAGTTAAATGAGGTCATAAGGATGGGACCATGATTAAATAGGATTAGGTCTTTATAAGAAGAAATACCAGAGAGTTCATTCTCTCCTCTCTCTCTCTCTCTGCCTGTCTGCCGATAGATAGATGTATAGATATAGATATATACTCATATACTGTCCCTCCCATTCCCTGTACTTCAGCCACATCAACATCCTTTCTGCTTCTTTAACGCACCTATGCTATTAACTCTTGTTGGAACACACTTTGAAGATATTTGGCTATACCCCTCACTTCCTGCAGTTCTTCTGTGGCTACACTATTTAAAATTGGACCATACAATTCTCTATCCCTTTCACTCAGTTCTTATTTTTCCCACCTTTTCTTTTTTACTGCGTTTAATAACATTATAATACATTGTAATAACACAAATTCAAAAAGAATGTCTAGAGTTTGACAACTGAATTGTGTCTGCTCTCTGTTCATAAAGGAGGGGATAGGTTGACTAGACCCATTAGAGAAATGGTAGTCAACCTTTTCTCAAGAAATTCCAGACCTATTATATACGTTTACATACATATATACAAATTCCCATATTACAGTATTATTTGATGTCTTTTTATATATAAAATATATCCTTCTTTATGTATCACTCTTTAACTTGCTTTTTTCATGCACCAGTACTTCCTGAAACTATCGATATCAATATATTAAATTCTATCGATACTTTTAACTGCTGTTTAATATTTTTATGCATAAATATACTGCACTTATGTATTTGAAAAAAAAAAGAAACCTATGGTTCCCATATTCCTAAATATCCTCTGGCCTGATTTCCCAAGATAAGGTTTCCAAAATGGACACCCCTCATCAAGAGATTCAGAAATTTCTGAAATCTCTTCAGTGGTTCCTGGTGTACCAGCCAATCTTAGCACAGAAGTAGAGTGATTGTGCATGCCTACAGAGTCCTGGCTTATGCTGGTTGTCTTGGTATAGAATATTCATAGTATCACATTTCATTCTTTCATTATAAAAACTGTTTCTCTTTTATAATAAATTATAGGAAAACAATATCAAAATCCTCCAATCAGTTGTTAAACTGGAGTGGACAACTACCACCCGGCAGTACAATACTGCATCCAGGACCCTGTTATATTTGAAAGATAATAAACACCTTTGGAACTCTTGAATTGTCAGGACTGCAAGATATCTAGGCTCAAGCATTCCATTATATTACAATGCTGCAACCTCAACTGTTATCTGATTAAATATTATGCATACTGTTTATAAAGAAAGATCCTATTATACTTAATATGTTCTGGAAACTATATATTTTGTTAATTTTTGCTTATTATTGTCTCTCTTTCCCCTCTATAACATGATCATTTTAAAAACAGAAGTTTTCTTGTTTTGTTCACTGTTGTATGCTCAAAATCTTATTTAGTGCCTGCAACATTGAAGGTGCTGAGTAAATATTTGTTGAAAGTAATGTAGGTTCTGGAATTCATTCTATACTTGCCATCTCTAAAGTTGATCTTGTCGTTCTTACGATACTGCTTTCTAATATACTTTTTTTCTTCCTAAAGACAAAAAAGTCATTTTTAAAATAAAAGTGGAATTCTAGCAGTGGCTACTTCTTGTTAAATTTAGTTCACAAGCATTTAGGCTTCCCAAAGTCTCAATGGTGCGATGCTTTGTGTCTTTATTCTGTGATTCATTCACTTTTATAAGCTAAATAATAAGTGCAAACTTGCAAAGGGGAACATATTAAAAGGGCACAGTGCATCAATTCATGAGCTTTGGGAATTTCTTAAAGTGTATTTGAATGTTATACAAAAGCTATAAATATATGAATTCAAATTAAACTATTTTCTAGAAATGAAATACTATCAAGTGAAACATTTTACTTCAGAAGTGAAAGAAATACCAATATCTTATATACTATATTCAGGGTTTTTTTAAATTTTGTTTTTTTGAGACAGAGTCTCACCCTGCTACCCAGGCTGGAGTGCAGTGGCACAATCTCGGCTCACTGCAACCTCTGCCTCCCAGGCTCAAGTGATTCTCGTGCCTCAGCCTCCCAAGTAGCTGGGATTACAGGTGAGCGTCACCATACCCGACTAATTTTTGTATTTTTTAGTAGAGATGGGGTTTCTCCATGTTGGCCAGGCTTGTCTCGAACTCCTAGCCTCAAGTGACCTGCCTGCCTTGGCCTCCCAAAGTCTTGGGATTACAGACGTGAGCCACCACGCCCAGCCAGATATTCAGTTATTCTTACATAAGATATTCACATATTTCCATGATAGCAAAATATATCATGTTGTTCTTGAAATATACTAAATAAAACCAATTATTAATTTTTCTCCAACATGTAGAAAACAGAAGCAGTGAATGTTAAGAACTAGACATTTTGATTTCAGTTGAAGATTAAATAAAATTTCTTTAACTTTATGCATTTCTTCTCTTTTCATTTGACTACTAAATATTGTAGTTGGAGGCTGAACATGAGTGTGAGGCTCCAAAAACCTGTGATCTCATTTTACTTTTATTCCTCATGTGAGTCTGTACAAGTAACTCATCGCTAAAGTTTTTTTTTAAATCTGTTTAATGAGAAGGTAGAATTAAATTTTCTTGTATCTTGCTGTATTGACATCTGATACTTTAAACCTTTAGAAAAGATAAATCAGATTTTTCATGAAAACATTAGAATTTAAACTTACAAATTATTTAATGCTTTGAACTCTTGTTACTATTTTATCTTTCTCTACCTTTAAGAAGATATTATATGTCCATTAAAACATAGTGAACTCATACTGTCAAGCAGATGCCAGTAGAAGATAATGCTGCCTTCTTGGAGGGCATTTAGAAGAAAAGTATACCTTTCATAAAAGTGTCCTTGAATTCTCATTTAATCCCAATTCCTGTAAAAATATGGCTTTGATTTTTAAAAAATAGTTTAGTCTGTAATTTACAGAGCCCATAAGCCATCAGCCTTCAGTTCACATTAAGACTTAAGTCTCAAAGTTTTCTTCTGTGGTTTTAGGTGAAATTCATAGACCAAGCTTTCCTATTATACTAGTGTTCAGAAAACAGTCTTTTCCATTGCGTGACTCACTCGCCACCCTGATGTGAATATTATCCATCACTTAATTTTTTTTCCTGCAAACTTCCAGTTTCAGCTTATATTCTGAGATACATTCGATAGTGATAGGTGGAGGAAAAGCAATCCAAAATTCTGTGTGCTGTGGTATTGGTCCCTCCGTCTCACTCTCAGACTCACAAATCATTGAAAAAACAGAGCAACTAGACGGTAAATTCATCTTCACACAGTGAATTCTACAATTTAAAATCTATCTGTTTTTATAATGTACTTCTTTAATATAGTAACAGAAATCTCCCTTCTGAGGTCAAAGACCAATTCTGCTGGTTTTCTCCTTCTTGCTCTTCAACAACTTCATTTGTTGTTTAATCTCTCTCAGGGGTCAGAAATCTCTTCCCCATATGCTGAAACTTCCCATTTTTCAGCTTCAAGTAATTGCAACTTTCTATGTCTATTGGCTCAAAACAAGAGTGTGAATTTTTCATTTATGATTCTTCACATTGATGGTCTATTGTTCCCCAGCTAAATTGGCGAGACACAAAGGGAAGCTATACATCGGCCATTCATGAGGATTATTTGTAAAGTGGAAACCTTAAAGGCAGGCTGGTTTGATAGCTTTTTCAACTCAAGTTTAGTAAATATGGCAACACACTTTCGTGTGTTCTGTGTTTGGAGCTGGTATAAAAAGATTAAATGCCTAACCTGAGTTGTGAATGTCTTTCCTCTAGGGTTTAGCAGAATATACACCAGATAGTAGAGGTAGCCAGTGCTAACTATATTTGAATATATTGCTTTAAGCCTAGACAACACAGGATAGTTTTTCCCCTTTCTTTAGAACAGCTATAGTATTGTCTGAACTGAAGATGACCAGAATGCTCACTGGCATATCAGACTTCTTCAGTACATCTGTCAGGTTGACATATTATCTATCTCTATATAAGTATAGAAGCATGTCAACAAAACAGTCATATGAGTCATATAATAAGTATGAGATACAGCCACAGGAATAACAAAAAAAATTGCTCTAGTATGAAGTTTTTGATGTATTCTGCATAGAAAACTTGTTAGTGGGGATAAATTTCAGTTAATAATGTTCCAGCAATTAGTTGTTTCTGCTCACTTATTTTGCTTACAATTTATTGTAGCAAATTTTAAGACTTATTGTTAATCTCCTACGACCCCAATCTTCTAACAAATTATTAATAGCAAATTTGTCTAAATAATGAACAAAACCCCGCATACTGAATTTACTTAATGTCTTTTGTTATTTCATTTTCTTGATAACCTATTTTAAAGTATATATAAATTAGAAATGTACCAAGTAAACAACTATCACCCAACAAAGAGTGTTAGCTTTACACCAGAATCATCCTTTTATCTCCTCCCATAAAAGGTAATAACTGTTCTGACTTCTACCATGGTAGATGAGTTTTGAACATGTATCACAATTTCTGTAAGGCATATTTCAAGGAGAGAATTGCACGGTAATAGCATATGTATATATAAAATTATATACATATATGATATATATATGTATATTCCAACAAGTTTTCCAAAGTGGTGTAATGAATTGTGATCATTGTAGCAGTATGTGAAAAACTCAGCTTTTTCATAGACTCTACAATACTTGCAATTTTACTACTGTAAAAGTTTGTCATTCTACTGTGTATGTAGTGGTATCTCATTGGAATTTAATTTACATATTTATGGTCATTAATGAAATTAACCATTTGTGTATACTTTTTGCTTTTTCAAGTCTTTTGCACATTTGTTTTGGTGAAGTTTTTGTTGACCACGTGTATTGAAAAAGACTTCCACTCTGTGGCTTGTCTTATAAGGGTGTTTTTTAATTAACATGAGTCTATAATTTTTCTTGTTTTTAATTGTGTAAATTCCAGCTGTACAGCATTATATATGCACATATGCATAATATGTATAGACATGTACATAAATATATATGCATAATATGTATATATACATATATGTGATATAAATGATTACTGCAGTAAGCAATTTAACATATCCATTATCTCACGTGGTTACATTTGTATGTGTGTGTGTTGACAGAGCACCTAAAATCTACTTTCTTAGACAATTTCCAGTGTACATTGCAATATTATTAAATACAGCCCTCATGCTGTTAGTTTAGTTCTCTAGATTAGTTCATCCTACGTAATTGCAACTTTGTACCTTTTGGCCCACCTCTCTCAATTTCTCACCCACCCTCCCAACCTTGTTTTCAGTAGTCTTCCTCTCTGTTCTATTCTCTGTTTCTATAAAACCATACTTTTAAAATTTGGATTCCACGTGTAACAGAGAGTATACAGCATTTTTCTTACTGTCTCTAACTTATTTCATTTAACATAATGTCGTCTTGTTCAATCCACATTGTGTCAAATGACAGAATTTCCCTTTTTAAAGCTGAATAATATTCCATTGTACATATATATCCCAATTTCTTTATTCAGTCATCATTGATGAACACTTAGATTGTTTCCATATCTTGGCTATTATGAATAATGTTGCAACAAACATAGGCGTGTATACACCTCTAAAAAGTGCTGATTTTTTTGGAGAGGAGGGGATATAACCAGCAGAGGGATTGTTGGATCATACAGTAGCTCTATTTTTGGAAAACCTCCACTGTTTTCCATAATGGCTATACTAATTTGCATTCCCACCAACAGTGTATAAGAGTTCTTTTTTCTCAGCATCTTTGCCAGCATGTTTTTTTTTTTTCTTTTTTGATAATAGCTATCTTAACAGGTGCAAGATAATACATCATTGTGGCTTTGATTTAAATTTTTCTGATGACTAGTAATATTGAGCACATTTTAATATACTGTTGGCCATTTTAATAAATTAATGTAGTCTAATTTTTCTGTCTTTCATTTTATGGATAATAAATTTAAAGTCATGTTTAAAAGACCTTCCACCACCTCAAGTTATTTAAGATATTCATTATTATCTTCTGCAAACTTAACTGTTGTACTTGTCGTATTTGAAACATCATCTAAAATTGATGTTTTAAATATGAGTAAGGTGATATTCAAGCTTAACTTTTATACATATTGATATCCAATGAAATCCAAACTATTTGTTAAGAACACAGTTTTCCTTCAGTGCTTTGTTCTGCAGGATGAGCTTTTTACAAATTACTTTGCTGTGTATTTGTGTGTTTATTTCAGAACTCATTTTGTTGCCTTGGTCTTTCTGTCCATTCTTTTATGATCATAACACTGTCTTAATTCCTGTAGTTTCATAACAGTACTAGACTCCTTCCAACTATATTCCTTATAAAACTTGTCTTGACCTTTTCTTAGCCATTTACTTTTGCATATAAATGCTACAATTATTTTGACAATTTCTATAAAAAATAATATTACCAAGAATAATAACTTTCTGGGTTCATACTGAATCTACCCATCTATTCAGAGAGAAGTTACAGATTTACAATACTGCCTTCTAATCCAAGAAAATTATGCATTTCTACATAGATTGAGGTTTCCTTTAATTTCTCTCAATAATATAATAAGTATCTGTTCAGAGGTTTTAGAACATCCTTCATTAGATTTATTAGTATTCTAGCAAAGCATTTTATAGACCTTGGGATAGTGGAACATCCTAATCTCTTTTATGACCTCAAGAGATAGCTGTCATACAGACCTCAGAAATAATATGATATTTGTCATAAGTTATTAGTAGGTTTTTTATAAGAAACTAAAGATTTTTCATTAGATTCCTAGTCAGATTAAAGTTTTAAAATCATAAATGGGATTTGAATGTTTATCAAATAATTCTTCTGAAGTAACCAGAAATAAGATAATCATGAGTTAACCATGAGTTTTCTCTCTTATTCTGTTATTATTGTGTATTATTACTATATATTAAATATTAAGTTAACCTAACATTTCTAGATAAACCATAAGTTGACCAAAATGAAGTATGCATTTGATATATTGCTAGATTCAGTTTACTATTATTAGATTTAGGATTCTCTGCATTTATCCTTAGGAGATAAATGATCTTCATAGTTTTTGCTATATTGTTTTCCAATTGCCATTTTCAACATTTGAGAGCAAATTTGTGCTGTAATAACTTAACTTGGAAGTGTTCTTTCATTTTCTATTATCTATACTCTTTTGAATAAGTAACTAGTGAAATCCTAGTGACTAGTGATTCCCATAATGAGTTAACATAAGTTCTTTTTCTACAGATTTCATTTATTTTATTTATGGCATATATGACCCATCAGATTTTACATTATTCTTAAGTCACTTTGGAAATTTGTATTTTATAAATTTTAAAATAAATTGGCATCAAGTTAGTTAAAAATACCTTTTTATTATGACTTTAATTACTCTGGAATCTAATGTGATATCCCTTTTTCATTAATTATATGAGAAATTTGTTCTTTCTTTTGATTGTTGCCTAGTGTTAACAGAGTTTTTTTTTTTTAATTTTTAAAGATACAGTTGTAGCTAATATGGTCTTCTCTATTAGACAATTGATTTCAACTTTATTAGTTTCTTCTTTTTTATAGTATTCTAATTTTTTTGTTTATAATTTGTCAGTTGGTTACTAATGTATTGAGATGCACATTTGTAATAATGATTTTCAGCATTCTTTTCTAATATATTCCTTTAATGCTGTAAACTTCACTGTGAAATTAGCTTTAGCTATATCTTATAAGCTTTGATATATATTTAATGTTATTCATTTTAATCCGTTTTCTAATTTCCAGTGTTGTCTTTTAATATTAGTTTTTTAAATATATTTATTAGTTTTTAACTTAATTCCACATTACCTCTTTAATGAAGAACCCCCCTGGTGATGGGGGAAGATGGCTTACTAGATGCAGCCAGGTGGAACAGCTGCCACCAAGAGGCAGAGATGACTAGCACACTCCGAGCAGGCCTTCAGAGAGAAGGCATTGAGAGTGGATGGAGGGAAGACACAGAGATAGGCTGATGGGGAGGAATCCGGGAACACTACATAGGGTTATCTTGAAACAGGATTTGTTCCTGGTCCCCAGTGACTCCAGGGGAACAGGTGAGTTGCACTGATAAGAAATAACCTGCTCTCAACACAGGTCCCTGGAATCCTGGCAGAAGGATACCCCTTGACTATCATGGGCACTCTAGTTGGCAAGCAGAGTTGCTTAGAGAAGTGGTAGGGACAGAAGGCAGCTGATGTGTAGCCCAGAAGGTTTGCTGTGAGAACACCTGTAGTGGAACATGGCCAGGGACGCCCTACCCCATAGGGTTCACTTGCTCCCGTAATATTTTAGCCCTAGGGGAATTGTGGGACCTGAACTCAGCAGGGTGGTTTGACCCATCCAGAGCACCCGTTGGTCTACTGGCTTCTCTCAGGACCCCAGCCTAGCCACGCCTTCTTACAGGGTAGCCTCAGATGCCCTGGGGGCATGCATGACAGCTTCTGTGCTGGTAGACTATGCTTGACTGGCAGAAAGCTCCAGCAGGGTAGCCCCCACTGCCACGCACCAGCCTACCCACTCCCTCCCCACACTGAAGCTTTCCCTGGGCCCATGGCAAAGCCCCACATTGCTTTACTGGTGCATGAATGCACAGGTGAGGTTTGCCTTCCTTGTCCTGCCAGCGCACATGTGTGTGTGTGCACTCTGACCTGCCACTACTGTGATGGGAATGCACTCACCCATTCTCCTCCAACCAGACCACTATTGCAGTCAGAGCCTTGGTGGGCACAGAGCCAGTCAGCCCTGCACCCACCAGTACCCCACCCTTGTGCCAACACTGCTGCAAGAGTGAAACTGGGCACAAAGGGCAGCCAACCCTCCCCTCTCCTGAGCGACCACGCCTACCTGTGGCAAAAAGAGAAAACACACAGAAGCGTGCTTCCCACTGTCCTACCCCTGTAGTAACACCACAACCAGTGTGACTGCATGAGCTGTTGCCAGCAGGTGACCTCTGCCCTGCTAAGCTATGCTGCCTCCACCACTGTAGAAAATGCCCTCATGGAGGCAGGCACTCTGGTACCTGCTAACACCCTGCTGCACCTGGCTAACATGCACCCCACTGCAAGTTTCTAATGATTTGCTTTAGTGAGTCATACAAAATAATTTCATCCTTTTTTCCATAGCCAATAATTATATATCATGTTTTAATATACTAAAACCTGGAAGTCACCTCTGGGTTGACCATTTAAGTTTGATAGAGAAAGCCATTCTTGTATATTTCCATGAGTACTCAGACTTATCACTCAGAAAAACATTTTGGAGATGTCAGTAAAACTGATACTTGTTGATTGGGCACCCATAATTCCTCCTTATACATTCCCAAAAAGTATATGTTTTAGCAGAAGTTAGAGACAGATCATTACACATTTGATTCTCTTTCATTTATGCAGTATACAAGGCAAGACATTTAAACATATACACATTTACTTTTGCAAATATTAATTTACTGAGGAACTGAGCAAATGGTAGAAAGTATTGTTACCTAGAGCAAAATGTCTTGAAGATCACCATGACCAATTCTTTCAAAGCACCACATTTAATTACAAATCATAAACAGTGATAAAATATGACCACTTTTACATAGATAATATATTATAATTTTAAAACTTTTTATTATATGCCACTCTAGAAACTTAGTTCCCTAAGCTCTCCTCTCCAAAAACATTCAGTGAATCTTTCAAGTCAAATCAACCATCTTTGCAGGGACATGGATGAAGCTGGAAACCATCATTCTCAGCAAACTAAGACAAGAACAGAAAACTAAACACCGCATGTTCTCACTCCTAAGTGGGAGCTGAACAATGAGAACGCATGGACACAGGGAGGGGAATATCACACACCGGGGCCTGTTGGTGGGTGGGGGTCTGGGGGAGGGATATAGCATTAGGAGAAATACCTAATGCAGGTGACAGGTTGATGGGTGCAGCAAACCACCATGGCACATGTATACCTATGTAACAAAACTGCACGTTTTGCACTAGTACCTTAGCACTTAAAATAAAATTTAAAAAAAATTAAAAAAGAAAGAAAATAAATAAAAAGTAAGACTGAGTGTTTTAGTTATCACCTTTGAAATTAGTTTGTTTTCAATACTAGTGATAAAAACTTGAGGGCAAATCTGATTGTGAAAATATTAGGAAAAGCACTAAAATATCTTTAGGCAACTTAACAACTGTTTGAAATGTTAATGACAACCCCTTCTGTTACCTTGGAATTCATTCTTACTTAATTCCACATCCAGATATATAAAGCAACCATCTGTGAGCACAGAAATATCGAACTAGAATGATGTAAACTGTGAAAATAGCATTATTCTCTATTCTTTGCTTTAATTTTTTTGTAGATGTTGGGGAAAAAGTGCAATCTTACCTATTTCTATAAAAATAGCATGTTAACATGTTAGTAGACTACACATTAACACTGATGATAGAATTCTTTCTATTTCTACACTATCTTTCTGTAAAAATCTCAAAAAACACTGATACCTTAGGGGTTGCTGATATTTTTGTGAGGTGACTATGTGATGCCTATTTATCTTAAACTTTGATATTGATTCATAATGTTTTATGTCTCTGAAGACCTTGAGTGATACTGACAAGTTTATGAATAAGGAAGTGAATAATGCAGCTTGCTTTTATTAGCTAATTGGGGAATTCTTAATCAACATTATTACTTGTATTAGTACAAACATTACTCACTTGAAATACATTCTAAATAAATTTGAAACATTATTAAATTTATCTTAACATTCCATTTCTTACTGATATTTTAGAGTTTTTGGCATTGACCAACACCTTCAATATCTTATTAAGAGGCAGAGGAGGTGATATCACAAGTTTCGAGTTGGACCAATGTGGTCTTGAATCTCATTCTAAAAATACTTGATTTAGATCCAATTGTCATTTTGTCCAAAGTAATTTTTGGATCTTGATATGGTTGGGATCTGTGTCTCCACTCAAATCTCAGGCTGAAATATAATCCCCAGTGTTGGAGGTGGGGCCTGGTGGGAGGTGGTTGGATCATAGGGACAGAGTTGTCATAAATGGTTTAGCATCATCCCTCCTTGGTACTGTATAGTGAATTCTCAAAAGAGCTAGTTGTTTAAAACTGTGTAGCACCTCTCCCCTGTCTTTCTTCCTCCTGCTCCGGCCATGTAAGACATGCCTGTTTCTCTTTCACCTTCCACCATGATTGTAAGTTTCCTGAGGACTCCCCAGAGACAGAAGCTGTTATACTTCTTGTACAGGCTGCAGAACCATCAGCCAATTAAACCTGTTTTCCTTATAAATTATCCAGTCTCAGGTATTTCTTTGTAGCAATGCAAGAACGGACTAATACAGACCTTTAGTTAAGGTTCTCCAGTTTTCTCTAACTCTGGTTATCACTCTGTCTCTGTATCTCACTCTGTCTCTCTTTCTTTTTCAATATATATTTATCTAATATTTGAATATATATCTATTTATCTATCTATAAATATATATTGAGGGATTGAGAGAGAGGAAGAGAGAGAGGGATATTCAAAAAGTTCAATAAAAATATATGTATATGAAAAATTATGCATGTTATTTTGTGCAACAAAATAAATTTGTTATTACTTTCTGAATAGGATCTAGTTTGAGGCACTAAGAAGAATAAGACACTAGTTTGAAAAGATCCCTTATGAGAGAAATGAAAATTACTAAAATTAAAGCAACAAATATTAAACTTATGGTGACGTTAAGGGGAAGAATGGTAATATCATTGCAGCTGTGTGAAAACTTGATGCAGACCATGCTCCAAGGAAATCAACAGTTTACAAATACATAACTTCTTTTAAGAAGAAATGAGATGATGTTGAATATGAAACCTGAAGCAGGTTTCATAATCTACATCTCAAATTCATCTACATGAATTTGCGAGAAAAAAATTAATCTTGTTTGTGCGCTAGTTGAAGAGGACTAATGATTAACAGCAGAAACAATAGCCAACATCATAGACATTTAAATCGGTTCAGCTTACACAGGCAAGACTGAAAAATTTAAGTTGAGCAAAGCTTCCACTCAATAGGTGCCAAAACCATTGTGCCCAGAGGAGCTGTAGACAAAAGCAGAGGTTTCAACGAAAATTTTAAAAGTGGGATCAACATCCTAAAGCATTTCTTGGAATAATTGTAACAGGAGATGTAACAGCTTTAACAGTGTGATCAGGAGATAAAGCCCAATCATTGTCAGCAATGGCTACCTAGAAGTGGAGATGGTCCGGTCAAAGCAAAAGTAGACCAGTCCAGAGTAAATGGTCATGGCAATCATTTTGATGGATGCTCAAGGCATTTTACTTGTCTTTCTTCAGGGCTAAAGAATATAACATCTGTTTATTATGATAATAATTTGAGAAAGTCAGTCAAAGTTTTAGCAGAAAACTGCCTGGAAAAGATTCACTAGAGTCTTCAACATGACCAGCCTGCTTCTCATTCCTCTCATCAAACAAGGGCAATTTTGCAGAGTTTTGATGGAAAATAATTAGGCATCCACTTTACATTCCTGATTTGGCTCTTTCTGAATTCATAGGCATCCACTTTACATTCCTGATTTGGCTCTTTCTGAATTCATTGTTTTCTAATCTTAAAAAAATATTTAAAGGGCATTCATTTTTCTTCAGTTAATGTAAAAAGACTGCATTGACATGATTAAATTCCCAGAACCCTCAGTTCTTTAAGGATGGACTAAATGGCTGGCATCATTACATACAAAAGTGTTTTGAATGTGATGGAGCTAATGTTGAGAGATGAAACACATTTTTAGTTTTATCTTTTAATTCTATTTTTCATAAAATTTTTGGAGTCATACATATATAAAATCTTGTCACATTTCCATAGCTTTGACTTGTTAGGCACAATGTGCCTAGATATGGATTTAGATAGTTTATTACTTTTACTTAAGGCACAGCAGGCAGCATCAGTTTTTTGCTTGCATTGATTCTCCTAGCTGCCAAGTTCCATTCAGGCAAGGCAGAGACAGACTTGGGCTCACCATGGGTTTTTGTCAAAGCCAAGGATCACCCAGTTTAGGAAACCCTGAACCTTATAAAAGGGCTTCTGGAAAACGTGCCTATCCTCTTTCTGGAGAGAAGCATTATCTTTACTACCCTAGATTTTAAGCAAAATTTGACAGAGAAAGGGAAAGATCTTTATGAATACTACCCCTAAATATATCTAGAAATTGAATTGTTATCTATCTGGAATTTAAGTGAATCTGAACAAATAATTATTAATTTATAGACATGAACAAACATAAGAGATTCATGGGGAATTATATCTCTAAGTGAGACAATCCTGAATGACCTTCACAGAAGAAACAAAAGCTAAGACTTATAGCTTGGGTGAAAATTGTTCAAGAAGATAAAGAGTACACACATTCCATCAAAAACACAACAGAAGCAATAGTTTTGATATGACTGGAGTATGCGGTGTGTTGGCATACTGCATATTGAAAAACTATTCAAAGAATATCATTTTAGGTCATACTAAAGAGATGTAGGAGTTTAGATGTGATCCTGAGACCTGTAGAAGGCTTTAAAATACTTGTAAATAAGGGCATAGGTAGATTTGCCTTATGGAATATGACTCTTTGGAATTATGGTGAAGAAAATCAAAATATGACACCCAAAATATACTTCTTTGGCATGTTTCAAGATGGCTCTTCAGAAGTCCTGCATACACAAGAAGAGCTCTAAAATGCTTTTCGTTATGGTGCTGATTTACATCTGTAGATGGAATCTTCATAAGTGAATTAAACAGCAATGCAAATGCTTTTTCTGAGCCCCAGCCGCGCTTACCTGACTCACTCAGATCTCAGAAAGATTAACTCACAGTAAAAAGATACTACAAATCTGACTCCAAAATTTTGACCACGGATTACCACCTATTCTTTCTGAGAGCTGCTACTTAATAGATTTTATCTTTTAACAAGACAGATTTTGCTTACCATAGCTTTTCTTCTACCACTCTCTTTGGTTGTTTTCAAGTCCAAAGCCTTTTTTCCTTTTTGTTTGGTATAAAACTTCAGTCATTTGGCCCTTTTATGAGTCTCAAATTTGTGGAACTCCCATGTCTATGTGCACATTAATGAATTTGGATAGGGCTGACAAGGTGGCTCACAGCTGCAATCCCAGCATTTTGGGAGGCCTATGCAAAAGGATCACTTGAGCCAAGGAGTTCGAGACCAGCTTCAGCAACATAGTGAGACCCTGTTTCTTAAAAAAAAAAAAAAAAAAAGTATGCCTTTTTTCCTACTAATTTGTTCATTTCCCATTTGTTTTATAGGCTAAAATCATCAAAACTTCAGAAGTGGGAGGGAAGAAAATTCTCTTTACCCCTAGGCTAGTAGAAGCCAGCTTAAAGCCAATGTTTTCATTACTTCAGAAAACTTAAACATTACTTTCAGTCTGTATATTCCCTACTGTACTCTCATCTTTAATTTTTCCTATTTTGTTCTTTTTTCATCATAGTTACTACTCCTTTATTTTACCCCTACATTTTTATACTTTATGAACCTTTTGTTTAAGAGGAAATCATAATTGGTGTACCTTAATCACTCCAAATCTTCCTTTTCTTCACCTGGCTCTCAACTTCTCCCTCAGTCTTCTCAAGGATAAATCTCTTGTTTCTTACGAAGGCAAGGGAGCAGAGAGTACATTCATCTAGATTTCCAGAGGTGTCTTCAAGACATCTATATGTCATATTCTTGCAAAACCTCCTTTCTCATTCATGGCATATGAAATTTGGTGATGCATTTTTGTTGTTTTGTTTGAAAAAATGTTTCATATATGTGGAAGATTTCGATTTGTGGAATAATTATACTTCTCTATCTCAAGTCATAACATCTAACACTGTCCCTATTGATTTGCATGTCCTTACAGGGACTTCTACAGCATAGTACATTTTATTTTCTGACCTCCTTAATCCAAAACATTTCAGTTGTACTTTATTTCAGCTACTTAAATACACAACCATATTATTCTCTACATAACATCAACAACAGTTGCTTCATCTCTAAACTGTGTCTACACTGCTTTATTAACAACCTCCAATTGCACTTATTATTTGACCATCCATAAACGACTACTTAGTTGATCCCTTGATTTTCTCCCAATGTAAAGGACCCTTCTTGTATTTAATTTCTTCCCTGAGTAGACTTAAACCCAAATAACAAAAATTTATTTTTGGTGGTGTGAATGTCCCCAACCTATATTATCTCTTTGTCCTTTCTCACACCTGCTGAGAAAAAAACAACCATCAATTTATCATGTTTGTCTTTCCATTTTTTATGTCCAGGTCTCTGGGTATTAAAAAAAATTATTTGAGTCAATCTATCAATGAAACTGAATTCATGGTGATAAACCTCATCTAGCCCATAATCAATAATTTATAAAATAATTGATATTTAATTTAAAAGCTCCATAGGACACTATCTCTAATGTCTTTGAGCTAAGTCTAGCAAAATGTTCATGAGATTTAGCAAATATCTTTTAATCCATTGAGTACTTGCAAATTTGAATAAGATTGATTATCCTTTATGAAAACCACAGCTCAATACAGTAGATCTTGATTGTTTTGCATGTTTATATGGGTAGTAAGAGTAATATTAACAACAGTCATAAAACAATTTGGAAGGTGGATGTTTAGAGTCAAATGCAGGTACTTCACAAATAGCTATCAATACAACTTTTATAATTTCAGAGAGATTTACCTTATCCCTTAGTGTTCCCATACATGAAAATTCCAGTAATTAAAATTTATTATTTGATCTGAAATTTACTCATTTTCACTATATTTTCTTCAAAGTATAATTATCAAGTTTTATGCTTTTTATTAGACACAGCTTGACAGTCATATTCTATGGTTTACAGCTTGAATTTATTTAGTCTAACTAGGACCTTAAGATTGTGTTCATACCAGAAATGTCTGCATTTTTCTTTTGTTGAATATAAAATATCCGATTATAGAAAACATGTCTGAAATATTCTGTGGTCTTGCATTAAGATAAATGTATTTTATAACTTAAAAAAACATTGTGAAAATTATAATACATACGGAAAAACTGGCTGACCTAGCTCCTATCTCCTTCTTTCACTCACCTCATCCATGATCATGCAAACAAGCAATCTTTCTGAAGACAGCAAAATTGTTTTTCACACCAGCATTATAAAAAGTATGTTTACCTAAGTTTCATTTATGACAAGAGATCAAGACAAACTCTTGCAAAAGAATCTAATTTCAGGGCTATGAATACATACTATATAAATGTTTTTAAAAGATCAGAAACATTTAAATGTAGTATATAGTGATGCTTAACATATTTTTCTTTCTTTAGATGAACATTAAACCTTCAGTTTGACTTATTAAGCTTGTAATTGTATTTTAAGTATTGTATTTATAAAGTTTAGCACCGTTCGATAAAATCAAATTTTGTGAAGACAGAATATTGCATGGAAGAAATAAACTTTATTTTCTGTTTGAATCAGAGATAATTTTTTGTCTAAGTTCCATCAGCTTCTGGAAGAAATATTCATTAAACACTGCTACTAAGAAATGGACAGTTTATATAAATTGTTGAAAAAGAAATGAGAAGCAAGAAGAGAAAAAAGAATATTTTTTTTTCAATATAAGGGAAACAATTATCATATGTTTATTCAATCAATATTATGGCCTGCACTAAAGCAAGCTTGATAACTTGTAGCATATTTTTTCCATGTTAAGGAGTAAGGATTACATCCTTAGTGCTTAAAACAAAAATGATTTATTTGTTAGGAAACTAACAACTCTTTAACACTACACATTGACAGAAATCCAGCAAAAGAAAGCCTGCATATTATTTTATTTTCTATGTTAAAGAATGGATGCAATCCATTTGTTTCTTTGAATGTCTGTCTGTTCCATTCTCCCCCTGGTCTGCTCATTGCTCTGGCTTGCTAATGGTGCCAAAATAGACCTTTATGTTATACATGAGTGAACGGAAAATTCCTCATAGGCCTCTGAAGGTTCACTGAAAATCAACTGACAAAGGCATATTAATTGGATAAAAAGGCATACAAATTTATTAACATGCATGGTGGGGAAAATCACAAGTGATTACTCCACCACTCAAAGGGATACAGATGTTTATATGCCCTTCTTTTTAGGAGAATGGGAGATGGGGAAGTGTGGATAATTTTGGGGGAAACATAAATAATTTTAGGGGAATTTAATGGGCTTGTAGTTCACACAACGTGCTGGGACAAAGTCTGTTGGGCCCGCAGGGCAGATAATGGTTTGTGACAAATCTGTCCAGGTGTGTTGACTGGCTTCAGTTTTTCTTTCTGCAATACGAGTTCAGTTAATGAAAACTCAGAGAAAGGGCCAGAGATACATGTTTTCTTCTTTAGGCAGATAAGGAAAAGTCAGAGAACAACTTCATCCTGTGCTTTGTAAGAGACATAGGATTGAGAGGATGGGGAAAGGTCAGGGAGAACTTGAGACTCCTTCTTCAGATCAGCAGGTAAAGTGCCATATCTTGGGGCATCAGTCCCTGAGCCCTAACATTTCCCAAGAAGTTTTCACATACTAGAGGCTAAGGTGGTGGTTGTGGAAAAATAATAACTGAGTTAATCTAATAACTAAATAGTAAAGGACCTCATTAAACCAGTCTCTCACTTCTGGGCATAGGCCAATTCAATTTAAATAGTAGGTCTTGTTTCAGGAGATGATGTTGCAGAAGGTCCCTAAAAGCTAGGCTTCTAAATATTATGCAGGCACACAGATTTAATAAGAGGCATTTCTATGAAAACAGAGGAAGAACAAAGGTCAATTTATGGAGCCATCTACAAGCTAGTCCTCTAGAGTCTGCAGGGCAGTCAGCTGAAAACATCCATGGCCATCTAACAGATTTTCCTAGATTGTAGTCTGTGTGTAAAGTTTGTCCAAATATAAGCTGTAGCAGTGATTTTTCTTCGAAGCCAAGTTGACTAGCTTCACATTGTAGGGCCTCAGGAATTTGGCATTTATTTTCAGTGAGCCCATGTCAAAAATAATATGGAAGGAAAAATTTGGAAACGTTTGTTAGGAGACTTTTAGCCAGGGAAGAATTCAGGATTCAATCTGAATTGTAGGCAAATAATAGAAACTTAAAAACAATGAACAAGGCTGGTATCTAAAATAGGTGTACTATAGTTTTCTCCGGAAACATACATTTTCTGTCATGACTAATTGTGTTGAACATATGTTCATATGCTTATTTTCCATCTGGATAAATGTCTGTCAAATCTGTATCTATTTATTATATTTGGTTGGTCTTTGATTTATTTCACTACAATCATGCCAAAACACCCTGTATTAAAATGTAAAATGAAAATAAAAAAGTATTGGCTCCCCTATTTCTCTCTTATTTTTCATATTTGCTTTGTTCCTTCTAGGATTTTCCAATTTATCTATGGTTATTAGAATCAGTTTGCTTATTTCTATAGAAAAGCCTGCTTGGACTGTGATTTTACTGAAGGGGTAGATCAATTTTGGAAGGACTGATATTTTAACTCTTCTGATCATCAACATGGTATATTTCTCCAATTATTTACATCAGATTTAATGTCTTTTAGTTTTAGTTTGTAGTTTTCAGTGTCTAGTTCTTTTACATTAGAAGCCTCTCATCCTCTGAGACCAATTTCCTGAATTAAATTTCTGATTTTTAAAAAATACTCAGAGTTGTTTCTATTGTAATGCTTGGATTACACTGGAACACTCATCAAATTCTCAACTTCTTTAGTTCTTAATTACTTAGACACAGCAATAAGTCAACTTGAACTGTTCCTCAAAGTAGAAATGAATTTGATGGTTATGAGATTAGTGACCGTAACAATTACTTAGACTTTTGTCCAGTATAAGTAGACTGTTTCTGCTATAAAAAAGAATAAATAGACTTTGGAGAAGGGAATGTAAGAGATGGACAATTATGTTCAACCATGTTATAAAATACATAAAGAATTACTTAAGCAGGTCATAGGTATTTCTATGTGTGACTGACAAAGATTTATCTTAAGCATTAAGAAACGGTTGTAATTTTAGGCACTTAGATGGTCATCAAAAAAATTAGTTATATTGTGAACTGAATTTGAAAGGATTGGTACAATTTTGAAGGAATTGGGGAAAATACTTTTTAAGTTGATATCACTGTTTTAAAAATGCATTCCGACTTTGCTAAGGAATGGAAATTTCTGTTGTTCCTGCTACTTATTATATGCATGAAGCTAAATAAATGCACCAGACTATAAAATTTGAATGTGTTTGTCTTGTTTTATTAAGGTATATTATGTTATAATGGGAGTTGAGGAAGGAACAATGTGAGAATAGATTGTGATGGGGCTTTTATATTCTGCTTGGAAGTTTCATTTTATTCTGCGTGTGACAAGTCATTAAATGGTTTTATATGTCAGAAACTAAATCAGTCACAAACTTTAGGGCCATAATCTGGGACCAGTGTGGAGCGTGAGAGGAGCAAGCACAGGGAGGTACTAGAATTACTTTATATACTTAATTATTTTTAGTTGACACAAATTGATTCTAGTAAGTGAATTATTTAGGGCAGTGAGAATGGAAAGGAGCCCTATGAGTGATTTGTTTTATACAAAAGGGACACAATATATGTACCTTTGAAAGCACCTTGCTTTGTTATGGCCTTTGTTTCTCAGAACCCCTGTAAAATATTGCAATTCTATAATACATACCAAAAAAGGCCAACATTAATCTGTCTCATTGTATTTGAATGGCATGTACATGTATACTTAAAATGATATATTCAGTTATGTATGCACTTATTTAAACTGCATTAACTTAAAATTGTGTTAATATGTGTTTGGTAATATTAAGTTGCTTAATGTCTTATGCTTAGTGGCAACTTGGATATGAACCTATATTTGTATCCCAAATACTTAAAGCAGGCCTAACAGAACTTGTAAACTATGTTATAGTTTAAATAACTGTAAATTATAAATAATTGAACATAATTTCTTTTCAATATTTTATATTTTTAAACATTTCAAAAACCTTTACTTTTTATGAATTAATGAAGCTATTGCTGTAGAATTTATTACATTTTTCTCATTAATCAAGACTCATTCTGGCCTGCTATGATGATGCGGCTTGCTTGATTGAATATTATATTCTCTGTGGTTTCTCCACTCACAGGTCAATTAACTACTTTGCTTCAAATCCTCTGTCTGGAAAATGGCCCTCTTATTGCTTGTAATTCAGCTTTCTCACAGGAGTGCTGTGAAGTATAATGAAGAAGGAAGTAGAACTGACAAATTGAAATTGAATGAAACTGAGGATTTCAAAATTTATGATTTGCACCTGGTCCTGCTAGTTAAGACACATTTTAAATTAAATAACTTTTCTAGACACATTATAAATTAAATAACTTTTCTTAGACCTAAATTGTCCTAGCATAAAATAGTGGAAGAAACTGTACTGTTATTTGTTGGAAAGACTTAGGTGCAATACTACCATCTGTGAGAGAAAGGGAAAAAGAAGATCAATAACAGAAATAAAAATAAAGAATACTTAAATTGAGATATTGAAAAAAAGAAAATATTGAAAAGAAAAAGTATAAAAGAAGTGAGGAGGAAAAGTTGAGAAAAAAAAATCAGCAAAATCTGTACTCCAGAGCCTGGGACTCATTTTTCTGAAGAAGCTATAGGCACATAATATAGCAGTGAACTTGAAGCTAAGTGGTAACATATGGAAAGAGCTGGAAGTGTGAATATTTCAGTGTCTGAAAAGGTAGAAAACATAGAATGGGCGGAAAGCTAATCTGCCTAGTAACAGTATGGTTTACTTGCTGATTCTCTTCTAACCAAAGACATAAAAAAGACAATGCAGTGAGGAAAAAAATACAAACACAGGAAAACCAGATAAATCATCAGAACAACTAAAGGCAACTCAGAGGAAATGGCTGTGCTGGATTCTTGAATGTCTTGAAGGGCGTTAAGAATACTTTCAACATTTCTAGTAATCAGAGAAATGCAAATCTAAACCACAATGAGATATATCTCACATCTGTTAGAATAGCTATTTTCGAAAAGGTGAATGATAACAAGTTGGCAAGGACTTGGAGTAAAGAGAAACCTTATTAACTGTTGACAGAACTGTAAATTGGCAGAGGCATTTCAAAAAATAGTATGGAGGCTCTTCAATAAAACTAAAAATAGAATTGCCATATGTTTCATCAACCCCCTCTGAGTATATATCCCAAAAAATTGAACATGGTCTGTGTAGAATAAATATCTGTACTCTCATGTTTATCTCAGCATTATTTGCAATAGCCAAAATATGGAAGCAACCTAAATACTCATGAACAGATAACTAGATAAAGAATATGTGATATGTATACACAATGGCATACTGTACAGCATTAAAAAATAAGAAAATTCTGTCATTCATGACGACGTGGATCTGAAGAGCATTATGATAAGTGAAATAAGCCACCCACAGAAAGACAAATATTGTATGATCACAATTACATGTGGACTCTAAAAAAGCAGATCTCATAAAAACAGAGTAGAAAAGTAGTTACCACAGTCTGGGGCCAGGGCCGGGACAGGGGATGTGAAAAATGTAGAAAGAAATGTTGATCAAAGAGTATAAAATTTCAACTAGACTGGAGGGTAAGTTATAGTGATCTGTTGCAGTTCACCTTGACCAGTTAGTAAAAATGTATTCTATATTTCAAAATTGCTAAGAAAATAGATTTTTAATGTCTTCACCACAAAAAAATGATACATTGGTGATGTGACAAATATGTTTATTAACTTGAATAAATCTGTCTATATTGTATACATAGATGAAAACATCACATTGTACCCTAGAAATAAACATAATTATTTGTCAATTAAAAATAAATTATTAATAAAGATGCCTTTGATAGGTGTTAGGGTATGAAAGAGCACACTGAAAATTGCAAAAATGTATTCACATGTTTAAAAGAAGCATTAGAAGGAATGCAATTCAATCAACAAATATGGGATTTCTTTTTCTTTCAGTGACTATCTGCGTTGGTGTTAATATTATTAAGCAGGGTAGGAGTAAAGTGTCTTCACCTATTTAAAATTTTGTTGTTATTGCAGATGACAGCTTCTTACTTAGAGGAATCGACTTCATTGCTATTCATGATATTTCCAGTATGATTATAGAAATATGAAATAAGGCTGAATATAATAAGGATGTTTATAATAACTTATTAATCACTCTCTACTCTGGAGTAAAGAAAAGCTATCACAGTATATTTAGTGACATGACAGCAGCGATAAATATACAGAGTGAAGAGTCAAGTGAATATGCCTCATCCATAAGCACCGACCTTTGGTGAAAGGGGCTACCAAAGAGATTTCTACATCAGCATATTTATTGCATTGAAAATGGATCAGAAGACTGATGAATGACCAAAAAAAGCTTGCTCTGATCCATTTCAAAAGTCAGAGATTTGTATTAGACTTGATCAAAAAGCATTACTCAAATATGAGTCACTATGAAGATTGCTTTATTTTAAAAAATCCATATATAATTCCTTAAAATGCTCCAGGATTGATTTCTGATAAGTGGGGGGGGGGGGGGGGATTAAATGCAATTTAATATCATTATGTACTAATATCACTAGTACAGTGATTTTAAACCAATATGCTTATTAGAATTGTATTTGACAACTCTTCAGTCAAGTGCAATAATTGTCATCAACTTACACTCTTTTTTTTTTTTTTTTTTTTTTTTTTTTTTGAGACAGAGTCTCGCTCTTTCACCCAGGCTGGAGTGCAGTGGCGCCCTCCCAGGTTCATGCCATTCTCCTGCCTCAGCTCCCCGAGTAGCTGGGACTATAGGCGCCCGCCACCACGCACGGCTAATTTTTTTTTTGTATTTTTAGTAGAGACAGGGTTTCACCGTGTTAGCCAGGATGGTCTCGATCTCCTGACCTTGTGATCCGCCAGCCTTGGCCTCCCAAAGTGCTGGGATTACAGGCGTGAGCCACCGCACTCTTACCTTCCATTATTCCAAGTGTTTCCTCTTTTCATGATTCCTCCTGCCTGACTCTTAACTCCTAGATGGATTCTTGCAATGGCGGTAATAAAGACACTTCTTCTTTTTTTTTTTTTTGAGACAGAGTCTCGTTCTGTCCCCCAGGCTGGAGTGCAGTGGTGCGATCTCGGCTCACTGCAAGCTCCGCCTCCTGGGTTCATGCCATTCTCCTGCCTCAGCCTCCTGAGTAGCTGGGACCACAGGCGCCCGCCACCACGCTAGGCTAATTTTTTGTATTTTTAGTAGAGACCGGGTTTCACCTTGTTAGCCAGGATAGTCTCGATCTCCTGACCTCGTGATCCACCCTCCTCGGCCTCCCAAAGTGCCGGGATTACAGGCGTAAGCCACCGCGCCCGGCCATAAAGACACTTCTTAAATGGGTGATGGTTGATTAGTAGAAAAATGACTCTGCATGACTTGTCCAGGGCATTTCTTTGCTTCTCCAACTGCTGATGTCATTACCTACTCTGTGTCCATGTTGATGACACTGGCTACAGTACCAGCAGTGCTTTGGGGTAGAATGAAAATGTCTTTGCTTTTCATCTAATTCAACAGGTGAACTCTGTAGCTGGGAGCATCTTTGTGGAATAAATATGTTTTCAGCATTCACTTTTACACACATCCTGTGCTGGAGGATCTCCTAAAGGCACCTGTGTTTTTCTTAAGCTATGGGCATAAATAAATATTCCGTCTCCTTCTGGATATATTAATATTTAATGCTGTCTTCCCAAATGCCTAGCAAGCCCCACAACTGCTCCTCAGCTAATGTTTTGTTTCCTTGTATATAAACATCAGGAATTGTTTCACTTTCTCTCACTCTTTAAGCCATGAAGCACCAAAATAGTGGTGTCCCTTCAAGCTTATCAAACCTCTTATGTTCTGAATTCTCCTGATGGAAAATGAGCAAGCCCCTATCCATATGGCCAGGTATTGCTCCTGAATTCCCGGACTACTTCTGTTAGTCATTATTCTTCTCACCAGACATATGAACACATTCAAGGAGGAAAAAAATATATATAAATAACCAAAAACAAAACAAAACAAAACTCTCTAATATCCAGAATCTAATATCCATTGTGGTAGATAATCTCAAAGTAACCTCCCTAATCTCTACCTCCTGGTGTTCATACATTTTTGTGAGATCCCTCTTCTTGGCTGTTGATAGGACCCATGAATTGCCTCTAATCTATAGGATATGGCAAAGGTGAGGGGGTACAGTAGTGATGTATACCTGATTACAGTACATAAAATTGTAACCCATCTTGTGAGGAGACTCTTTCTTCCTCACTAGATTTGAAGAAGCAAACTGGGCTATTGTCAGCATCTGTGTGGAGAGGTTCAGATGACAAGGAACTGAGGACTGCCTCTGATCAACAGCCCGGAAGAAAGAGATATCTTTTCTCAGCAAGTAGCAGTTCTTTTCTACAGTCAAGCCTCAGGTAAGAATCCAGCTTTGGCTGACACCTTAACTGCAGTTTTGTGAGATCCTGAAGCAAAGAACCAAGGTAAGCCTGAGCTGAAATCCCAACCCACAGAAACTCAAGATAACACATATGGCTCATTTTAAGCACCCAAAGTGTGATAACATTGTTAAGAAGCATTAGATAATTAATGCACTGACAAAAGATTAATCTCTCTTCTCTAGCAAGTTTTTATTTTTATTTTAGAAAAAGTAGCCCTAATTGCATTAAGCTAGTTCATCCCAAATGACAAGCTCATCCTTGAGCCTTGCCAAGATTGCTGGAGATGGGTATGAAAGAAAAGTGAAAATGGGAATAGTCTTGAGGGATGATAAGATATAAAGGTGACTATGTTGCAGTTATGGATAAAAAAAAGAACGTTTCCATTTGAACCACTGATAGCAGAGAAGCCATGGGGGAAAAAAGAGAAAATCAAATGAAAAAAAAAAGTTTATTAACAGTGAAAGAGTTGGTGAAAAAAATTGTAAAAATAATTGTATAATGTAAAAATGATGTCTTTAGTTGGTCCACAAAAATAAATTATAAAAGAAAGAGCAAGCAAGTGGGAAACCACAGAACTTCAAATGTTTTGTTAATGGAGTTAAGAGAAACAGAGGTTAGCTTGATGTTACTAGAGAAAATTTAAGGTCAGAGATAATCAGTTTTAATAAGAAATAAGATTCCTAAACCTAGCTATGCATTCAATGAAGGACTGTTTTTTTCAAAAGTTTGCTCCTACGGGAAAACAAACCAGATTCAAGGGGCATGTCAAAACCAACCCCAAAATTGGCAAACACTATTAAATGTGTTTTCCTTAATTCAATCAGTGAAAATGGATGAGGCAGAAAATTGAAGTATGGATTGTTTTGTTGACATGATATAGCTCCCTCCTCCTATGTTATGACACTCACATTTTCAGAAGCAATAATAAGTCCCCAGGAAATACAGTAAATTTTAAGAGGTTTCCAAGAAAGAGGGAACTCATCATTAAATTTAATAAAAGCTTATCTAACAGTTTATGTTCACCTTTGGCAAGTGTTTTTAATGTGATTATATTTTAGAGGAGGGAAAAATCACAATGTAGGTAGAAATGTTTCACAACTCTAAATTCCAACACACAAATGCAAGATATTATTTTAACAGGAAGGAGAAAAGGTACAAGATTTGCAGCACTTTTTAACAATTAAATTCAAGCTACCAGATATTTGTAGGGGTTTACTGAAGTTTTGACTTATTTTTCTGACCAAGTGATACACTGGACCTCATATTACAAGAAAGAAAATGTATCCCAGAATTTTTCGTTCCTTATAAGAAACAATGGCACTCACAGAAAAGAAATAGCATACTTATGTCTGAATTCAGAGAGACAGCCCAATAATATATCTGGAATTCTTTTGTATAAAATGTCAGGTTATAGCTTATGATCAAACGTGGTGTTCAACTAGATGTCAACAAACAGAATATAAAAGGAAAAATACATTAATACATACATGTATTTATGAATTGCATAAAGATTGTGATCCTGCATTTAACCCCAAACATGTAGCATTAATAAAGGAAAGGAAAGTAGTATGTTGAATCCAGTTTTAGCCTACAAAGATATGCTTTTTGAAGGTGGTAATAGTGAAGAAAATGCATTATGACTTAGAAATTTTCAATATATCCACGGTAAGAGAGAGTAGATGCCAAGGAAAAACAGATCATGAAGGAACTGAAATGCAATTATCCTCCATTGCTGCATTTTTGAAAAGTATATGGAAGCCCCAAAGATAACAGAAAAAAATCTTATTAATTTTCTTTGTAAGTAGAATGTAGAGGAAATGATGCTTGAACTAGAATTGGAAGATAAATAAAATCCATCAGGTAGATAAAAGAGGGAAAGGCATCTAGAAAGAGAAATAACATATGTAAAGGCACATGAATGGAAATTTAGGTAGTTTATTGTTGCTGATTTTTGTCTGCTAATGGGAGGCAGAAAACAAAATGATGTAGTTTGGAGACCAAGAGAGAAAACAAATTATAAAATGATCTGAGAGATAGTTAAGTATCAAGGGAACTTGGTGCCTAATTAAATATGGGGGTGAGAAAGAGAATTGAATAGAGGATACCTAAGCTTTTAGATAGGGACAACTTGTTGATAATGGTGTCACCAGCAGAGACAGCAAATACAAGAAAGATCAGATTTGTTGTGTTGATTGATGGAACAAAAAGGACAGTATAACAAAAGCACTTTTTGAATACTTGTGTTTGGAGCAAAGATGTGGAGATGTCAATAGAGCCATTTGTACTTGAAGTCTAAAATTAATTTACAAAGTGGGAGATTTACTATTTGTTGATGTGGAGAAATGGAATGCTTTTACAATGTAGGTGGGAGTGTAAATTAGTTCAAACATTATGGAAGACAGTGTGGCGACTCTTCAAGGATCTACAACCAGAAATACCATTTGACTCAGTGATCCCATTACTGGGTATATACCCAAAGGATTATAAAACATGCTGCTATAAAGACACATGCACACGTATGTTTATTGCAGCACTATTCACAATAGCAAAGACTCAGAACCAACCCAAATGTCCAACAATGATAGACTGGATTAAGAAAATGTGGCACATATACACCATGGAATACTATGCAGCCATAAAAAAGGATGAGTTCATGTCCTTTGCAGGGACATGGATGAAGGTGGAAATCATCGTTCTCAGCAAACTGACACAGGAGCAGAAAATCAAACACCACATGGTCTCACTAATAAGTGGGAGTTGAACAATGAGAAAACATGGACACAGAGAGGGATACATCACACACCAGGGCCTGTCAGGGGGTAGGGGACTAGGGGAGAGATAGCATTAGGAGAAATACCTAATGTAAATAACCGGTTGATGCGTACAGCAAACCATCATGGCAAGTGTATACCTACGTAACAAACCTGCACGTTCTGCACATGTCTCCCAGAACTTAAAGTACAATAAAAAAAAAATAAAAATAAAGTTCATTATCTTCATACAGAAAAGTGCATCAGTTGTAACTATTTAGCTCAATGAATTATCCTAAAAATGTGAACAGAATTGTAACCTCTAGCCAGGTTGGAAAATAGAATGAAAACATGCCATGCTACTCTAAAGCACTACCCACTCCACCTCAAAATTTAACACAATATACATTTTAATATCATATATTTGATTTACCTTGTTTTGAACTTTATATAATAAAATCATAAAGCATATTCTTGAATAAAAATTTGGCTTTTTTTCATCCTTATAACTCTTTCCTCTGTTAAGGTCATTCTCTCTACCCACCTTACCATGTAAAGACACTATTTTCAGAGTTTCACTTATGTAAATATATTTTTCCTTAGGACAATCCATTAAGCAGACATTCTATCACATATATTAAATAATATGCATTATTATGATATTATATCTATTATATTTCAATTATGTGATGCAAATCATTACAATATGTCATTCCTACTATTATATTATTGTTCCCATTATACATAAGAAATATGAGCCTCTGAAAGTTGAAATGACTTGTTCATCAACCAACTAATAAGTTGTATAGCCAGAATCTGGTATTTTAGATGACTTAAAAGTTTATATTGGCTAAATATTAACACAACCTATATTAAAAAAAGTTAACAATCCGTTCTTTACAGTACAACAAAATAATTTTTTATTAAACCCTTAATTTCCAAATTAGTCAATTTGGAAAGTTAAATTTGAAAAGTTAAATACTGAATGGTAAAGAGTTTTCTCTATTGAGAATTAAACATCTTTTCTCTTTGCTTAAATGATAGGTATTCACTAAATAAAAATGAGTAATTGAGCTTGAAGTTTACTTACAATTGCAAAGGACTTTATAGATGATATCATTTTGGTTTCTCTTTAAAGCCTATATAACATGACACCTTAGTTCATTTACCTGAAAACTAGAAAGCATAGTCACTGGAAAAGTAGCATTTGCATCAACTGGGAAATTTTTATAAATGCATATTCTCAAGCTGCATCCAGATTAATTGAATCTGAAACTATGGAACTGGGGCTCATAATCTGGGTTTCAACAAGTTTATCCTTATGCATGCTAACTTTGAGAACTACTGAATCAAAATATTGTCTGCTGTAACGCTTACATGAAGCTGAACTAAAAAGAACTAATTTTACTCATGGCACTAACCCTACAATAGTTGCTTTGTTAATATTTGCTAATGGCCAAGTGATAAAAGTATTTTTAGGGATATTGATATAGTGTTGTGTAAGAACAGAATATGAAAAAGGCATATAAAATATGAATGGTTTCGTTTAAGTTTCAATTGGTAAAAGAGGTAGACTGAAAATTCTATTTCAGGATCCTGAATCAATGGAAAGCATTTACATTGGCACTTTTATGAGTTGCTGGAATTAAACTTGATGAAGAAGAAAATAGCTAAGGGTAGATATGTGTAACAGGATCTCATAAAGTTATTTCTTTCAGAGAAAATTGCATTTAAATAATTTTTAAATGAAGGAAAAAATATTTCTTGAAAAAATTGCTTAACGATTATTAAAAGTAACCATTTTAGAGGAGATTACAAAGAACTATTTTTGTGTCATGCAAAATGAAGAAAATCGGCATATAAAATATTTCAGGTTTTTTTTGCTTATAATTCAGCTTTTAAAATCTGTTGCTTTCCATTGTATTGTCTTGTGTAAGAGCAAAACTGAACTAAACTTAGTTAAGAATTACTGTGGGTACTAGATAGGAGTCTTAAAAATGTAAATTAGTTTATTTCAGAAAGCATTCCATATTCTCAAATATTCAATACAGTAGTTTTGACTTGCATATCACTGTGATAGCTAGGCAGTACAAGTCAATTTAGAGATTTGGAAAGAACAACACCCTTCAGACATTACTTACAAATCTTAAAACCTGAATACTAGCCTTTTCTGAGCTATAATAATTTTAATTATTAAACAGGATTTTCAGAGATGTATAATGAAGTCTTTCATCATATTTGAATTTATATATGTGAACAAGTAAAAAAAACCTAAGTGGCCAAAAATGAGTTGGTTAAATAATTGTAGCATACCAATATAACAGAGTGCTATAAAACTAGTATAAAATCATGCTGAAATATTATCTATAGTAATGAGAAAATGTCAATATATTGTTAAGATAAAAAAGATAAATAGTATCATACCATTATATAAAAAATGCATTCCAAGCTTGAGGAAAATGTATTTCAAGACTTTTAACATTGCTTATTTCTGGTTGGTAAGATTACAGCCACTAAGACATGAAAACTATTTGCTTTTCTGTGCTTTCTAATTTTTCTACCATTCATGTACCAGTTCGATAACTAGAACAAAAAGTAATCAAAATCTTTCTTTAAATACTAAGTTTAAATTCTAAATTGTTGAAATAGTTCAAAAAATTATTGAAAGTGATTTGGAGAAATAACTGATATTATTCATGTTAAATAATAGCTATTTTTATTTGGTTAGGATAAAGTTTGGAGCAAATAGTTGGAAATGATTGACTAAAAAATGCCCATAATTCTCTGTTTAGTCGTAATGTGTGAACTAATGCAGAAATATTGTAGTCATACACTAAATAAGTGATTGAGCTGGTTACTAATTTTCAATAAGATAAATAACAAGTTTGGATAAATGTTTAGGTTTTATAGTTTGTCCTTCTTTGCCCTTGACACTGTATGTGTGGTCCTGCCAGCTACCTACAGGAGTCCAACATGATGTGGGTGATGTGCACTATAACCAGTTTATTAAACTAGATTAACTAGATAGGGTACAGGAATAAAGCAATTGATTATTTTTCTCTAATTGCTATCAGCCCTTGTCCCTTGTCAAAACATTATTCATATTATTCTTAATTATTTAAAAGTCTAGTCCAATATAATGACCACATAACTCCAAGCTGTTTTATAACTGACACACTTTCCCAATTCAGGTTTACCTTAAATCTGAAAAACCTGCAGTGGGAAAGGTGACGATGGTTCACATTTTCCTCCACTTACTATGGCTGTTCGAGGTCCCTTGAGAGTTTGAGCTCTACCAGAGAGAGGCAGTAAAAAGAAAGCCAGGACATTTGTGACCTTAACTTCTTGTTAGTACGTTTTTCGATGCTGTAATTATATATGATCTTTGGCTCATTCTCTCTTGGGGTTGCTTAGAAACTGTCTTACTCCATTGAACTTTTATCATTATAAGTTCACTTCACATAGTGATAAATTCTCAGCCTTTTATTTATAACTTCCTTTTTGCCCCTTGGTTTCCAATGACTCATCTATCTCATGGGGTTACCTTGCCCATCCAGTCAGGTATTCTTGTAATACCTTTCCATAAAGAACCCAGTTCAGCCTTCTTCTGTGGATTCACATATTAGCTATGAAAAACTAGCCCATCATCTTTCTCCAAATTTTGGAAAGCAGGCACTCTGCAAAACAGACTTCTTTCTTTTCCCTGACATAAGGCAAGGGAGCTCCACTCAGGTTCCTTTGGCTGTAGGCTTCCCCAGGTCAGAGTCTTAGGCCAGTCCTTTATATTTGAAAAATATTCGGGCTAATTATAAGATTTTTTACTAACAAAAATATTTTTTTCTTTATCTTCTGGCATTTAACATTAGATATTTTTTGTTTGTTCGTATTTCCTAGCTTCCTATCTTTCTATGTTGCATTATGCTTAATATATTCCAATCTATTTTCAAGTTTATAAACTTTCTCTTTGGCTCTGCCTATTTTGCTATATAAGTTTTCAATAATATTGCTAGTATTTTTTATTTCTAAAAAATTCTAAAAATCTGCCTTGTCATGCTTAATAACATCTTGCTCCTTGGTCAACTTTTAATGCCATTTTATTTATCCGGATAATCCATATGTGGCAATTTACCTTATTTGTAATTCTAATACTTGATGTTTCTGAAGGACAATTTTATTTTTTTTCTGTTGAATCTTGCTCCTTTTTGTGTTTGTATTTTGTTTGTATTGGTTTTTGTTGCTTTTGTTTTATGTTTAGCTGATACTTAACTAAATTCAAACTGATGAAACTACTTGTGTTTTGTTTCTAGAGATAATTTGTATTTTCTGCTGCATCTGGAGGTGTTACCACCTTTAATTTACTTATTTGACCTAAGAATTTTCTAGAATCTCTGCCCAGAAATCAGAAATCAGAAATGACTCTTATATATGTTGTTTTGAGCTACATTCGCCACAGACATAACTAATAATAAGGGAGACTTTTAAGTTGAGCATTGTTTCTGGCTATGTCTCCCAAAGAAAATCAAGCTCAATCTTAGAAAGACAAGACAGAATGAATAAATAGGAGGAGGCAATTACCAGTCACAAAATGACCTATTTGAGAATGGCATTGTTTCAATACTCAGACTGTCAGTTAGCTGCATGAAAATTTCAGGTAAAACTCAGTGGAAGGTTCTAAAATATTTGCTAAACTTCTTGATTTAGGCACATAACATTTTTAGCATAAGATAATCATCTATTATTTTTGAAAACTATAGTAGAGACATTCTAGTTTAACTTTTGAAAGCTGATTTTAATTTCATTCGCTTTCTCTTAAGTCGGTAAAATGTCGAAATATGTCAAAAACATTATTTGTAATAAAATAGTGTACTTTTGGTACATAAACATTAAACATTTTTTTATTATCTGTGATTTTCAGAGAGAGTTCTAGTGTCATAACAAATATTTCTACTGATGACAGTTTTGAGAAAATATTTCAGCCTCTAGCATTTTTATATTGACTCCAGGAACTTTAACTAAAACATTGAATAAAGAGATTGAAAAGGCAAGTTTATTGATTAAAATGAATTTATGTATATTGTGTTGCATGGTAAATAACTATACACTAAAAAGATTTATGAAATTCAGACATTACTAATCAATATAGGTAGTAATGTGGCCTCCAATTCTTTGCCTCAAGAACTATATATATTTTTAATTTATTATTATTATTATTTAGAGACAGAGTATGGCGCTATTGCTCAGGCTGGAGTGCAGTGGCATGCCATAGCTCACTGCAACTTCCTAGGCCCAAATGATTCTCTTGCCTTAGCCTCCAGAGTAGCTAGAACTACAGTTACATGCCACCACGTCTGGCTATCTTTATTTTTTTATTTTCCTGTAGAGACAAGATCTCACTATGTTGCCTAAGCTGGCCTCTATCTCCTGGCTTCAAGCAGTCCTTCCACTCAACCTCTCACGATGGCTATGTTTTCTGTTTTTTTGTTTTTTGTTTTTTTTTCTCTCCTTGTCTCGGGTGGTTGAAATTTTATAAGTAAAAGATCCTACCAGATTCATAGGGAGATACAATTAAGGATATATCCATTAGATAAAATTACAGAAATGAAAGACAATCTCTGAAACTGTTATCAAGAAAGATTTCACATCAGAAGTGAAAAATCCGGGACTCTAGAAGAATTCATAGAAATATTCCCTGTCTAGAAGGATATGCTGAGTACAGATGTTTCAAACTGACAGAGCAAAGATACAAAAGTTCAAAGTTCCAGTGCAGAGTGACATGTAGCTTAGTGTGGCTTGCATGGAAAAGAGAAGAAACTTGAGAATAGTGCCATATGAAGTCACCTGTAAAATGTGGAATTTTAAACTTTGTTTTACTCAAGGAAGAGAATCAGCGGATTTAAAATAATGTCTAATTTCAATAAATAAGCAAGCTCATTTACTCTTAAACCATAAATATAAGGACTCTATCTTATGAGTAAAGGTTTTAAACTTCGGAAAGGTATAAACAGTGGAGAAATTTTTACTGATTCATCTATAAATATTCTTTGATAATTGTCCACATAGTATGCCTTGTCTATTATTGCTTGGTTCACCTTTCTATGTAGGAGCTCAACAGAAGTCATTTTTTCCTAAGTTTTGGTATTTATACCTCATTTACCAAGAGGATCTAGGAAACAAATATGCATATTTATTGAGTTAATGTACTTTAATCTCATGATATTTACAAGTTTGTGGGAAATTTTACTTTCTGGGAAGAAAGAAAGAGAAATAAACTGATGATACCATACATAACTAAAAATAGTGGAAGTACATTTTTCTATAGTTTATTTGAAGAGTATTTGCCATGTTTTATTCAATAAAAGATAATGAAAACCCTTACATAAAAAATTAAGCTATAGTGACTATAAAATTGTATCCAATAAAAGAGCTAAGAATTCAGAAACAAATTTAAATTTCTACAAAAGCATAAGTTTTAGTAACTTATATTGTCCTTGGTGGGGAAAAGTCAATTTGAGGAGCTTTAAATGTGTCTCCTCAGGTATAAGAAGAGTTACACATTTAAAAATATGGGGCTTACCATTTTCGGCCTTTAAATTGATGCTTACTCTTAAAAAATGTAGTTTGCTGCATTAATAATACAGAAGTTATTGTTTCTTTGAAGCTTTCATTCCCAACTGAAACTTTCAGTAGATGTATACTTCAAGAAAATTTACTTTTTACTGGAGACAAAAATACTTCTTCTCATATAATTATCTCTTTGAAATGGGACCTTTCCATTGCACTGGGAGTGAGAGAAATATAAATAATCAAATTAGTATACCGGTGAGGCTACAGACAGAGGTAACATTGGCTAGAAAACTGGCCTTCTCCAAAACAGCACGGTACTGGTACCAAAACAGAGATATAGACAAATGGAACAGAACAGAGGCCTCAGAAATAACACCACACATCTACAACCATCTGATCTTTGACAAACCAGACAAAAACAAGAAATGGGGAAAGGATTCCCTATTTAATAAATGGTGCTGGGAAAACTGGCTAGCTATATGTAGAAAGCTGAAAGTGCATCCCTTCCTTACACCTTATACAAAAATTAATTCAATATGGATTAAAGACTTAATTGATAGACCTAAAACCATTAAAAACCTAGAAGAAAACCATTCAGGACATACGCATGGACAAGGACTTCATGACTAAAACACCAAAAGCAATGGCAACAAAAGACAAAATTGACAAATGGAATCTAATTAAACTAAAGAGCTTCTGCACAGCAAAAGAAACTACCATCAGAGTGAACAGGCAACCTACAAAATGGGAGAAAATTTTTGCAATCTACTCATCTGACAAAGGGCTAATATCCAGAATCTACAAAGAACTCAAACAAATTTACAAGAAAAAATCAAACAACCCCATCAAAAACTGGGCAAAGGATATGAACAGACACTTCTCAAAAGAAGACATTTATGCAGTCAACAGACACATGAAAAAAATGCTCATCATCACTGGTCATCAGAGAAATGCAAATCAAAACCACAATGAGGTACCATCTCAACACCAGTTAGAATGGCAATCATTAAAAAGTCAGGAAACAACAGGTGCTGGAGAGGATGTGGAGAAATAGGAACACTTTTACACTGTTGGTGGGACTGTAAACTAGTTCAACCACTGTGGAAGACAGTGTGGCGATTCCTCAAGGATCTAGAACTAGAAATACCATTTGACCCAGTGATCCCATTACTGAGTATATACCCAAAGGATTATAAATCATGCTGCTATGAAGACACATGCACACGTATGTTTATTGCAGCACTATGCACAATAGCAAAGACTTGGAATCAACTCAAATGTCCATCAATGCAGACTGGATTAAGAAAATGTGGCACATATACACCATGGAATACTATGCAGCTATAAAAAGGATGAGGTCATGTCCTTTGTAGGGACATGGATTAAGCTGGAAACCACTATTCTGAGCAAACTATCACAAGGACAGAAAACCAAACACCACATGTTCTCACTCATAGGTGGGAATTGAACAATGAGAACACTTGGACACAGGGCAGGGAACATCACACACCAGGGCCTGTCATGGGGTGAGGAGAGTGGGGAGGAATAGCATTAAGAGAAATACCTAATGTAAATGACGAGTTAATGGGTGCAGCACGCCAACATGGCACATGTATACCTATGTAACAAAGGTACACGTTGTGCACATGTACCTTAGAACTTAAAGTATAATAAAAAAAAAAAAGAAAAAAAAAAAAAGAAAACTGGTCTTCTGTCCTGAGATTTGTCCTTTCCCTATTCTAGTTAGATCCTGGCCCCTACTTAACCACTATTGTGACCTAGCCATGGACTTTGCCACTTCAGATACATTCTGTTACACTCCACCCTGGTCTTCATTTTCTACTTATCGTCAAGTTTTAAATAACTTAAAAATCAAAAAAGTAATTAAAGATTGATGAGCTCTGGCAGTTGGTGAACTCTTACTGGAGAGAAAATTACCATTAACATACAAATAAGTAGGGCTCATATTCATCTTTAAGGCTATAACAACTGCATATGTGCAAAAGTTTGGTTGTCAGCATATAGACTTCTGTCACTTCAAAGTAAAGGCATCAACTCAGTGGCAAAGTTTACTTCAATGTCTTCGGTATTAGTCAGGGTTCTCCCAAGGGACAGAACTAATAGGATATATGCATATATGAAAGGGAGCTTATTAGGGAGAATTGGCTCGCAGGATAACAAGGCAAAACCCCATGATAGGCCATCTGCAAGCTGAGGAAGAAAGAACCCAGTAGTAGTTCTGTCCCAGTCCAAAAACCTCAAAAGCAGGGAAGTGACAATATGGTCTTCAGTCTGTGGCTGAAGGCCAGAGAGCCTCCGGCAAACCACTGGTAAAAGTTCAAGAATCCAAAGGCCAAAGAACCTGGAGTCTGATGTACAAGGGCATGAGGAACAACGGGAAGCATCCGACACGGGAGAAAGATGAAATCCAGAAAACTCAGCAAGCCAACTTATCTCACCTTCTTCCACCTGCCTTGTTCTATCCAGCTGGCAGCCGATCGGATGGTGCCCTCCCACATTGAGAGTGGGTCTTCCTCTCCCAGTCCACTGACTCAAATGTCGGTCTCCTCTGGCCACAGCCTCACAGACACACCCAGAAACAATTTACCAGCTATCTAAGCACTGTTCAATCCAACCAAGTTAACATCTAATATTAACCATAATACCTTGTGAATAATTTTTCAAGAAATGATTTTGAGACTTCAGTTCTTAGGAATCAAATGGTTCTTTGAAAACTCTCTGCAAATGTGAGCAATTTAAAGCCCAGAGTCCTGCTGTGAGTGCTAGTGCTATGTCTTATAACTCTTATAAAATAATATAAACAGTATTACTTTTCCCATATTAATTAGTCACCATGTTTAATTTCTAGTAAACAGAAAGATATTTTTCAGGTGTAAGTACTGTAGTTCCCCCACCAGTGGTTTTGCTTTCGGCAGTTTCAGTTTCCCACAGTTAACAACAGTCAGAAAATATTATAGTATTTTGAGAAAAAGAAGGAGGCCACATTCACACAAATTTTATTACAATATGTTGATATAATTGTTCTAGTCTATCATTATTATTGTTACTGTGCCTAAATTATAAATTAAACATGATCATAAATTTGTATGTGTACAAAAAATATATTAATGTGGTTTTTCTTTTTTTCTCTCAAAATACTGTAATATATTTAGACAAATAGTCGGACATTCTTCACCTACTAGTTTTACTACCGTATCTTCACCAGTCACCAGACAGGCTGCATAGGGCTCCTGCAGCAAGAAGCTCTGGAAATAATCCAGGAAGCAATAAAACCACTCTGGGTGCTCTTTTTCTCAGACTAATGTGACTGACCTCTCATTTGATGAGAACCCTTTTGTAGACTCTGCTGATATTTTCAGTGGGAACTGTTGAGTGTTGAGATGTTTGCTCAAGAAAGAATTGCAGAAGCTACTACAACAATGACATCTTTAGCGCTAAGTAGCCAGACCTGTCAGCTTTGCACACTTAAAATGCTGGTATGTCTCATGACCACCCTCCTGCTCTTGGTGATGTTCAGAAACCAGGGAATTAATGTTACCCCACATCTCTAAATTAAATCGCTTTTTCGGGGGGAACAAACAAGGTAGGTAGAAGGGCAATTTGTATTGTTCATGTTGATTATGTTTGGAGAGACACAAATTTGGGTGTCCATTCACCTCTGTGATGGCCTTTTATGCCCATCCTCACTGGGCCTTGTGTAGTTCTGTGCATCCTCTATGCATTTCCTTTACAAGTTTTAGATATTGACATAGATCCTCAGTAGCAATCAGAACCCTCCTGTGGCAATTTTGGAGATTGTTGGTAAACCTTGTGCCCCAGCAGAACTTAGTGGTCAGAGGGAAAATAAATGTATTCTGGCTCATTCTGGGTAATATGTTTAGACATGACATTTTGACCCAACAAGCAGGATTTGATTCAAGGGGGTTAAAATCTTTTTTTCATTCCTGTTCCATATATGAACAGGTATTGCCAAACAGTCCTATGCAGCTGACTCAAGCAAATATATCAAAAACTTTCATTCGCTATTAAAGATCTTAGCACATCATCCTCAGATGGATTCCCCCTAGCAATTTGCTTTAGCTCTCTAAAACGATATTCTGTCTCCTGCACAGATGCTGTGAATTTAAAGTAGAAACAGCATATTAATGCTAAATGAATTCTGAGAGGCACTTTATGTGCTTCACTGGATTGTTTTCTTCTGTGTGATTAGCATGCCTTCATTTACCTTCTCACTGGCTTGTGCTCTCTGGGAAAATATACAACCCTTGACATAAGACCCAATACATTTAGTTCCATTAATAAAGCCTTCCTTGGAGCATAAAGTTATCCTATTTCATCATTTCCCATGGATTTCCTTCCACTGATAGAAATATCTGAGACCAACAGCATGATCTACAACCTCGTGTTTACTCTTAGAAAAATGCCAAGAGCTAGGCTTCTCACTGAGGAAAGATATGTACTGAATACTGCTGTGATTTGCTTTTCCCTCCAAACTTCACATTGAAACTAATCACCAATGTAACGGTGTTGGGGTAGGGTGTTTTGGGAGGCATATAGGCCATGCGGACTCTGCTCTTATGAATAGATTAATGCCATTATAGAAAGCTTTTATGAAGACAATTTGGCCCCCTTTTTGCCCTTCCACCTTCCACTATTATAAGGGTATATTGTTCTGCTCTTCTGAAGGACATAGCATTCAAGACACCATCTTGGAAACAGAGAGTAGATTCTCACACTTACTGGTGCTTTGATCTTCCCAGACTCTAAAATCATGAGAAATAAATTTCTGTTCTTTGTGAATTACTGAGTATCACATATTCTGTTATAGAGGCACAATATAAACTAAAGCAAACATCAAACTTAAATATGCACATAAGTTTCGAATGTTTGCTTGCTAGACATGGAAATATATGTAGAGGCAACACTCTCACTGTTTCTCAGTTATAAGTTAATGTCACCTTGAGTGATCCATTCAGGGACCTAGTGAAATTACTTCATGCCAAACCCAAATTCAAAGATTGAGATTTTTCCTTCTGTGCAGATATGGCTCAATGCCATGGTGTCCCTATTTTGGTAATCATATTTTCTACTACTGTTTGTATTCTTTACTACTGCTTGGATTGCCAATTTTATACAATGCTATCGTTAAATGTAATCAAATTAAACATTAAGATGAAAAAACAAAAATTAGCAGAATGGATAAATAAGCATAACCCAAATATATGCTGTTTAAAGCACACTTTAGATTCGAAACACAGATAGATTCAAAGTAAAAGGATAAAAATAATATACCATGCAAATAGTAACCAAAAAAGAGCTTGTAGTGGCACAATAAAATCAGACAACATAGCCTTTAAGACAGAATTTATTAGTACAGACAAAGAGCAATATACACATTTAATATTCACTGATAAAGGTTGATTTTCACCTATTCTTCTGCAATTTTTATGTCTATCTTTCTTATTCCTCTATTCCCTTGTTACTGCCTTATTTTAAATAGATACTATTTAAATATCTATTTAAATAGATACTATTTAAATATCTATTTAAATAGATACTATTTAAATATCTATTTAAATAGATACTATTTAAATATCTATTTAAATAGATACTATTTAAATATCTATTTAAATAGATACTATTTAAATATCTATTTAAATAGATACTATTTAAATATCTATTTAAATAGATACTATTTAAATATCTATTTAAATAGATATTATTTAAATATCTATTTAAATAGATATTTTCTGTTTTACCATTTCAATTCTTTCATCATTTGTGTTCCTATATATTTTTTATTTTGTTATTTTCTTAGTGGTTAACCTGGGATTATACTTAACATCTTATAATAATCAAATTTGAATTAATATCAACCTAAATTCAGTAGTATATGACATTTATCATGTATAGCTCCATTATTTCCTCTTCCTTTATGCTGTTATTGTGGTGCAAATTATATCTTTATTCATTATGACCCATCAGTATAGTTTTATGATTGTTTCTTTTTGAAGTTATTTTTTAAACTATGTAAAATAAGAAAAGAGGTATATTCAAAAATGTACATTTTGTATGTTTCTCATATCAATCCAGTGTATTTTTACCAGTGCCAATTCTTTCTGTGGATTTGAATTAATGTTTAATGTCCTTCAGTTTTAGCCTGAAGGACTCAGTATAGAATTTCTTTTACAGCATATCTACTAGCAAAGGATTTTCTGTCCTGTTTACATGGAAGTGTCCTAAGTCCTTTTTGGGGAGAAGGATAGTTCAGCTGTATGTAAGATTCTTTGTTGAAAGTCTTTTTTTAATTTTTTTATTTTTTGAGATGGAGTTTTGCTCTTGTTGCCTAGGCTGGAGTGCAATGGCGCATCTTGGCTCACCACAACCTCCGCCTCCTGGGTTCAAGTGATTCTCCTGCCTTAGCCTCCCAAGTAGCTGGGATTACAGGCATGCATCACCACACCTTGCTAATTTTGTATTTTTAGTAGAGAGGGGGTTTCTCCATGTTGGTCAGGCTGCTGTGGAACTCCTGACCTCAGGTGATCCGCCCGCCTCAGCCTCCCAAAGTAGTGAGATTACAGGCATGAGCCACCACCTGCCTGGCCAAAAGTCTTTTTATTTCAGCACTTTGAACATATTGTGGCACTGTTCTCTGGCTTTCATAATTGCTGATGAGAAGTCAGCCATTGATTTTGCTGAAGATTCGTTCTCAATGGTGAGATGCCTGTGTCTTGCTGCTTTCAGTTTTCTCTTTGTCTTTTGATCATTTGATTATGATGTTTCTACTGTACATCTTTAAATTTTTCCAATTTGGAGTTTATTGAATTTTTTAAATGTGTGGATTAAAGTTTTTAATTAAATTTTGAACATTTTCAGTCATTTTTCTTCATATTCTTTCTGAAGCTTTCTTTCTTTCCTCACCTCCTGTAATTTATCCAAAAGTTGGTACACTGATGATCTAATGATGTTCCACACATTTCAGGGTTTTATTCATTTTTCTTTATTCTTTTTCTGTCTATAGTTTATACTGGATTGTTTCAATTGACCTATCGTCAAGTTTACTCATCCTTCTTGCAGCTTAAATATGCCTCTACGCCCCACTATGCAGTGATTTTTCCTTTCAGTGATTGTATTTTCAACCTCAGACTTAGATATCTTTTAAAAATAATTTTGTTCTTTTTATTTATATTCTCTGTTTGAAAAGACATTATTATCCTGCTCTCAGTGTTTCTAGATATGGTTTTATATAGTACTTTGAATACATTTATAACAGGGTCTTGCTCTGTCACCCATGTTGGAGTGAAGTAACATGACCAGAGCTCACTGCAGCCTCAATCTCCTCGGCTCAATTGATCCTCCTGCTTCAGCCCCTCGAGTAGCTGGGACTACAAGCATACACCACTACAAGTAATTAGATCATGGGGGCAGTTTCCCCATGCTGTTCTCATGATAATGAGTAAGTCTCATGAGATCTGATATTTTTTAAAGTATTTGGCATTTCCTCTGTTGGCACTCATTTTCTCCCCTGCCGCCCTGTGAAGAGGTACCTTCCACCATGATGTTCAGGTTCCTGAGGCCTCCCCAGGCATGTGGAACTGTGAATCAGTTAAACATCTTTTCTTTATAAATTACCCAGTCTCAGGTATTTTTTTACAGCAGTATCAGAACAGACTAATATAGACGGAGGAGTCTCACTATGTTACCCAGGCTGGTCTCAAACTCCTGGGCTCAAGTGATCCTGCTACCTCAGCCTCCCAAAGTGCTGGGATTACAAGTGGGTTCCACCATGCCCAGCCTATAATAGCTGATTTAAAGTTTTTTTTCTAGTAAATCTATTCACTGGGCTTCCTAGGGGTATTTTCTATTAATTGCTTCCCCCCACTTCATACTGGAAATATTTTTTTCTGTTTCATTACATTTTTCATAATTTTTTGTTGAGTACTGGAAATTTTAAATAACAAAAAATTACAACTGTAGTCATCAGCTCTCTTGCTCCCAAGTGTTGGCTGTGGTTGCTGTTTGCTTTTTTAGTAACATTCCTGAACCTCACAATATCTCTATTGTGTGTCATATGTTACTACTGATGTCTCTTTTCAGCTGATGTTTAGGCAAAGATTTCCTTAAATGCCCTGCACCAATAGGTCTCCCCACCTTGGTCAAGAGGTTCAGTGTATGTGCTGGCACACACTTTCAATGTTGTGGCAAGTAGTTTAAAATATTTTCTAAACCTTCACGCCTTCTGTTTGTACAGAACCTCAGTGTCAGCTACAGGTGAAATATAAGAACTTTCTAACGTCTTTCTTGGGCATGCACACCATTTTGCAATATGCGTGTTTTTCCACATTCCCAGGAATATGTCAAAGCTCTTGAAAGCCCTTTACAGGCTACTCATTTCCCAGATTTTTCTTTTATGGTTTTTGGTCTTATTCTTTGCCCCAACCATTATCACTTTCTCAGCCCTCTTCAATTTAAACAATTGCTGCTGATTGTTTTGGAAAATGCCTCAGGAAAAGATTATTCACACTGAGTGAACTCTGAGTCAGGTCAAATTAAAAAAAAAAAAAGTCCTTTCCAGGTAACTGACAGACAAGTCAAATAGTAACAATTTTCTGAAGGTGGAATTCTTGAGAAACTCTAAATCAAATCCATTCCGTTTTCTCTGGGAATTGCTATGCTGATAATTTTTACAGCGTGATTTCAAGGTTGTTGGTTTCCAGTGCTACTGCAAAGCTGTGCAGAAAGGAATATGAATACAGTAAGTTAAAATTCTGTAAATTGTGATGTTCATACTAATATCCAAGTGTTTTTCTTGACTAAATGCTCCTCATATTGTTGTGTCCTATTTGTTAATTGCCAAATTTCTTTAAAATCTGATTTTCATAATTTTTGCTAATGTTCTTACTGCTTTTCTTGAGGACCAAATTTTCAGATATTCTTACCCATGCATTCTGGAAACTAGAACTGTCTACTCTCCATTTTGTTGATTATATTTGTCTTTTTGTTACCGCTCTCCTCCTCTCAACTGTAAATCTATCTGCCCTCTCCTAATTATGACCCTTCTGCAGATGACAAGCCTGAGAATCCTTGTTTTTCTTTCCTTTTTTTTCTGTACAGGTCTTTAAATTTCTCTGTAGAGCTGGAACCAGATTGGCAGCAAACACTAAGTTGAACCAACTTAGTTGTTCCAATAAACTTGGAATCAGCATCTGAGGGATTATAGTGAAATCTGAGGGGCCTTCTGTTCCTAGTTCAGTTGTCCTGTGCACTACAATGTCTTTGTGAAAATATATATGCGTTGAGACCCTTGATTCTAAGGTTTCCTTGAATTCTATTTGGTTGAATATCTTGCTGACAGACAGGTCATAGATTTGTGACAAGGCTTCCCTTTCCATCATTCATGTTGTTTTTTTTCCCCCATTCAAAGTGGTATCTTTTGGTTATATCCTGTAATTTATATTTATATTGTAGTTCCATTATCCTAACAATGAATGTTGTTATATAATGTAGAGTGTATCTATATTTATGGTGGAATGTTATGCTTTTCCTTCATGTGGGTTTCTTAAAATACCATTTTAATATGAAGTCCACCGAAACATGAATGGGTAGTCAGAAGTTATCTAAAGTCTTTTTCGTAATTGAGAAAAAAGTTTACACTACCTATTAATGGTAATGGTGATGTTCTACTATATGTTAAAACGTCTTCCTTAGAAATGACTATAAATATTTTGAAATATGTACTACAGTTATATCATCCTAACTCTTATTAATATCATTTTTTTAAATGGAATGGTATCTTAGCAAAATGGAAATAGCACAAGTTTGGAAACAATAGGTCTGTATACTAGAACTATAATATTTCACAAGTAACATGTCTTTTCATTTTAACTTTTAAACTATTGTTTTCACAATTATGTAATAATTGTGAATAATTTTATACTTGTGAATAATTTAAATTATAATTATTGATTAGTGGAGTTGTTAGAAGAGTTAAGGTAAAGAACATCTTTATACTCCAAGGATACTTAAAAAATGCTTGCTAAAATAATCATCCTCACAATAACTAGCAAAGAGTAGTTATAATTTTATTTTTATTTCTATGATTTTTTTCATTAATGTCTGTTCCACCCAGCATCCATTACTACATTTCTTTTTCATTCATGCAAAACATTTTTTTTTTTTGAGATGGGGTCTCACTCTGTCACCCAGGTGAACATGCAGTGATGTGGTATCAGCTCACTTCAACCTCTGCCTCCCAGGCTCAAGCGATCCTCCCACCTCGGCCTCCCAAGTAGCTGGGATTACTGGCACACACCACTGTGCCTGGCTATTTTTTTTGTATTTTTGGTAGAGATGGGGTTTTATCATGTTGCCCAAGCTGGTCTAGAACTTCTGAGCTCAAGCAATTCACCCACTTCGGCCTCTCAAAGGGCTGGGATTACAGACGTGAGCCAACATGCCCAACCTAAAACATTTTTGTTGAATATATAAAATGTGACAACCTCTCATATAGATTGGAGCTTGAAAGATGAAATAAAAAGTCGATAATTCTCACCCTCATTGTATGGTGCAATGAATAACACCTGGAACATAATATATATTTAATCAATATTAATTGATACAATAGATTTATGAATAAATGAATGAATGAACATTGGATTCTAATTACTTTCCAGAATGTTATGACCAATTACTTGTTTACGGACATACACGACTGGATTAGTTGGCTTATGCTGCAATAAAGGACAGCCTTGAATTCACGGTGGCTTAAAACAATGAGTGTTTATCTTTTTTCTAACATTATTTGTCATCTCCAATCAGCACAGAAACTTAGTTAGAGACCCAAGCTAACAGAGCAGGCTCCATCTCAAACATCAAAAGTTTCTGTCCCAGAGGAAAAGAGTTAGAACCCATTCACATGGATTCACCCAAAGACAACTGTAATTTTGCCACGTGCTTTGAAGCAAAAGAAAAACAAAAAACAAAAAACAAAACAGAAAAATATCAAGTAAAAGGTAATAGTGAATACCATAGGATATGGTAGGGGAAAGAGATTCAGTGGGTCATACTAAAGGTGATGAAATGACTAATGTAATTAGAAAGGAGAGTTGTAATAACATTAGACAGTTTAAGATAATGGACTTAGAACTTAAAAGCATACGAAAGGAGTTTATCATTGGTGTTCTGAACATATTCCACTTTTTACATATATTATCTTTTTTTGAGTGTCATTTGGGTATTTTTGTAGTCATTCATTTAATATTTCAATGAATATTTAATATTTACCAGACATTATGTATTGTGTTTGGGGCTTGTTTACCAAAGCGGCCACAGAACATACATTCCTTGTTCTTACAAAACTAAAATGTTCTGTTTCTCAAAGCACTGGCAATTTTCCACAATTTTGAAGGAAACGCATGCTGCTATCACCTAATAGATATTCTCGTGTATGCTAAGAGAAGATAATCTAATCTTTTATTATAGTATTCAGGAGGTTAAAGAATGATCATCTATCAAAATATATGAAATTGTCTTCATGCCACTAAGAATCACTAAGCAACTTTATCTGTATTTCTATTTTAAGAAAGTTTGCTTGTTGTGAAAATCCCAGACTTAGAGTAATATCCGGATGATACGTATGTCATATAATATTTTTAATAAAATAATTTGCTTTTATTTTCTGGACCATATCCATAAAAATCACATTTAAATCTAATAATGTGGCTTAGATAAACAAAACTAATTTTTCCTCTGTTTTAAATACATATTTGAAACATTTTCAACTTTATTCTAAAATTCATTTTAAAATGATGTTAAAAATTACTCCTATGTAGTATTTTATTTGAAAAACTATATATTACTGGAAATAAAAGTAATTGATAAATTTAAATCTAAAAATTTAATAGTCTTAGTTCATACTTATGTGACATATTTTACTGTGCTACGTTTTCCTCAAACTACATGCACACAAACATAATGGTTAGAAATAGGAATTTACCAGGTACACGTATGATTGAGATGTGGTATGAGATAAGTTTTAAAAACTTACTTTAATTTTATTTGTCTATTAATGATTCTAATTTTAACATTGTAGCTTCTCTTCTGCACTTTAATATTGGCAGAATTCAGGAAATATTTCATAATGAGTGGCAATATTACCACATAATTAATTAATAATTATTAGAAAATAATAGCTATTATTTTCTAATTATTATCTACTAATTTTGACAAATCCACAATGTATTTAATTTAACTTAAGTGAAAGCCATTCTTTGTTCAAGCATTGAACCTCCTCAAAATATTCAAAAGCAAACCTTCATATCACTGATATATTATTTTACCTCCCCTAACGACTTCCAAAAGTATACAAGGGACTTTCACAGCTAATTGTGGAATACTAAGATATATTAAAAATTGCAAATGTTAAGAAAGTTAAATCTGAATGGATAATATTTTTATGTATTTGTGGAGGGTTAACTTGTAGTTGTATTTTAATAATCACTGAAAAAATACTACTAAATATAGGTGGTTTTAAAATAGGCATTTTGATACTTGTAAGAGTATACTGAGCTGGGTAGCATTGTTTATTAAGAGCAGTTGGTGGCAAATAAAACTCAGAAGAAAACAAGTTAAAAATATGAACACAGTTTAATGTCAGACTAAAGAGCCTGAATTTTATTCATTTATTCATTATATGCTTCTAATTGAGGAATTAGAGAATAAAAACCTATCCTTTAGGAATATTAATTTTTTAGTAATGTGCAGGGAGGATTGGAGGAAAGCTAGAGGCAAGGAAACAATTAGAGGCTTTGCATTAGTGTAGAAATAAGGAAATAAGGACTTGGATTGGGAAAGTCACCATGAGAATAGAAAACAAAGCATGGCTAATAAATGCATTTCAAATATTTTACATAGCTTGGCAAAATATTAGCTATTAAGATGAAGAGAGAGTTTGAAAAGTATTCATAATTTTGAACTCGATTGACTAGAGAAATATAATCATCCCCAAAAGTAGAAAAGATTGAGAGTCTTGCCATGGGGATTCAAGATGAGTCAAATTTAAGCATGTTGAGCTTTGAAGGTACAGCAAACTATCCAAGAATATATTTTAGCAAGGACTTGGAAATGTGGAACTAGAACTTGTAAAATAGTTTTTAGGCTTCTAAGAAATAGATTAATTTATACAACCTTATAATTCTACTTGAACAGCCTTAAGCATAACTTTATTTTGTGTTAGTCACATATTTTAAGTGGCAAATTGAATTTCGAGGATGTGGATTACCACCTATCTACAAGAACCCTCATTTTTCACTACTTCAGTGGATCAGAACTAAAAATATATATATACAAAAAAGTGAAATAAAACATGGTGACCTACTTTTATTCTGAGAGGTCTTAAAAATGAGTTCATTTTTTCTGATTCCAATAATTCAACTATCATTTTAAACAGCATGTTTTGGCACTAGTAGCATACAAAATAGGTTCTGCAGAATAAAGCTTAGAGGGATTTCATACCTTGGCATCTTGTCTCTTAGAAGTACATAAAACATTAAAAGGAAAATAACTGTGATGAATCAGAAAGAACACATCAAATTAACAAAGGATTTTTTTGTTACAAAAATATGCAGTTTGCATAAATATGTACAAAGAAAATTAAAAGCAGTAGGATATTTGGGGCAAAGGATTTATGTCATACAAACCATATAGCTTCTTACAAAATTCTTTTATCAATGTAAATGAGCAATGTAGTCATTCTAAACTCATGTTGTTAATGCTAAAATACAGCTTTGAACAAATGTCCTATGAAAGAGAATTTGGAGAAAAGACACTATTCCTGTGGTCAGGTTGGAAACCAGGGAGACATAGCTTTTGGTGTATTCTGAAAAATATTTGAGAAAACAAAGGGAACTTTTGAGTTTAACATCATGTTAAACATCATGATGTTAAACTTTTGAGTTTAACATCAAAAGTTACTGCTCAGATTGGCAGTATAATAATTTTACCTCCTATTTTATCTTACACCCACTTCAATCTGACATGTCCTTCCAATTCCGTTAATATTTTCTGTTGTCAACAATGGCTTTCATTTTATCAAATCGAAAGAACAATTCCCAGTCCTCACTGTATTCAGCCATGCAGCATTCAGCATGGATCATTTCCTTTTTATTAGTATGTGTTTTACTTAATGTACAGTACACAATACTAGTTTTCTCCTATATCATTATAAGCTTCTCATACCTCATTATATGTTATTTTCATTTATTTTGCTGGATTATTTTCTCCTTCCTAATTAGTAAATGATAGAACTTTTGAGGACAAAGTCTTAAGAAGTCTTCTTCATAAAAATTCCTGGCTGTGTAATGTAACCCAGATTCATGGCTTTAAATATTACTAATAGTCTTTGAGTTTTATTGAGAGTCTCCACTACAGAGGACAATAATAAAATAATGCTTGAGGGAAAAGAAAATAATTCATATAAATGACAGCAAGAGAAGCCTTGTCACAAACTTATGCTCTGTCTGTCAATTGCATACTAAGCATTTTCATTTTGATATTAATAAGCAATTCCAACCCATATCTTCCCTAGTATTTTCTAATTCAGTAATTAGCATCACTTACTCAGACCTCAAAATGCCGGGACAGGTTATCCTTAAACTGCCTCTTTCTCTCACATTCAAACTCTATCCAAGAAGCTCCTGTCAGCTGTACTTGGAATCTATATCCTTAATATAGTCAGATCTCTATAATTTTTATGGTATCATATTTGTCCAAGCTAACATCACTTCCCACAATAGTCTAAGCAAGTTATTTTATTTTTCTTACTTAAAACAAGTTAACTTTAAACAAGATCACATTACTTCTTGCTTTAAAAACTTCTCATGGATTCCTATCACCCTGAGAAAAATAAATAAGATCCTACATAATCTGCTCCCTGGTCTTCAGCCTAAACTTATTTTATTTTGGCTTGTTCTTTTTGCTCCATTGACACTGGTCAATGGCAGTATAATAACAGATGCTGGCAAATTTGTGAAGAAAAGGGAATACTTGTACACTGCTGGTGGGGATGTAAATTAGCCATTGTGGAAAGAAGTTTGTCAATTTATCAAAGAACACAAAGCAGAATTACCATTCAACCCAGCTGTCTCATTATTGGGTATATACCCAAAGGAACATAAATCGTTCTACCATAAAGACACATACAAACGTATATTCATCACAGCACTATTGACAATATCAAGGACATGGAATCAACCCAAATGTTCACCTTTAGATTGGTTAAAGTAAATGTAAAAGCAAAAGTAAATATATATAATGGAATTCTACACAGTCATAAAAAACAAGATCATGTTATTTGCAGCAACATGGGTGGATTTGAAGGCCATTATCCTAAGTGAACTAACACATGAACAGAAAACCAAATGCTGCATGTTTGTACTTAGAAGTGGGAGCTAAACATTGCATACAAATGGACACAAAGAAAGGAACAACAGACACCGGGGCCTATTTTAGGGAGGGAGGATGAGGATTAAAAAACTGCCTATTGGGTACTATGCTTATCACCAACATAATCTGTACACTAAGCCCCCATGACAGGCGATTTTCCTTATAAAACAAGCCTGGACATATAATCCTGAAGCTAAAATAAAAATTTAAAGAAAGAAAGGTGAAACGATAGGTTTGCAGCCTAAATGGAAAGATTAGCAAACACCAGAGATAGCCAGATGATGTTGACATAATATAAGTAAAAATATAAATGCTTATTTATTCTTATAGACTTTTGATAAATAATTTCAAAATGTGTTCTCTTTTTTGTGATGTCATAATATGCTGCAATATAGTCACCTATAGTATTTAACTCATTTATAAAATGGCAAGTTGATATGTTTTGTTTGATATGGTAAATTTTTTTCAGAATAAAGACATGCCATTTAAAATATATGAATTTACTATTTACATATTATATCACTATATATTGACTGTACACAATTCAAATGACTTGTTAAATAACTTATCTTTAAACCTTTTAAATGTTCATAGTATCTTTCTAATTTATCTTAATAAGTCTGCCTTTTCACAGATGCTTTTCTTTAAGGTAAAGACATTGTGTAAATAAGCACATTTTTCTACTTGCAAAGCAGAGAAAATATTGATATCAATTTCAAATGTTTCAAGTACTTACCTTTTTTTTAAGGCAACAGTCTTTATCTGCTGTTGTTATGTTAGTAAGGTCAGTACACTTTATGTGTTTTGCAGATTTGTTAGAACACAATTTTGTAAAAACTGGAGTGGCATAAGAAGATAATAATATATAATAAAATATAATTAAGCAGTCATGTACCTTTATTATGGCAACATGTTTTGTTTTTTAGTATTGTTATTGGACAAATTATTTGGGTTTTTTAGCTTTATTGAGATAATTGACAAATAAGAATTGTATATGTAGAAGTTGTACAACATGAGGTTTTGATGTACATGTACTTTATGAAACTACTACCAATATCAAGCTAATTAACATATTCATCACCTTAAATAGTTAACTTTTGTATTTTAGCAGTGAGAATACATAAGATCTACTCTCTTAGCAAATTTCAGACATACAATACATTTTTATCAATGTGTTTCATAGTCATCATGCTGTGCCTTAGGCTTCCAGAAAGTATTCATCTTATAACGGAAAGTTTATACCCTTTGATCAACATTTTCCCATTTTCCCTACCTTCCCCTCACCTGAAGTCCTGCTAACCACTTTTCTACTCTCTGGTTTTGGATTCCACATATGTGTAGGCTAATTTTAACTGCCAACTTGATCAGATTAAGCGGGGGGCTTGATAGCTGGTAAATGCTTATTTCTGTGTGCGTCTGAGAGGGTGCTTCAGAGGAGATTGTCACGTGAATCTGTGGACTGATTCACCCTCAATGTGGGCAAGTACCATTCAGTTGGCTGCGGTCCTTGGTGGAACAAAAAGTACTGGGAAAAGTAAATCATAATTTTCTCTTTTGTGGCCAGCACACCCTTCTTCTCCCGCCCTTGGATGTTTGAACTCCAAATTCTCTGGCTTTTAGTCTCCAGGACTTGTACTAGCGGATCACTGGGCTCTTGGGCTTTCGGCCTCAGATTGAGCATTACCTCATCAGCCTCCCTGATTCTCAGGCCTTGAGATTTGAACTGAGCCATGCTATCAGCCTCTCTGGTTCTCCAGCTCCCAGGTAATCCATCATGGGACTCCTTATCCTTCAGAATCTTGTGAGCCCATTCCTCTAGTATATTCCCTCTTATCTATTCTATCTATCCATCTATCTATGTTTCTTTCTTTCTATCTATCCATTCATTCATCCTATTGGTTCTGTCTTTCCAGAGAACCATAAGACAGCATGTAAGTCAGATCATGCAGTATCAGTTTCTGTCTTTCTGTTTCTGGCTTATTTTACTTAGCATAATGCCCTCCAGGTTCATTCTGAAAAGATGATTCATAATGATTATGAGAAGATGATTTTTTGATGGGATTTGAGTCAGTAGGAGTATCTCATTATTTTCATCACATTATTAGTTATTTGGTGCATGACATTTTGTTTTTCTAAATTAATGCTTAGCAGTATTAATCAAAGACCCCTTAAGTTAAAGTCCAATGTTTGTATATTTGCCTTTAATACATAAAGGTTATGTCTACATAATAAAGACAGGTAATTAGGATTGATATTAAGAGAAAAGGCAACACACAAAGCCATGTCTTACTTTATTATCTAAGTATTTTAGACTAAATTACCTGTTGCACTTTATAGTAACACCTGTCATTTTATGTAACAAACATATGTTATTAATAGCAGCTTTAGGTATATTAATTGCATTAAGCCTGCCTATACATATAGGATATAAAATATTAACTTTATTTTATAGATGAAAACACATCTTTCCTAAAGTAATAGAACCAGTGTATCAAAAGCATTGAAGATTATTATACATACTCAAAATCTATGCTTTTAAATATTATTACGTATAGTTACCCATCTAACTATCTATTCTTGGAATAATAGATGCATTTCAAATAGCCCTTAACAATTATTAATAGCATTATGAAAACATTTTTAAAACTCTGGTCATTTATTCAAGAATGGCATGCACTCTTACCGGGAGGTTCTGTCTTGGTTCCCACTGATAAAACTCCATTCATGATTTTTACAATCGTATTAGCTTTTACAATGTTTTGCTTAACATGTAAGCAGCTCTTACTATAGAGTTGGTACCTAAAACAGTCAGTTATGTTAAAACTTTCTGTTATGAAAGTAGTTATTAATCATGACAACAATTTTTTTATGTAACTTATATCACTGTGCTAAAATCTGTATCTTCCCTATTTAGATTCCTGCTTGTTGATTATTCACATGCAGTATTTCTATATGATTAGTCTCTTCTACTTCACTGTTCTTTTTTTCTCCCAAATTTATTCTTTCATCAAAGTTCTCGATGTTCTTTGTCATCCAAGAGTATTATTTCAGTCTAGAAGTAAATTTTATCTCTCCTTTGTTTCTTTATATTTAATTTAAAGACAATCATTTAAAAATTTGAAAACAAATATTTTATTAAATAAATATGTATTCATTTAGTGTTTTTCATGAAGTAAATAAGTGAACTATATTATAAATAATTCCTTAAAATAATACCTACTTGTAAGCTGCCAAAAACAGTTTATGAAATAATAGCGGTTGTTTTGGTGATAAATAGATCCCTATATATTTATTACCTAGAGAGCACAGTTTACATAGAAATATTGTCTTTATTCTGCAGTTCAAGTTGTGAATATTTGGCAGACACCATTGTAGTTTCTCTCTGAATAGAATCAAGACCATATGTTTAACAAGGAGTTAAGATTTAGTGGTGTATAAAAACAAAGTGTCTAAATTCTAATGACACTATTTACTAATCTAATAATACAATGTCACCACTTTTCACTTTGATGTCAAACTCAACTTTGTATTCTAAAGCCTTCTGAAATGCTCACTCTTCACTCAGTGAAATATGGGGAAAAAGACATTTTAATTAACTTAGTTGAAAAATATAAAACATATACATTTAGGTTTAGAGATTTAGAATTTTTTAATATACTCCCTCAGCTTTAGTCAATATAAAAATAATTTGTTTCACTTATAGTATGCTTATTTTTGATTTCCCTGAAAAATTTCAATGTAAGAAGCAAAATTATATTGGATACATGGGATTATATTCATTGCAGATTTTGTAATCCTCATATATCACAGACTAATTAGTAATGAAATAAGATTGTATAATGACAGATCCTCTGTATTCCCATAGAAAATGCAGGACTGTTCACACAGTTAAACTGTGAGAGCATGTTTCCACTTGACATTTATGGAATTGTAGCTTGGCACACTCTTTGTTTTAACAGAGAAAAAGCTGATATAAATGTAAATCTAAAAGACATTCTGGCAGCAATATTTTATTATTTCCTACTCAACTGAGTTGAATGAATGAATTTTAAAAATTGACATTTTTTGGTGTTCCCTCTAGAAAATAGTAATTTAGCTTATATTGAAAATAACAGAGTAATGGCAACGCTTAATAGTAACTAAGAATCTCATGTTTGTTATGAATTTACCAGAGTAATGGAGGGCCTTAATGGTGTTTTTTTAAGAGGTTAGTATTTTCACATATATATCACAAGAAACACAGCTGGATCTCCACAGTCAGATTTCAAATTTTTTTTTTTATATTCAGAAATCCAGTTCCACTTTCTAGTGCACGTCTTTCTTCAAATAGCCCATCAATTATCTCCAGCGTGTCTTCTGTGGAAGGCAGAAGGTTGTTGATACAGCTGACGGTTATGCCTTATCCAGTCTCTGTTTTTGAGAGGCCAAGTTCAATATTTCTCAATGTTACAATAACTATATAAACATAACCAAATAAATTAATTAAATAAATTTTCCTCAAATGATAATTATGCATGTTAAAATGTGATAAATAGATATTTTCCCATTACCAATATTATAAATATTATGTGGCCAAAGCCAATGTTAAAATTTTTATTCCTTCAATCATACAAATTAATATTAAGAAGTCTTATTGATTGTTTCCTATATCAAGACACTTTTTTAAACATTTTGTATGCACTGACTCATAGAAACCTCATTATACCTTAAACAACAGGGACAATTATTTTCCTTATCTATATGGAGAAATTTAGTCATGGAACAGCTTAGGTTATTGCTCAGAATCACACAACTGGTGGATCTGGAATGCAGCTCAGGCATTCTGGTTGCTGAGCAAGGGCCCTTAACTTCTGTGATAAATTTCCTCTCCTTACCAATGTATTGCAAAATATTGTTCTGTGTGAAGCTCCTCTGACTTATTCACAATGTGCAAACCAAGGAAAGGTTACATTTTGTATGAAAGAGTAGCTTTATTTCTCCTATTCTTGTTTTTTATTATCTACATAGTAATTGGATATTTTGATTCTAGCTGTTATTATGTGTATGGAGATGATGCCATTTTTGATAATAATAAGGCTGGGGAGGTAGATTTTAACTAGTTATCATAAGGCATATACAAAATCATTCTACCTTATGTATGCATGATTGAATGTAACAGTAAAGCAATCTTGCAAATTATAATACTTGAATTTACATAACTCCCCTCTTCCCTTTTCTTTATAGTTCTTCTCAGTGAATCACAAAAATGCGATGATTGAATTTTTCTTTAGTTAATATTTCTAGTTGAAAACACTATTTTACAGTATAAAAAATAAGTGAACTGGTGAACTGAGAAGGAAGTCACTTAAAGAAGTTTTACACATCATTATGAAGAACATTTCCAGTGATGCTGTTTCTGACTCTTGGTTTTCATAATCAAGGTAAACACGAAGCTATGAATTGATAATTCGTGGTCTCCCACAAGGTGAGAAAAGCATTCTGCTTAAATTTTCAGAACTAATTTGTATGGCGTTATTTCCAGTAAGCCTTAATTTATTAGCTAGATTCAAATTATCTTGTATTTTCTTAATGAAGAGAGGCATAGGTAATTTAAAGGATTCTTCAATAAGCCTTCAAGTTAGATGTAATTATCTCTTCTCCTTTTCGGAACTACATGAAATAAGATTCACTTTGAAGACCACAAAGAATGGATTTAACTGCAGTCAAATATGCCAGCCCATGGAATCTACTGATGAGATTGTGATATCTCTGAGAACAGACAGTACTTTTCAGTTTAGCAACTACAAAAAGATAGAGATATCATAAGACTACTTTCCAGGTTCAAAATCAAGATTTTAATTTATTTTTTTGTTTTGTTTTGTTTTTGTTCAATTTTTTTTATTATACTTCAAGTTTTAGGGTACATGTGCACATTGTGCAGGTTAGTTACATATGTATACATGTGCCATGCTGGTGTGCTGCACCCATTAACTCGTCATTTAGCATTAGGTATATCTCCTAATGCTATCCCTCCCCTCTTCCCCCACCCCACAACAGTCCCCAGAGTGTGATGTTCCCCTTCCTGTGTCCATGTGTTCTCATTGTTGAATTCCCACCTATGAGTGAGAGCATGCGGTGTTTGGTTTTTTGTCCTTGTGATAGTTTACTGAGAATGATGATTTCCAATTTCATCCATGTCCCTACAAAGGACATGAACTCATCATTTTTTATGGCTGCATAGTATTCCATGGTGTATATGTGCCACATTTTCTTAATCCAGTCTATCATTGTTGGACATTTGGGTTGGTTCCAAGTCTTTGCTATTGTGAATAATGCCGCAATAAACATACGGGTGCATGTGTCTTTATAGCAGCATGATTTATAGTCCTTTGGGTATAAACCCAGTAATGGGATGGCTGGGTCAAATGGTATTTCCAGTTCTAGATCCCCGAGGAATCTCCACACTGACTTCCACAATGGTTGAACGAGTTTGCAGTCCCACCAACAGTGTAAAAGTGTTCCTATTTCTCCACATCCTCTCCAGCACCTGTTGTTTCCTGACTTTTTAATGATTGCCATTCTAACTGGTGTGATATGGTATCTCATTGTGGTTTTGATTTGCATTTCTCTGATGGCCAGTGATGGTGAGCATTTTTTCATGTGTTTTTTGGCTGCATAAATGTCTTCTTTTAAGAAGTGTCTGTTCATGTCCTTCACCCACTTTTTGATGGGGTTGTTTGTTTTATTCTTGTAAATTTGTTTGAGTTCATTGTAGATTCTGGATATTAGCCCTTTGTCAGATGAGTAGGTTGTGAAAATTTTCTCCCATTTTGTAGTTTGCCTGTTCACTCTGATGGTAGTTTCTTTTCCTGTGCAGAAGCACAGCCAATATCATACTGAATGGGCAAAAACTGGAAGCATTCCCTTTGAAAACTGGCACAAGACAGGGATGCCCTCTCTCACCACTCCTATTCAACACAGTGTTGGAAGCTCTGGCCAGGGCAATTAGGCAGGAGAAGGAAATAAAGGGTATTCAATTAGGAAAAGAGGACGTCAAGTTGTCCCTGTTTGCAGACGACATGATTGTATATCTAGAAAACCCCATTGTCTCAGCCCAAAATCTCCTTAAGCTGATAAGCAACTTCAGCAAAGTCTCAGGATACAAAATCAATGTGCAAAAATCACAAGCATTCTTATACAACAACAACAGACAAACAGCCAAATCATGAGTGAACTCCCATTCACAATTGCTTCAAAGAGAATAAAATACCTAGGAATCCAACTTACAAGGGATGTGAAGGACCTCTTCAAGGAGAACTACAAACCACTGCTCAAGGAAATAAAAGAGGTCACAAACAAATGGAAGTGCATTCCATGCTCATGGGTACGAAGAATCAATATCGTGAAAATGGCCATACTGCCCAAGGTGATTTACAGATTCAATGCCAATCCCCATCAAGCTACCAATGCCTTTCTTCACAGAATTGGAAAAAACTACTTTAAAGTTCATATGGAACCAAAAAAGAGTCCACATCGCCAAGTCAATCCTAAGCCAAAAGAACAAAGCTGGAGGCATCACACTACCTGACTTCAAACTATACTACAAGGCTACAGTAACCAAAACACCATGGTACTGGTACCAAAACAGAGATGTAGATCAATGGAACAGAACAGAGCCCTCAGAAATAATGCTGCATATCTACAACTATCTGATCTTTGACAAACCTGACAAAAACAAGCAATGGGGAAAGGATTCCCTATTTAATAAATGGTGCTGGGAAAACTGGCTAGCCATATGTAGAAAGCCGAAACTGGATTCCTTCCTTACACCTTATAGAAAAATCAATTCAAGATGGATTAAAGACTTAAACGTTAGACTTAAAACCATAAACACCCTAGAAGAAAACCTAGGCATTACCATTCAGGACATAGGCATGGGCAAGGACTTCATGTCTAAAACACCAAAAGCAATGGCAACAAAAGACAAAATTGACAAATGGGATCTAATTAAACTAAAGATTTTAATTTAAATGGATCTAAAAATTCTTAGCTATAATGTAAATATGCTTACATTTCAAAATGCTTAATGACATGTAAAATGCTTGTACATGTAAAAATGCTTTACATGTAGCAGCAGGCTTACATAATGTGCATTAAATAATTTTAATAAATTATCTTAATATATCTGAGTTTAAAATGTTTATAGCAGATTTTAAACTCAATTATTTGTTTCCAAAGTTCCAGGACTTTGGTCTGGGTCCTGCTGCATGTAAAAATGCTTAACTATGTGAAAGATAAATAAAAAATTCAGAGATACTTGACTATTTTTAGTACTAAATTCAATATTATGCTGATGGAGCTTTTTATTACATGAACTTTAATTAAACTGATTTTATTAAAACTTATAACCTGTTTCTTATTTAGTCGAATTATGTTACCTATGGGTTACTTTAACAAGCTTATTTTCATAGGCAAATTAAACTACCAAACTTTGATTTGCTTAACCATTTAATATAATATCCAAAAACTTTAAAATGTCTCAAATGGATTTTATAATTAAACATAATTAAAGTTATCATTTACAGTGTCACAAAACTTGCATAATAATGTAAAGTAAATGGACTCTATAAAAATGTGCATCAAGTTATTTAAGTTTATTTACTTTAAAATAATTTTTCAGTGATTTAGTATTTACTAGATTTGTAAATAAGTCATTGGAGTTTTTAAAAAGCTAACTAAATGAAAAATATATATTTTACATTGTTTTACTCTATATTTGTGTATGTGTATGTGCATCTGTGAATTATGTATGAAATAAAATTAATGTAGTTATCTTCTAGGTTTTAGTGTTAGAAGAGAAATTACAAGTGCACATTTGGGTACATAGGACATGGCCTCTGTGGAGTAGTGTTGCAGCCTCCTTACTCCTTAGTTTAGTGAGGTCTGAGTTCTTGTTCCAAAGCCAAGAAGAATAAGGCACACAGACATTGGAGAGTAAAGCAGAGTAGGACTTATTAAGCAACAGAAAAGCTCTCAGCAGTGAGAGGGGACCCAAAGAGGGGTTGCCAAAAAGGGGGCTGAGTTTTGGGTCTTTTATGTGGCAGAAATAAGGAAGTCTTCTATGGGTTCTGCCTTAATGGGAGGGCTAAAATTCCCCCTGGGGTGTTACATTTGTGCATGCCTGGGGTTGACTATAGTAACTCTATCTTGGTTGTTACCCATGAGTGCTTAAGTGAAATACATGGTGGGGGGTGGGGGCTAAAACCACGATGCTAATGGCATTATAATGAGTTCAGGGTTATTTTAGGATGCCCTCAGTTCTTGTCTGTGCCTGTGTGGGTGGCTGGAAAGTCCCTTCTGAGCAAGCATCTTGGTATAAGATTAAGTTCTTAACTACATTTCCTCCTGCTAGCTACATAACAGAGGTGGTGCAGGTATGTTCCCACAGGTATAGTTCCTCTTCCAAGACACTCCCTCACTAGTTGCCTGACCAGTTCCTACCTGCCTCCTCTCTCAGTAGGTTTTATTTTTTTTCTAGAGAAGTTATGAAGATAAAACTGGCCTAGTTGTTCCATAGAACTTATGTTTATGGTTTCTTTTGAATAAACATAGAGATTGACCTTCCCAGTCTTGATTCCTGAGAAAGCCACATTTGTATTACCTGAGCTTCTTTCTCAGGAAACGAACCATCAGGCCTCCTGGATAATATCACGGGGATATTACCACATCTGGACAATGAGACACCAGTCAACTCACCTATAATGATTGCCTAATTGACTGCCTGCTCCCTGTTGACCAACTCCTCTTCCTTACCTCTCCCTGATTCCTGATTTCCCACACATGATAATGTGTCTTACTTGCTATATAAAATCAATCATTTTAATGTGTCAGGGAGAAGAATTTGGGAATGATTTCCCACCTCCTTGGCTGCAGCACCAGATTAAAGCATTTTTCCCTGGCGATACTCCTTGTCTCAGTGATTGGCTTTCTGTGCAATAGGCAAGACCGAGAATGAATCCCTGATGTTTCAGTAGCAAAGATATGAGTTATAAATCTAATTTTTTAAAATACTCAGATATATCAAGATAATTTATAAAAGATATTTAATATATATTATGCAAACCTGCTGCTATTATCAATTACATTTTTGTTATGTAAATTAAGAAATTGATGATTCTGAAATTTATGACATAGAAATAGCTAATGGAATATATCCTTTGTCTTAAAAATATGATTCTAACAAATAAATGCAAATTTATCTAATAGAAGAAACAAAACCAATGAATGATATAGTGGTGTATCGTAACTCACATGGAAAATTAGTATCAGAAAATGGTCTCTTGATTCTAAGAATAATACTCTTACATAAAAAAAAAATCTAGAATTCACCAGGTTTTAAGGCTGGTTTGTAAGCATTTGCTGGTCTAATTAGCAGAATATTGGATGAACTTGATATTCAAATATTTGATTAATTACTTGAGGAAATGAGTAACTCAAGTCACACACATATACTAGATAGTGGAAAATCCCATTTAAATACTTGCACAATTATACATGTATGTATGCCTCACTCTTCATTCAAAAGGTAAGTAGTTTTATACATTGGGGTATTTTGCCTGTCTGTGGTCAGAGGATCTGAGATTAGATTGTTACTTTGATATTTCCCAATATATGTATCATAGAAAAGAATGATATGTCAATATGAAGGACTATAGTAAAGACTCATGATTTTATATAAAGGTCTCATTGTACTCTGCCTTTTGTATGGTCAGCATTCAGTACATTTATGCTGTTATTCTTCATAATGCTATTATTTGTATCCATATTTATGGTTGTGGATATAATTCTAAAAAATGTTCTCAAATACATCTTCTGTCTGGGACATTAATAACCACCTTCTCATTTTTAAGACACTTTGTTGGTTTTTGGCATGATTATACTACTATCATACTGATTTTCTTATGTCAAAGTCTTTTTTTTTTTTTTTGCTTCTGTGTTGACTTCTTATTCTATTAGTTACCATTCAACATTCTTAATGTTTTGCTTTTCCCCTTCATGTTTTCTTTCTTCCTCTAACTCTATTCTCTTTTATTGATCTAAAACCTTCAACTAATACATGTGGTTGTGGAAGATTATCATATTTTTCTTTTTAACGGCGAATATTGAATTCTCTTCTTAGCTAGTGTACTGTTTCCAAATATCTGAGTGTTTTACATAGTCTCAAACTTTAAAATACTTCAAAGCAAATGTCCGTCTTCATTTCTCTATCTATTCTTTTATGCTTTGTTTTGCCATTGAGATAAAAAATCTCAAGCTGTCTTAAAAATAATTTTTATGAACTCCTATCTTGTCTCATGTTCTTCACACACAGGCATTTTTATTATAACATGATGGAACTGCAACTTGGTTATTTTGCTTTATGTATTTATTATAAATAATTCACAGGAGTTAAATATATGACATGTAATATGACTGCATATTTTTGACAAATTATGTTTCTAATATATTACTCAAGTTATATCACCACGTGCTCAGGTTTGAATGCTCAGTTCTACAGTGCTTAAAGATTTAAGAGCTAACTTCTTAAACTGAAATTATAAATAATCTAACCTTTCTTAATTTATCCCTACTATACAGACTTACCTATATTCTATTTTGGTAAAACTGTCATTACACTTTCAAGTATCTTTGCTTTTAAAAAATTATTTTAAGTTCTGGGATACATGTGCAGAACATGCAAGTTTGATACCTAGGTAAACGTGTGCCATGGTGGTTTGCTGCACCTATCAGCCCATCACCTAGGTATTAAGCCCAGCATACATTAAGCTGTTTATCCTGATGCTCTCCCTACCGCTGCCCCTCCAACAGGCCCCAGTGTGTGTTGTTCTCCTCTCTGTGACCATGTATTTTCACTGTTAAGCTCCCACTTATTAGTGAGAACATGAGGTGTTTGGCTTTCTGTCCCTGTGTTAGCTTGCTGAGAATGATGGTTCCCAGCTTCATCCATGTCTCTGCAAAGGACATCAATTCATTTTGTTTTATGGCTGCATAGTATTCCATTGTGTATATGTACCACATTTTCTTTATCCAGTTTACCATTGATGGGCATTTGGGTTGATTCCATGTCTTTGCTATTGTGAATATTGCTGCAATAAACATACATGTGCAGGTATCTTTATAATAGAATAATTTATATTTTTCTGGGTATATACCTGGTGATAAGATTGCTGGGTCAAATGATATTTCTAGTTCTAGATCCTTGAGGAATCGCCACACTGTCTTCCACAATGGTTGAACTAATTTACATTCCCACCAACAGTGTAAAAGTGTTCCTATTACACCACTGTTTCACCAGCATTTGTTGTTTCTTGACTTTTTAATAATTGCCATTCTGTGTTTTTTCTTTATCAGTCTGGTTAGTGGTCTATCTATTTGTTAATGTTTTAAGAAAAACAGCTCCTGGATTCACTGATTTTTTGGAAGGGTTTTTGTGTCTCTATTTCCTTCAATTGTGCTCTGATTTTAGTTATTTCTTGTCTTCTGCTAGCTTTTGAATTTGTTTGCACTTGCTTCTCTAGTTCTTGTAATTGTGATGTTAGGGTATCAATTTTAGATCTCCCCTTCTTTCTCCTGTGGGCATTTAGTGCTATAAATTTCCCTCTAAACACTGCTTTAGCTGTGTGTGTCACAGAGATTCTGGTATGTTGTGTCTTTGTTCTCACTGCTTTCAAATAACTTATTTATTTCTGCCTTAATTTCATTATTTACCCCAGTAGTCATTCAGGAGCAAGTTGGTCAGTTTCCATGTAGTTGTACGGTTTTGAGTGAGTATCTCAATCCTGAGTTCTAATTTGACTGCACTGTGGTCTCAGAGACTGTTTCCTATGAGTTATGTTCTTTTGCATTTGGTGAGGAGTGTTTTACTTTCAATTATGTTGTCCGAAATACAAACTATCATCAGAGGACACTATAAACACCTCTATGCAAATAAACTAGAAAATCTAGAAGAAATGGATAAATTCCTGGACACATACACCCTCCCAGGACTAAACCAGGAAGAAGTCGAATCCCTGAATAGACCAATTGCAAGTTCTGAAATTGAGGCAGTAATTAATAGCCTATCTACCAAAAAAAAAAGCCCAGGAACAGACAGATTCACAGCCGAATTCTGCCAGAGGTACGAAGAGGAGCTGGTACCATTCCTTCTGAAATGATTCCAAACAATAGAAAAAGAGAGACTGCTCCCTAACTCACATCCTGATACCAAAACCAGGCAGAAAACAACAAAAAAATAAAATTTCAGGCCAATATCCCTGATGAACATCAATGTGAAAATCCTTAATAAAATACTGGCAAACCGAATCCAGCAGCACATCAAAAAGCTTATCCACCACGATCAAGTGGTTTCATCCCTGGGAGGCAAGCCTGGTTCAGCATACACAAATCAATAAACACAATCTATCACATAAAGAGAATCAATCACAAAAACCACATGATTATCTCAATAGATGCTGAAAAGGCCTTTGATAAAATTCAACACCGCTTCATGCTAAAAACTCTGAATAAACTAGGTATTGATGGAACGTATCACAAAATAATAACAGCTATTTATGACAAACCCACAGCCAGTATCATACTGAATGGGCAAAAACTGGAATCATTCCTCTGAAAACTGGCATAAGACAAGGATGCCCTCTCTGACGACTCCTATTCAACATCGTATTGGAATCTTCTGGACAGGACAACCAGGCAAGAGAAAGAAATCAACGGTATTCAAATAGGAAGAGAGGAAATCAAATTGTCTCTGTTTGCAGATGACATGATTGTATATTTAGAAAACCCCATTGTCTCAACCCCAAATCTCCTTAAGCTGATAAGCAACTTCAGAAAAGTCTCAGGATACAAAATCAACATGCAAAAATCACAAGCATTCTTATACACCAGTAATAGACAAACAGAGAGCCAAATCATGAGTGAACTCCCATTCACAATTGCTACAAAGAGAATAAAATGCCTAGGAACACAACTTACAAGGGATATGAAGGACCTCTTCAAGGAGAACTACAAACCACTGCTCAATGAATAAGAGAGGACACAAACAAATGGAAGAAAATTCCATGCTCATGGATAGGAAGAATCAATATTGTGAAAATGGCATTACAGCCTAAAGAAATTTATAGATTCAATGCTATTCCTATCAAGGTACCATTGACTTTCTTCACAGAATTAGAAAAAACTACTTTAAATTTCATATGGAATCAAAAACAGTCCATACAGCCAAGACAATCCTAAGCAAAAAGAACAAAGCTGGAGGCATCGTGCTACCTGACTTCAAACTATACTACAAGGCTACAGTAACCAAAGCAGCATGGTACTGGTACCAAAACAGATATATAGACTGATGGAACAGAACAGAGGCCTCAGAAATAACACCACATATCTACAACCATCTGATCTTTGACAAACCTGAGAAAAACAAGCAATGGGGAAAGGATTCCCTATTTAATAAATGGTGTTGGGGAAACGGGCTAGCCATGTGCAGAAAATTGAAACTGAATCTCTTCCTTACACTTTATACAAAAATTAATTCAAGATGGATTAAAGACTTAAACATAAGACCTAAAACCATGAAAAAAAAAACCCTAGAAGAAAACCCAGGCAATACCATTCAGGACATAGGCATGGGCAAAGACTTCATGACTAAAATACCAAAAGCAATTGCAACCAAAGCCAAAATAGACAAATGAGATCTAATTAAACTAAAGAGCTTCTGCATAGCAAAATAAACTATCATCAGAGTGAACAGGCAACTTACAGAATTGGAGAAAATTTTTGCAATCTAGCCATCTGAGAAAGGGTTAATATCCAGAATCTACAAAGAACTTAAACAAATTTACAAAAAGAAAACAACCCCATCAAAAAGTGGGTGAAGGATATGAACAGACACTTCCCAAAAGAAGGATTTTAAGAGTCCAACAAACATATGAAAAAAAGCTCATCATCACTGGTTATTAGAGAAATGCAAACCAAAACCACAGTGAGATACTGTCTCATGCTAGTTGGAATGGCAATCATTTAAAAGTCAAGAAACAACAAATGCTGGAGAGGATGTGGAGAAATAGGAATCCTTTTACACTATTTGTGGGAGTGTAAATTAGTTCAACCACTGTGGAAGACAGCGTGGCGACTGCTCAACGATATAGAATCAGAAATACCATTTGACCCAGCAACCCCATTACTGGGTATATACCCAAAGGATTGTAAATCATTCTACTATAAAGACACATGCACACATATGTTTATTACAGCACTATTCACAATAGCAAAGACGTGGAACCAACCAAAATGCCCATCAGTGATGGACTGCATAAAGAAAACGTGGCACATATACACAATGGAATACTATGCAGCCATAAAAAAGCATGAGTTCATGTCCTTTGCAGGGACATGGAAGAAGCTGGAAACCATCATTCTCAGCAAGTTAACACAGGAACAGAAAATCAAACACCACATGTTCTCACTGATAAGTGGGACTTGAACAATGTGAACACATGGACACAGGGATGAAAACATCACACACAGGGGCCTATCAGGGGTTGAGGGGGCTAAGGGAGGGACAGCATTAGTACAAATACCTAATGTAGATGAAGGGTTTATGGGTGTAGCAAACCACCATGGCACGTGTATACCTATGTAACAAACCTGCACGTTCTGCCTGTGTATCCCAGAACTTAAAATTTTTTATATATATATATATGTATATAATATATATATGCATATAATATATATATGTATATAATATATATATGTATATAATATATATATGTATATAATATATATATGTATATAATATATATATGTATATTATATATATATATATGTATATATGCACATATCCAAAAAAACCCACCACAAAACCTAACATCATTTTAGTAGATTAATTCATAGGAACCTTATCATCAGTTATCCATCAATACAGAATACAGAGGGTTAAAACTCTGGAATTATTGTTTCTGTCTCTCTCCCTGATGACGTTTTCTTACATTCTTATATATGGTTACGTGGCCCCATCTTGTCTTCTAGATTTTCATTATACTTATTGAATTCATTTCAATAAGTATAATGAAATTTACTTATATAATGAAGTATACTTATATACTTATATATGAAGTATAATGAAATTCATTTCAATAAGTATAATGAAATGAATTGATTTCATTATACTTATTGAATTCAAGAATTAAAGCCATGGCAGCATTTCTCATATTTATTTCTACTAAAACAGAAGACACTCCTCTACTTTTCATATATAACGATGTTCCACTTACCCAACATGGTATGATAAATGCCATGGTGAAGGGAGTACACACTTAAGCCTTTTCCAGGGTATGGTTAGGACATTTGCAAATAATAGTGCTGGAGCCATTTGCAAATAGTAGTGCTGCCTATCCAACATTCCTATTTCCCCCAGCCTTAGCACTCCTTCCTATATGTTAAGGAATTAAGTTCTATCATTTTTATGCTTATCAGAAATCCTTGTTTTTGAGCCCAGCTTCAATTTATCACACCTTTAGGCTGATAATACTTCTATTGGTGCTTGAGCCAAACCGTTACGTCCTGAATCCCCATGAAATATGCTTATAGATATAAATGATAACTAATCCAATTTTGTGTTTCTTTTCTTGTTCTAATACAGTTAGTTTTTATTTATATGTAAGTTCCACATGCACTTACTAATATAAAACTGTCAATAAGTAGCTTATTTTAAAGTGTGCATTCTATCACTTCCCGAAGCAGAACTTTTAGTTTTTCGTATTAGTTATACTATATCTAAATCTGTCAATGAGCCTAAATGCAATGAATTGCATTGTGAATCATTATGCCCTGTGGAGGCAATCATCACAGATGCAGTCTCTAAAGTTTTTGTGCTAGAGGTAGCTGATTTTCTCACTAAAGAGGAATAGGTTGCCTCTTCAGGCAACAAAGTTTCAGAGATACTTGGGGGCGTAAAATTCTTCGTCATTTTTAGAACTGTCCAAAATATATAGTACATCCCTAGTCTTAGTATCCTGGTCGATCCAACCATAGTTCTGAGCTTAACCTAAGAAATTTGGCAGAGTTTTTCCTTAACTGTTATTGCAGCTCTGAAAACCTTATAATGAAACCTAGAGACAGAAACTCAGCTAGATGTGTCCTGTGCTAATTGTTTAAAATAATTTGCTTAAGACTTCTGTAAAGATTTTCTCATTGTCCCACCATGCCTTGTATTTGGACTCCATGGACTTAATTTACAGATATATTTTTAGTAAGCTTTCTAGGGCTCTAAGAAGCAGCTATTCTATCACCTACAATATTTTTGATCCACCTTTTTGCCATAGTGACTAACTAATTTAGCTCTGGAGTCACCAACCATGGCATATAAGCAAAATTTAGACCCCTGCCTGTTTGGATATTTACCGTTCTTGAACACAGTCATACACAAATGGTTAGTTTACTTTAGCTCAACAAGGGTAGATTACGTAGTTGCAACAGTAAACTTTTGGCTAACAAAGTTAAAGTATTTACTATATGGTCTCTCAAGAAAAAAATCTGTCAACAACTGCTGTAGTCACTTGAACTCCTGAAAGTTAGTGCTCCTCTGACACTCCATCCCATTCCACTGCCGTTGCTAATTTGAGTTATTATATCACTATATGCCACTAGTTAGCAGTAGTATATTTCCCTTGGAACAGAAAGGTATATAGATATTTATTAAATATTTGAGTAATCTATACCTAGAATCCTACTTTGAGGATCTGTTCCCTAGGTCAATCCTGATACCAATTATTGGAGCAACCAGATTCTGGCTCTTAATAGATAGCAAATTTATAAAGGGTTTAATGTTTTATAATTTAATAAATATCAGTGAAGAGAGTTGTCAGAAAATATAAGACAACCAGCTATAGGTGGTGAAGGACACAGCGATTAACTTTGGGTACCCATTTCCACTTCTACTCCTGAAGGAATAAATTGTGGGGCTGTGTTATGATAGCTATAAAGAGCTTGGAAGAGAGGAAGGAGAGCTGCTGGACAGGTGATGCAAATGTAAAAAGCTGCCACAAGCAGAACCACAATGATTCACTTACACAGAGAATGGGGAACTTAATCCTTCTTTCACTTGAGCTTCAATATCCATAGAGGTCGGTCTACAAAGCCACAGAACAGGGCCGAGATGAGCAAAATTCGATCTAGAAAGGAGATAAAAGGACAGGCCTTTAGTAGATTAAAAAAACAGTACAATGTCTCAAGAATTGTAAATGCCTTCGCAATTTCCTCTAAATTCAGTTTAATTATTTAAAAAGTACATTTATATAAGTTAGAAATTCCAATCTTCGCTCCAGTATTAAATTTAATGTTTTAAGATTGGCCAGTCTCACTAGGAGGTTAACAGTGTTGATGACAGATCAAAAAGTTGCACAAAATCTGGGACTATGACCAAAAAGTTGCACAGAATCTGGGACTGTGACAATGTCATTAATTAAAGGAGATTTTATGAACAACTGAATTTTCTTTTTTATGTAAGCCCATTTGTTGTTACTAGCAACCAAAAGATGAAAACTAGCCCATGATCTAACTTATGATTCTAAGTTATTAGCACAACATGATTGTCTAAACAAATTTTGTGGAAGATCACATATTACCACATTAACTAAAACAACATGAAAACTGTTTAGTAGCATAGATAAAGGTCAGAGTGAGGATGGCATGGGTTGTCATGTGAAAATGGATTTGCATCAAGAAGCTCGATCCTCTTTTTTAGTCTTCTAATATTGAAACCTATAAGGCTGATGTTTCTTCATATGAAAAAGAAAACATTTAAAGGAAATAGAGACGTGCTGACTGTTAATTAAACTCATAGGTCATTTTAATCCAGAAATATCTTTCTTTATGCCAAAGAGATTCTTAAATGTGATCAAATTTCAGTGAACATAAATTCAGTAAAATAACTTTTACATTATATTAATTATTTATGTATATTAACAACCAAACAGAAAGTCTCAATACAAAAATTATTCATAATGTATTCTTTTTTCAACTCCTGTAGTGAGTACATTTTTTTTCAGGTAGTTGCAACTTAAAGGCTATACCAATGATAATTAAAAGATAAGTTTTGGTAGTTTAATGAGAGGTACTCTTCAAAGTTTAAAAATGCCATACTTTTTCTTTAAAAATTAGGTGAATCATAGCAGATTTAGCCTCATCAGACAAATTTGATTTAAAAAGAAACAGTTTCAAATAAGATCAGCCATTACTGATTGCTTTTGTAACAATGAAATTCTGTTTCTTCATATATATGTGTATGTGTGTGCACACGTGTGTACGTATGTGTATGTGTCAGTGAGAGATTATATATAGAGGTACTGTATAATACACACACATAATGTATTTTAAATATTATATATGTTATATTAAACGTGTTGTCACAATCTATAAGAACAATTCTTTGATTTTTAATGGTAGTTCCATCTAGCCAAACCTGTTAATGACAAAGATTTTTGTTGGAGGGAAAAGTTCTTCTTTAAGAATTATTCTGAAATGATATAAATACGAAAAAGAACAATGTATTTTTTTTTTTTTGAGATGGAGTCTTGCTCTGTCGCCCAGGCTGGAGTTCAGTGGTGCGATCTTAGCTCACTGCAACCTCTGCCTCCCAGTTCAAGCGATTCTCCTGCCTCAGCCTCCTGGGTAGCTGAGAATGCAGGTGGGCGCCACCACACCCGGCTAATTTTTGTATTTTTAGTAGAGATGGAGTTTCACCATGTTGGTCTGGCTGGTCTCGAATTCTTGACCTCATGGTCCCCCCACCTTGGCCTCCCAAAATGTTGGGATTACAGGTGTAAGCCACCTTGTATTTTTCATGGCCTGCTTTCTTATTCACGTTATTAAATAACAGTTTTCTTCTCCTAAAATCTACTTGTCCTCTTTACATTCTGCCAAACACTGCAAAGGTCTCCTAATTCAAGAGCTTGTTTCAATAGAACAATGTTGTTCCATTTTTTTATTATTTTTTTAACAACATGCTAATTAAGGGTTGAATAGTCATTCTTAAAGTTCCTCTTAAAACAAATTGGAAAATGTATACTACTTTATTTATGCAAACATTTATGAAAATATTTGTGAATATCACATTGAACAATGAAGAAACAATAGGATATCTCTTTTCAAATTGTAGGTTAAAGAATATTTTTTTAAAAGCCAAAGATAAGGAGTTAACAGATTTTGCTTTGGACGAAGAGAAAATAAACTTCTTTTTATTCATGGATGCAATACTTTTATAAAGTTCCACAAAGCTTTTAAATGATACAAATGTACTTTATGTGTTGGAACAGTGTGCACTTCTATATTCCACAATTCACAGTACCTACAAAAATAAAAAAGTAACTTAAATATTTATTAGGAGCCAGAGCTACAGTTTTATCCTCTTTAAGATGAAGTATAAAACTAAAAACGATATATTTTCCTTCTAAGAGGGGTGTGTATGTGTGTGTGTATGCACATGTCTGTTTTTGACCTCTGACAGAGAAAATACAAAAATATTTAAAACAACAACAGATGCATTTTCATATCCAATATAAGATTTTTCTTTATATTCACTGCTGAAAAAGTTTATGAGAAATTTGTAGAGAAAAATGTAGGTCTGGTTACAGAATGATTTCTTCACAGATGTCAATGGAAACTATAAAGGATTTCCATATAACCAACTTTTTTCTCCTTAATATGAAAATTACATATATTGAAGCAATTGCAAGGATATGAAAAATATGTCAAATATGTATAGAAACTGCATAGCATTTGTTGAAAGTAAAAAGATACATTGAACAAAACACTGTCACAATTAATTTGTGGAATTATCTTTGATTTATTGTTTTTACTTGTTTTAATAACTCCGTAAGTTTGATATCCTCTATGGAAATGTCAACATATTTAACAATTATCCAGCTTTTTGCCTAAGATAGGCACTCTTGGAGTATTCTATATTCACATGTTATCTGTAGGATAAAGGATGTTTGAAAAACATGGTGTATGATGGAGCAATGTCAGAAAATTCTAATACTTCCAGATTTATTTTTACATTAAATAGTATTTCTCTAGAATTCCTGATATGGTTAAGTCCTGAATAGCTTTCCTAATGATATTTTTTCATCAGTAGTTTCTGTATTTAAATTCAAATGAGAGCATCACAGCAGGTTATTAAAGCTAGAATGTAGTTGAGGTTGACAATACTCTGTTTCTACATCTTAGTGAGTTGAAGATGTTTAGTGCAGCCTTACCTTTCTTGTAAGTTATTTATACATAACCATGAATCAGAAAGCTGGATTCCTAAACTTGGCAGACTAAACAGATTTCCTCTGTCCCATCTGCCAAATTCATTTCTTGATTCCCTATCTGAGGTCTCTCCAGTTCTTAGAGGTTTAAGAAAAGAAAACAAACAAATCTCAGGAGTGCCTGTGCAACTCTGCCCTCTGCTCACATCTTTGCCAATCCTGAATTCTATTCCATCTGCCCTGCTGCTGCCTGAGCTGTCCTCATGATCAATAGGCAGACAAGGACTGTTGGCAAATAGGAAACAGACATTTAATTTCACAGAACAGGAAGAAATTGCAAAATCCATATGATAAAGGCCATAGACATAAAATGCATTGGCTTTTAACATATGTGTATATTGCAGAAGAAGTTGAGAATACAGAAAAATATAAACTATGGAATGGCTTGTTGGAAAGCTATTCGTTGAAGCCATACTCTGTATCTAAAGATACATTTTTTGCCACATAAAGTGTAAGGAAAAAAATATATACTTTGAAAGTCTTATAAGCAATATTTCTAAGAATCTGAGCTAGAGTTCTTTTATAAATGGATGTATATTTTAACATTATATTTCCTGCTGACTAAGTTGAAAATGAAAATATTCTTGTTCAAAATAGTTTTCATTGCTGACAAAAGAGGTATGGCATTTATATGCAGAGAGATACTTTTTGTCCCAGAAATAAATCTAATGAAGATTTTATTACGCATTTGCTTTCTTTAGGGGCATTTTGCAATGTAATGGATATTGTCTTTTCTACCACCAGGAACTGATTTTTCTACCTGATTCAGTAACTGCAATGTGAGATGTCATTAAATGTTAGAGGCAATTATTTCAGCCAATTTAGCACATTAGCCTACCTTCACCTACATAATATTTTGTCATGTTTTCTATCTTCTTTCATACTCATCCCTGCTTCATTCTTTCACAGTGCCATCCTAGTTTTATTACGGTTCATTCTTACTTTTCCTCAGAACTTTGTTATTTGCCCCCTTTTAATCTCTTTTATGATATTTATGGATCACATAATCTATTTTTAAGAATCTCCTTATTCTTACCTTACTTCCAGTAGTATTCCATATTCTCACTCCAAAAAAAAAAAGCAGTTTTTCACAGAAGAATACATGGCAGTTATTTTAAAGACTTTTCATATTTTTCATATCCACAAATTCAAAGGGAAGTTATGTGAAGTCAGCCTGCCTCTTGCATCCAACAAAAAAGTATTGTATTTCAGCCTTTTTCTTCTTTCTTTTAAAAAACTTTTTGCTTGAAATGCATGCCATCCATTTTCTTCTTTTTACTGCTACTACTTCTTCCTATGTTCTAAGATACACATCTATTTTCAATAATTAGTTTAGTGGCAAGATCACAATGCCACTGTTTTAATTTGTTGGATACGTATTTTTGTAAAATTCAACATTATTTTTAAAATTTTTTCTCAATACCTAGGTCAGAGAGTTTTTTGATACATTTAATTGTAGTGAAATTCGGTTCTATTTTATTTTACCGCCTTGAAAGAAGACCACAACGGAAGCTCCTCCAATGCTGAACATTGAGTAACATCTTTGTAAAATTTCTCCCTCAGTTTACTAAATCATTCCCTTTGAGTATTAGGAGAATTTTGCCTCAATTAGCTCTTCTTAATCACATTATAACATCTTGTCCCTCACTTCCTACAGTCTCCAGACACCATCTGTCCTCTCACCAGCTAATTAAGATTTTAATAACAGGTCCATCAAAAATTCAATTATTATGTTGGTTGTCTTTTTTTACATGACAGCTGTCAATCAATGAAAAAGAGCAATAACTATTCACATTTTGTAATCTTATGAATGATGTGTTACCAATTAAATTATAGGTAGTTCAATGTAAGTTGTAAATCTATATGCACATTTTGCAATTGGCATATAAACACGTATCAAAAAAGGTTAATAAATAATATATTATGGTGTAACTAGAAAAGAAATTAGCATTATATTTGTGTAATGTTTTGCATTAACTCACATTTATTGAAATTGCCCTTATAGTTTAGGTAGTGCTTTATATTTTTAAAAATTATATAGTTGAGAAGAAAAGACTAAAGGAAAACACTAATTACATAGTCAAACTTCCTGGAAGAATTCAATACCAGAATTAATACACTAATCAATAAATCTGGTTGCAATGCTCTTTTACTTCAATATTATTATTTATTATATTATATTATTTTGATTCACTTGTGTTTGGTATTACTAAACATATCTTTAGAATAAATTTTGGGTCAATGTGTAATGTTTTCTGAAATATTATCAACTCTTTGCATAAAAGCCTAATGTGAATTGAAGATTGTAGATGAAATCTGATATGTTAGTCATCAAGGTTCGAATTAGAAGATTTTCAAGGGAACTCTAGCACTGTTTTTGTGGACCCACATTCTTTCTAACATGGATGTCATTTTCTTCTTCATGCTGCTCACCTTAATCTATATCACCCTATAACTGATGTAACAAGGGAGGTTCAATTAGATTAATTTGCAGGTGCATGTAAATTACCAATAGATTAAAAGTTTTAATTTTCTCAAATTATTTTATCATAAATTAAGTGGTAGAAATATTACTTAGCAGAAGCCTATTTTCAGCTCTTAATATTTGTTTTCCCCTCTCAATTATTTTCCTTTATGTACTATGTATTTTAGATATTTCCTGGAACCTCATATTTCTATAAATCACTCAGATGTCATTGCACTCCAGGTTAGGTACTGGAAACTCTTTTATATCTGCTGTGTTAGAAAAATAATAATAAAATATTGGTAATAGTTTTAAAAGATTATCAAGTCCATCCTGTGTGCCTAGAGATACTTAGGAGATTCTGACTTACACACTGATTATTTAGTAGGCTTTTGCATTATTGCTGATTTAGGTTTCTGATTTGCAGATTCATTGTTTTCTTCATTGGAGAAGTAATAATTAGAACGTTGTATGACGGGAAAATATACTTGTAGTGCAAATTAATTGTGCAGCCCCAAATCAAGGGTATTTTAGCAGAAGGGTAAGATGCAAGCATACAAGTTCACTGTTCAAAAAATACATTTATATAGTATTCTATATAATTTACATTTATTTAACTTTGTAAACTGTATCATCTAGGTAAAACAATGCCCATAGGCATTTGGGGAGAAGGCATACTATTAATGGCTCTTATTTGGAGAACATTCTTTATCTTAACATGTATCCCCCAGAAAAACTCATACAAAAAAGAATTTAATACAGGCTGAATTTTTAGGTAAAATTACCTATGAATTATAATGACCCCTCAAATTAGTTTCCTTTATGTTTTAGGATTAAACTTTTTAATTTAACATGTAGTACCTCTGGAAATACATGTTATTGAAATTGCAGATGATAAAGAACTAAGGACTGGCGTGGTGGCTCACGCCTGTAATTCCAACACTTTGGGAGGCAGAGGCGGGCGATCACTTGAAGTCAGGATTTAGAAGCCTGGCCAACATGGTGAAACTCAGTCTCCACTAAAAATACAAAAAAAAAAAAAATTAGCCGGGCATGGCGGCGGGTGCCTGTAGTCCCAGCTACTCGGGAGGCCAAGGCAGGAGAATTGCTTGAACCCGGGAGGCGGAGGCTGCGGTGAGCCGAGGTCGTGCCATTAACTGCGCTCCAGCCTGAGCAACAGAGTGAGACTCCGTCTCAAAAAAAAAAAAAACAAAAAACAAAACAAAAAAAAACTGAGGTCTTGTATTAGGTTCATTATGGGTTAGAAGTTCATTTGTAAAATAGTTGTCATTTATTTATGAACATATATTTATCACTTTGGTAACCAAGCAAAGTTCTAACAATCTAAATCACGGCGTTCTTGTCTCATTCTGGACCCATATTCAGGAACTTGAAAACATTTGTTTCTGAAATAGATTGTAACTTTATTTCTGCCTTTACTTGATGTGAAAGTGACGTATCTATATCGCCTCACTGAAGTTACAGATACACTAAAATATACAAAATAAACACAGACGCACATGCTCACACTTCTAAAGTCAAATAATTTTTTTGTAAAAATCTTAGGTTTCAAAGGAAGCTATATAAAACTTACTGCTAAACTTTTATGGCTTTGTGGGAAATTAAGATATCCGAATTTGCCTTCCCTTACATTACAGAAAATGACATATGAATATGTAAATTTGGATATGAAATAAATTAATATTTCATTATAGTCTTATTTGCATGAAACCTGCTCTGTTTTAATAATTGTAAGTTCTAGTGGAATGCTCATACAGGTGATTTAATGAAATGTTAGCAAAGGAGAACTATCTAGCAGTCAAGAAACTTATGTCGCTTTATCGCCTAGGCTGGAGTGCAGTGGCGCGATCTCGACTCACTGCAATCTCCGCCTCCTGGGTTGACGCCATTCTCCTGCCTCAGCCTCCCAAGTAGCTGGGACTACAGGCACCCGCCACAACGCCTGGCTAATTTTTTTGTATTTTTTAGTAGAGACGGTTCCACCGTGTTAGTCAGGATGGTCTCGATCTCCTGACCTCGTGATCCGCCAGCCTCAGCCTCCCGAAGTGCTGGGATTACAGGCGTGAGTCACCACGCCCGGCCCACAGTGGTGTTTTTAAGAATGTTAAGAACCGGAACAGAACACTGGTGATCAGAACTGGCACCAACCAGATAACAACAGATATGATAGTGCTATTGAACAGTAGCCAAATGTAGACCCTGATAAATGTGATTATATACATGAAAATGCTTTGAATTTTTAAGTACTCTACAAAGATATAATTATAGTGAGTTATTGGGCAATTCTTAACCAACCCCCCCCCCCCAATTTTCTGTCTTTTTAAAGCAGTATATATTCATTGTGGAAAGATTGAACATTCAAGAAAATAGAGGAAAATACAAAAATTATAATCCATCTCAAGGAAATTATTGTCACCAATTTTGGATATTTTATTGAGAAAAAGCATATTATAAATTTTATCAGTATGTTGTTTATATTATTCTATCACATTAAAAAATGCATATGCTAATGAGTAATGAGATACATGCATGAGAATTTTATCAATATACCAAAAATAACTGACATAGAAAATGTTCTATATTTAACATAAAACGACACAATTGTGGCTTATTTCCACTGAATCATTTACCTATGAGCATATAATTTCACTTTTAACAGTAGGAAGATGCAATAATTTGAAACAAACTTTCTGTTATACTGAGTTCATAGTACCTCTACTGCTGTAAAAATACATAAAATAACAGGCAGGTGCAATAATTTAATACAAATTAGGCAATTTATAAATTATTAAAGTCAGTGAATCAGGTCATGTAGAAAATGTTTCTACTCAGTGAGGAAATGTAAAGAATTTTGTTAGCTGTGTTCTGTTTTTCTCAAATAGAGAAAAAACGTAACTTTTTTAAGAAAAACTTCATTTATCAAACTGTCATGTTGGATCTTGGCCTCTAAAGGATGTCTTCTGGGAAGAAAATTATGTTTTAAATATCACCTTGTGTTTCTGAGAAAGTAGTATATAAACCCAAAATACTATTATTTTTATCATTTTAAATTGGTTGATACAATGTCTATTTTTGTATTGAAATTTTATATGCCAACTTACTATCTTATCATCCCAATGACTTTATCATCATTTTTTTTTCCTAAATGACTCATTTTTTTCTTACTGGATTCATTCCAGTTTCTTGTATCATATTTTTAACACAAAAACCATGCAATATGTGTTTTTTTATTCAAGGTAGAATTTTATGATATTATCTTTTCTTGAATTATTTTCATATTTACCATAGATAGTAGCTCCTATAGAACTATAGTTTACAAATTTATTGCAATCTTTTTACCTTGTCTTGAATAAATAAATCAAGATCAACCAACATTGCTTCTTAATGTTCTTTTGTACATCTTTTTGTCTCCATATGTTTACATTTTATTTTTTATTAGTTTTGTGTAAGACATTTTTAAAATAAGGTTTTCTATTTCTGTGCCATCATACTGTATTTTATTTAATGTGATTTCACTAATTATTCAAATTGTTATTCATGCCACTTACTAGATGGATGACCTTTGAAAATTATTTATGTTTACTTGATGTCTATTTTTATTTCGTAAAACAAAAAGTTAGATTGGATGAATGATAAAACCCTTCTCCAATCATTGACACTGTAGCCCATTTTCTGCCACTTACTTAGACATAGATTCATTCTTTCTCTTCTTATGACTTATTATTCATAAAATAACTCATTTTGGAAATGATTTCTTCTTTTTAAGCATCTCCATATATTTCTAACAGTATCATAATTCTGCAATTCAAGAAGTATCTAGCTTAAAAGCTTACAATGAATGTAGACATGCTTAATTTATATAGGTCAAAAATAAAGATGTAGTTTAAAATATGTAGATAATAATTATACTGTAAAGTTGAGGCTAAACCAATCTCTCAGTAGTAAGGATCAAGCCACCTGATAACTGTATAGTATTTATTAAATACTAAATCAAATGCATAAAATAAACTTTGTGCTCTTTGTCTATATGAAAAAAATTAACTTTAAAAATTTACAATGGAATCTGAGTTTTGTATAAATGTGGAAAACAGCACATTAATAGGTAATATTACCATATATGCTCAGTTGTGTGACAATCTGTATAGTCCTGTTTGTTTATTTTTCAAATTCTTGTAATTTTCGTTTATTATGCTTTATAAAATGATTAAATAAAGTAATTTCAGGTTCAATAAAAATGATTGACTGATCTCTGAAGAAATGTAGAATTAGAATAGCAAGGATTTGGGAGCTTACTCCTTACTTTTATCATATCCTAAATATTTTCAAAAGATTAAAGATGCATTCTTTTCTGCATTTATATGGCATTAAAGATGACAACTATGTACAGAGTTTCTAATTTTTGTGACAGTATGATAGTAAACAAAACCAAATGGTATTATTTATTTCCCAATTATTAGATTTGAAAATCTATTAATGCGTATTAATCAAATCATCACTTTCTGTTGTCTATAATAGTGATAATTTTAAATTTTTTTAACATTACTGAATTGCTTTAAAACTATAGAGCAAGGAAAATTTCTTCGAAAGTTAAACTTTTGAAAAGGGTCGTTTGTGTTAGTAGTTTCCTAGTTAAAAAAACAATTGTGCATTTATATAACATTAGATAATATGTTTACAAAGTAATTTTACAAATTCCAATATCTTAATATTAAATATATGTTATTATAACTTTTATTTATTAAGCATTTAATATGTGCTCAGCAACTGTTAGGCATATTTCACACATAATCTCTTAGAAAGCCAAGAAAAATAGAGAAGAATGAATAAAACACTAAAACTTTACTATATAATGCTTGGAGAAAATGTATCAAAATATAAGCCTATAAAATTTTAAAGTAAAAGGGTGGAAGACCATGTATATAGATAGATTTGAATGTAGATAAATAGATAATAATATATAGATATGGATATAATACAAATACAAGTAGAAAGAAAACTGGTCTGTCTATACTGATATCAAACAAAGTAGGCAGTAATAGAAAGGAAGGGCTAGATAAAAGGAGCAATTTGATAATGACTAATGTTGCAATCATCAGAAAGACGTAACTAAAATGAGAAATAGAAAATCTATAAGGCAATATTTTAATTCACTATTCTCAGTAACTGATAGATAAATCATACGAAACTGCAAACTGATTATGAAAGTTAATGCAGTGAGCACACTTGACCTAATAGACACATATAAAGCATTGTGCTAGCACTTACAGAGTAATTTTTTTAAGATATATGGAACAACTTTTAAAATTGACTTTATGCTGGGTGACAAAAACAGTCTCAATAAATTGCAAAAGAATGAAATCTCACAGCATGTTTTCTCTGACTGGATAGAAAATCCCATGTATCTGGCAACTGAACAATAAATTATTAAATATCTCTTGGTTGAAGACAAAACCTTAATGGAAATTTAAAATTTTATTTTACTGAAACAAAATAATAACTAAACACTAAAATTTGTTGGATCCTGCTACACCAGCTTATAAACAGATGTCTGGCTGTAAATCCATGTGGTAAGAAAGAAAAAATTTCTGAAATGTTAATGTATTATTCATCCATCCCAAGAAAAAACTACAAATTAAACATGAAATTCTTCTAACTCACAAGCAATTAGAAAAATGAAGTAATGGAAATAAAAAGTAGAAGACCAGAAGGTAATAAAATAACTAATAATTAGAACAACAGAAAGAAATCAACAAAACTAGCAGCTCTTTGTAAAGACTAATAAAATGTATATACCCTTTCTAAGACAAATCAAGAAAGAGAAGACACAAATATCCAATACAAGAGTGAAAGTGAGAAAGTTCTCTAAATACTAGAGATATTAAAAAAGATCTAACAATCTTAAAAATTTGAAACTTTAGACATTTTATCAAGTTTCTTAAATTATACAACATCAAAACTGACCTAAAAATAAAAATCCTGAATAGTTCAGTATCTAAGAAAAATTGAATTTCTACTTTAAAGGCTCCCCACATAAAAAGAACTTTAGGCCAAAATAATATTACCTATTATTTCTAGCAAATATTTAAGGAAGAAAGAATTCCTAAATCATACAGGCCCTTCTAGAGAATAAAAACAGGGAAAAATATCCAAACACTTATAAGAGGCCAAAGTAACCTTGATGTCAGAACACAAAGGTATTTAAAAATAAGTAAATTTACATGCCTATCTTGCTCATTAATGTACATGTAATTGTTCTGAAAATAACATTGGAAAAATCATGCGTATAAATAACTAAAAAGGTAAAAAAATCATGAACAAGTTGGGTTTATTTCAGGAATATGCCAAATTGATTCAATATTCAAAAGTCAATTAATATAATTTAGCATATTAGTAACTTAAAGAAGAACATCCAAAAGATTAACCCAGATAACCACTTAATCAAATTAAGCATGCACTTTAGATTAAAAGAGAGAACAGTAAACTATATGTAGAAGAAGGTATCTTAAAGTTAACAATAAAAATACTATGGCAATTATAACCCTTTATGGTTAAATATTGAAATATTTTCTTTTGAAATTGGGAATAAGACAAAGATTCCTTCTCTTTAATATTGTACAAGAAGTACTAAGCAGTGGCATAAACAACAAAAATAAAATGAATATATTGCTATTGAAAAGAAAAAATATAATTTGCAGACAATATTATTTATACCAAAATAATCCAGTAGAATATAGATAAATTATTGAAATTCCTAAGTGAGTCTAGCAAATTGGCCAGATACACAATTAATATACAAATATCACAGGTATTTCTACATTTCAGTAATAAACCATTGGAAAATAAAATGTTAAAATATAACATTTAAAATTCTACAAACATAGCATAAAAAATTTAGTGAAAAATGTGTAAAGTGTGTATGCACAAAAACATTCATTACTGAGATAATAAAATGCAAGAAACTGGATTTTGTATCTTTATGCTGTAATAAATAATAGTCATATATTTGCATATTTACAATAATGCATCCTGTGTACATATATGTGTATATGTGTGTCTGTTTTTGTGTATAGCATGGACTAAGTGATAAGTGAAAAGTCAATTAAAATGAATTAGTGAGTACACTACCAGCCCAATACTTATACATACACACCTGGTTTAGGACAGAGCAGTGGGGGAAAAAAATGGTCTTTTGTTAAATAATCCTGAGTCATTTGTATATTAATATAGAAGAAAATAAATCTTGACCTGTTTTGATGATCTCAAGACTACACTCGCAATTCATTTGCTACAAGTACTTCCAGGACTCAAGAGCAATTTATTCACGTAACTATGAGTTATTACAGCAAACAGATACAGAGCCAGAAAGAGGATAAAAGAGATGCAGTTGGCCAATTTTCAAGGAGTAAGATGCAGGCTCCCACATTCTTTTTTTTAAACCTTTTTATCTGGGACTGAATAGAATGCACTTTTCTCTCTGGCTGTGAATTTCAAGGATACATGCAAAGTGTCCCTTACCAGGGAAGGATGCTTGAGTCTCAGCGTTCAGGGTTTTGATAGAGGGCTGGACATGTGGGCATACCGTGTTATGTGACCAGCCATGGTTACTGAAACTCAGGAACTCCAAAATGAAACCAGGTGAATATCATTAGTCTTGATGTTTGTCAAAGCAATCATGACAAGCTTATTTGCACAGCCTATGACTCAAGGTGTGAAAAATTATCAGCTATTAACATAAATAACCTTCTGAGGTCTGTATCCCTGAGGTGAGCAAGAGTCCATCATGGTTCCAGGCAGCTTTGGAAACAGACAGGGACTAAGCAAACAGACATGTGTTAATTATTTCCTTACATGATATCTAACTCCCCTCAAAAATTAGTTGCAGGTAGAGTATATATTTAAATAAAAAAGCAAAGTAACAGAACATATAGAAGATAATAGGTACTATCTTTTTGAATTTAGGATAAAAACAAGTTTCCTAAGTGGGAAACTAAGTGTGTAACCATAAAGCAAAAATTGATAAATTATATTTAAATTAACAATTTACGTTCAGCAAAAAATAGAGTTGACATACGTAAAAGGCAAGACACAGATTAGGAGATGTATTTCTGAGAAGAAAACTGACAGATTTATAACAAGTATGTATAAAGAAATCCTTCAAATCATTTATAAATCCAGAAGAGAAAATGTGCAAAATACCTGGTCAAGCTTCACAAAGAGAATATTCAAATAATCAATAAACATAAGAAAGTTTGCTGAACCTCATTAGTTATCAGAGAAATTCAAATTAAAGCACAGTGAGCTATTACTACTTACCCATGAGAATACTAATGTCAACATGGTTAACATTAAGAAATATTTTTGATAATATGGACAAATTCAAATTCTTATGCACTTATTGTAAAAATGGGTTTTGATGCAGCAACTTTGGAAGCCCATTTGCCTTTAATGTTATGAATATACTTTGGCCCCCAAATTTTATTCCTGATAAAATAACTAACATAATCCAATGCATATATTTACCAAAAAAATACATGCAAAAATGTTCTAGCAGCATTATCAATTTAGGCCAAAAACTAGAAAAAAAATTGAAATTCCATCCATAGAATATTGAATAAATCCTTTATGGTTTATGCATGCAATATAATTTTGCACAACAGGAAATATATATGAAATTTACCTGCATGCATTAACATGGAAGAATTTCGCAAACATAATGTTAAGAGAAAAACAATAAACATAGACGTATTTTGTGATTCACTTTCTATGGAGTTTAAAACAGGCAAAATTATAAATGCAGTGTTTGAAACCTAGTTAGTGGCTACCTTTATGAAGGAGGAAATGATCAGAACTGGATGAAGCAAAGGAGTTTCAGAAGGGTTGGCATTACACTATTTCTTTGTTTCGGTTACACTTCATCATAATGACAATTTGGAAATATCAGGAACAATCATATTAATAAAAATAAAAAGTACTATCTTTTATTGGGAACATCACTTACTTTATTTCATTTGATTTTGGAATAGCCCAGGAAAGTAGATTATGTTAGTTACTGTTCTTTAAATTCAGGAAATATGAAACAAACATGGTAAATTTGACTAAAACTCAAATTCAATATAACTACATGAAGTAGCTTAAAAAACTGAAAGAAAAACTCAACCAGGCTTTGAAAGGCACACAAATCAGAGTAGCTTTTAGGATCTAGGTTGCAATAATGAATCAACTTGTTCTCCTGAAGGCAATATTGGAAAAAATTATCTCAAGTCATTTTCTTCATTTTGTCATTATATTAATGCCCTGTTGCCACTGTGACAAATTGCCACACTCTGAGTGGCTTCAAGCAACACACACATTTATTCTCTTAGTTCTGGAGGTGAGAAGTAACAAATAGATCAACAAATCTACATCTTTTTATAGCATCTAGTGGATAATTTGTTTCCTCACCTCTTACTGCTTCTAGGGACCACCTACATTCCTTGGCCCATGGTCTTCTTCTTTCAGCTTGAAAGCTAGCAGTGCAGCACCATCTCTCTTCACTGACCTCAGTTTCCAACCTCACATGTTCTCTCTGATTCTGACCATCACACTTCTCTCTTATAAGAATCTGTGATTGCATGGTGCCCACCCAGACAATGCAGGATAATCTCCCCATCTCAAGATCCTGAACTCAATCATATCTGTAATGTTTCTTTTACCTTGTAAGATAATGTATTCACACGTTCTGGGGATTAGAATATGGACAACTTTTGGGAACCACTATTCAGCATACCACAATTGCTTCGATTAAAATGTGTCTTTTAGAGAGAGAATTAGTGACAATTATTTCATATGCCCAATTACTCACAAGGAAAAGCAAACAATTATAATTAAGTAGGCCATCAATTTTGTACAGTGATATTTCAGGGATTGCTATTACAAAAAAGAAGAAGAAGATATTAGATAAAATTCAGAGGTGACTCACAACACCTTCCCAAATCACAAAATTTTATAGAGTGTGATTAGGATAATATTGTGTCACGTATTATGGTCATTTCAAAGAATATGAGTCACACCACACAAAATTTGGAGTAGATATTAAGAACAATGATACCACATATGCACTAAGGGGTAAGTGAAAGTCTATCAGTAACATAATGAGGTTTTTTGGGAAATGTAGGGCTAGCTTCCAAGCAGGTGTGAAAATGGCTTAAAATAGCTGGTAAAGGAGACTGGCCTAGATTTTTTTGTGGTTAGAGGGTAGGACTGGCTTGAGGATTCTCATGCATGTGTGGGTGAGCATGAAAAGAGTAGCATTCAGGCTTCCTCTAGCAACTGGTTTATAGACTTGGCTTTTTCATCATCAACTGCTCCAATTATGAAATTATGATTTCAAGTTTTCCTCACACTAAAAGGGAATTTTACAACTCTAATTTAAGAGAAAATGTGAGTAGGAAAGTAAACAAGTTCAGCAATCTACTCAAAATTAAGAGATAAGAATATCAGATTAAAATCAAATAATGTAATAGTGCTATTTAACATCAACAAAGTAATATAAAAGTAATTGTGGTGAAAACAGCATATGTTTGTAAAAATATTGGAGAAGAAACCTTTTTTTGCTGTGGAGAGATAAGCAGGTAAATCACTTTCATATGTAAAACGTCTGATTTGTTCTTATATAATTTCAAACATTCTTACTGGATAGATCTGATGGTTAATATTGAGTGTCAACTTGATGGGATTGAAGGATGCAAAGTATTCTTTCTGGGTGTGTCTTTGAGGGTGTTGCCAAAGGAGATTAACATTTGAGTCAGTGGACTGGGAAAGACAGACCCACCCTCAATCTGGGTGGGTACAATCTTATCAGCTGCCAGCAGGGCTAGAATAAAAACAGGTGGGAAAATGTGGAAGGACTTGACATGCTTATTCTTCTGGGCTTTATCTTCCTCCCATGCTGGATGCTTCCTGCCCTTGAACATCAGACTCCAACTTTTTTCAGGTTTTAGGCTTTTGGATTTACAGTATGGTTTGCCAGGGGGATCTCAGGCCTTTGGCCACAGACTGAAGGCTGCATTGTCAGCTTCCCGACTTTTGAGGTTTTGGGACTCCTACTGATCCACCACTGGCTTCCTTTCTCCTCAACTTGCAGATGGCCTATCTTAGAACTTTACCTTGTGATCGTGGGAGTCAATTCTTCTTGAGAAACTTTCTTTCATATGTACATCTATCCTATTATAAGTCCTGTCCCTCTAGAGAACCCGGACTAATACTTATTGTTACCAGAAGTGGGGTGGTTCTAGAGGAACAGAATTTTAAGAATGGGTTTCTTTAGTTGGTTTGGGGTTTCTGGAGTTGGCTGCTTAATATGATTACAACCTAAAATGCTAAAGACTCTTATTTCTAATAGTATGGGGAATACCGATAGTCCTTGGCATGAGGTGTTTAGAGAGTTACGCAAAATAAATGCATTTGATACTCCTGTTTCACCACTCATCAGAGGCAGGATGTTTAATAACTCTGTACATAATACCTTTGACAATATGTGGAGAACCAAGGAATATTATGAAGCTGTCTGGGTGCTTCTAAGTTCACTGGACAAAGTGATAAAATAAATAAATAAATAAATAGATACATAAATAAATCAATAAAAAGATGAGCTCAGGGATTCTAACTCCCGGCTCCAGACGCACATGCCGAGCCTCATGTCTTCTAAGATTGCCCTAAATGAGAATCTTATCTTCTGTAGACAAAGGGCAGAAATTGCAGAAAATCAGACATAAGGTTTTATCCTGTGAGTGGCTACCTGCAACAAAAGGTGCACACTCAGTCTCACCAGGTGTCTACTGTTAGAGTGAGGGCATTGATTGGAAAAGAATGGGACCCTGCAACTTGAAATGGGGACATGTGGGAGAACCCTGGTGAGGCTGGGGGCACTGAGCTCCTAAATGCTGATGAGCCTTTTTTTGCCAGAGGAAACAGCCTCCCTAACCACAGTGTTGGCAACATTCCCTTCCCTATCTGCATTGCCATCAACCTTTCCACCTTTGTTTGAGGAAATTAACCATGCACTGCCCTGCCTGAGGCAATAGTAATGGCCTTCCTGGGGCAGTTGCCAGGAAAAACAATATGGATTCTCCTCAGGACCCACTCCCAACACCCCTCTTTGCTTCAAGACCTATAATTAGACTCAAGTTCCAGAAGGCCCCTACAGGTGAGGTTCAGAGTGTGACCCATAAGGCGGTATGCTACACTTGAAAAAAACTGTTTAAGTTTTCTAATTTATATAAGCAGAACTCTGGAGAACAGGCATGGGAATGTATATTAAGCATATGGGATAATGTTGAAAGGAACATAAAGTTTGATAAGGCTGAATTTAGTGATATGGGCCCACTCATCAGGGATTCTGCATTTAATATTGCAGCTCGGGGAGTTAAAAAAGGTTCTAATAGTTTATTTGCTTGATTAGCTGAAATATGGATCAAAATATGGCGCACTGTGAACATGAGCTGGAAATGCCCGATCTCCCTTGGTTTAATTTAGAGGAAGAGATCCAAAGGCTTAGGGACATTGGGATGCTAGAGTGGATTTGTCACTTTAGACCCAGTCATCCCAGCTGGGAGGGTACAGAAAACATAACTTTCACCAATAGCTTGCAAAGTAGATTTGTGAGGGGAGAATCTGCATCTTTGAAGAGCAATTGCTCTTCTCTGTATGCAGATATTACAATGGAAACCACAGTCATTCAACTACAAAATGTAAATGCAATGGGAATAATTGGATCACAAGGTGACAGGGGCCAAATGGTGGCATTCAACCATCAAAAGCAAGATGGGCGAAGTTATCATAATGAACAGCAGAGGCAAAGCAGCAATCAGAATAGTCTGACTTGTGTAGAGCTCTAGAATTGGCTAATTAATCATGGTGTTCCTAGAAGTAAAGTTGAAAGGAAGCCTACTGCATTCTTACCTAATTTATATAAGCAGAAAACTTCTAGGTCGAGTGGACAAAAGACTAATTTGAAATATAAAAACAGAATCATGGCCCCTTAATCAATTTCCAGACTTGAACCAGTTTACAGACCCAGCACCCCTTGAATGAAGGGGAGGCTGTGTCCCCTTGAGGAAGGAGCTCATTACACTACTGACAACTTGTACTGTAATCTTTCTGTCATTCTTGCCAAGGAGACCTCCAGCCTTTTATCAGGGTAACTGTGCATTGGGAAAAAGGGAATGATCCGAATTTTTGGAGACTACTAGATACTAGCTGAAGTTGATTCCCAGGAACCTAAAACATCATAGTGGTCCTCCAGTTAAAATAGGAGCATATGGAGGTCATGTGATATTAATCACGTGAGTTTTTCTGTCCTTTGTCTACAGAAGATAATCATCAGGTCATGTGAGTTTCAGCTTAGGTCCAACTTACAGTGGGTCCTTGGACTCATCCTGTGGTCATTTCCCCAGAATGCATCATTGGCATAGATATACTTAGCAGCTTGCAGAATCCCCACATTGGCTCCCTGACTGGTAGAGTGAGGGCTGTTATGGTGGGAAAGGCCAAATGGAAGCCTTTAGAGCTGCCTCTACCTAAAAAATAGTAAATAAAAAACGGTATTGCTTCCCTGAAGAAATCACAGAGATTAGTGCCACCATCAAGGACTTGAAAGACACAGGAGTGGTGATTCCCACCAAATCCCCATTCAACACTTCTATTTGGCTTATACAGAAGACAGATGGATCTTGAATAATGATAGTGGATTATCATAAGCTTAACCAAGTAGTGATTCTGATTGCAGCTGCTGTACAATATGTGGTCTTATTGCTTGAGCAAATTAACACATCTCCTGGTACCTAGTATGCAGCCATTGACTTGGCGAATGCCTTTTCTCCATTCCTGTCCATAAGACCCACCAGAAGCAATTTGCCTTCAGCTGGCAAGGCCAGCAATATAAGTTCACTGTCCTACCTCAGGGGTATATCTACTCTCTGGATTTGTGTCATAATCTTGTTCACAGAGATCTTGATCACTTTTCCCTTCCACAAGATATCACACTGGTCTATTACATTGATGACATTATGCTTACTGGGACCCGGTGAGTGAGAAGTAGCAAACACACTGGACTTATTGGTGAGACGTTTGCATGCCAGGGCACACATAAGTTACATGAGAAAGTGGCTCAAATGCCCATGGTCCCCACTCTTGCCATCCTGCCTTTTCTTTTTGAGCCTTCACCAATGGCCCCATGGGGAATTCTTTACGATCAGTTGATGGAGGAAGAGAAGACTAGGGCCTGGTTTACAGATGGTTCAGCACAATGTGCAGGAACCACCTGAAAGTGGAAAGCTTTCTAGGACATCTCTGTAGCCCCTTTCTAGGACATCTCTGTAGGACAGTGGTGTAGAAAAATTTTCCCAGTGGGCAGAACTTTGAGCAGTGCACCTGGTTGTGCACTTCACACTGAAGAAGGAAAGACAAGATGTGCGATTGTATCCCGATTCATGGCTGTAGCCCATGGTTTGGCTGGATGGTCAGGGACTTGAAAGAAACATGATTGGAAAATTGATGACAAAGAAATTGGGGAAGAGATATGTGGAAGGACCTCTCTGAGTGGTCAAAAACTGTAAAGATATTTCTATCTCATGTGAGTGCTCACCAAAGGGTGACCTAAGTAGAGGAGGATTTTAATAATCACAAGGATAGGTTGACTCATTCTGTGGACACCACTCAGCCTCCTTCCCTGGCCATCCCTGTCATCGCCCAATGGGTTCATGAACAAAGTGGCCATGGCAGCAGAGATGGAGATTATGCATGGGCTCATCAACATGGACTTTTATTCACCAAGGCTGACCTGGCTACGGCCACTGCCAAGTCCCCGATTTGCCAGCAGCAGAGACCAACACTGAGACCTCAATACAGCACTGTTCTTTGGGGTGATCATCCAGCTACTTGGTGGCAGGTTGATTATATTGGACTTCTTTCATCATGGAAAGGGCAGTAGTTGGTCTTCACTGTAATAGACACTTACTCCAGATATGGGTTTGCCTATACTGCACAAAATGCTTCTGCCATGACTACCATCTGTGGACTCATGGAATGCCTCATCCACCATCAAGGGATTCCACACAACATTGCCTCTGACCAAGACACTCATTTTATGGCTAAAGAAGTGTGACAGTGGATTCATGCTGATAACATTTACTGGTCTTACCATGTTCCCCATTATCCTGAAGCAGCTGGACTAATAGAATGGTGAAGTGGCCTTTTGAAGTCACAATTACAAAGCCAGCTAAGTAACAACACTTTGCAAGTCTGGGGCAAAGTTCTTCAGAAGGTTGTGTATTCCCTGAATCAGCATCCGATATATGGTGCTGTTACCCCCATAGCCAGGATTCACGGGTCCAGTAATTCAAGGGGTGGACATGGAAGTGGCACCTCTCACCATTACCTCTATTGACCCACTAGCACAATTTTTGCTTCCTGTTCTGACATTGTGTTCTGCTGGCCTAGAGGTCTTAGTTCCAGAGGGAAGAATGCTGCCACCAGGAAACACAACAATGATTCCATTAAACTGGAGGCTGAGATTGCCACCTGGCCACTTTGGGCTCCTGCTACCTTTAAGTCAACAGGATAAGTAGGGAGTTACAGTGTTTGCTGGGGTGATTGACCCAGACTGTCAAGATGAAATCAGTCTACTACTCCACAATGGATGTAAGGAAGGGTATGCATGGAATACAAGAGATGCCTTAGGGCGTCTTTTAGTAATGCCATGTCCTGTGATTAAGGTCAATGGGAAACTACAACAGCCCAATCCAGGCAGGACTACAAATGACCCGGACACTTCAGGAATGAAGGTTTGAGTCACTCCACTGGGTAAAAAACTACCACCTGCTGAGGTGCTTTCTGAAGGAAAAGGGAATACAGAAAGAGTAGTAGAAGAAGGTAGTCATCAATATCAGCTACACCTACGTGACCAGTTGCAGAAACAAGGACTGTAATTGTCATGAGTATTTCCTTCTTATTTTGTTAAGAATGTGTTTGTGCATGTATGCATTTGTACTAAAAAATATATCTTTTTTTCCTTTCTTTTTTCTTTATTATGTGACATGAGATTTATTGACAGCATACCAGTGATACAGGAGTGAAGAAGAAATTACTTAGGCAGATAGTGAGGGTACCGAGTTCTTTGTAAGGTTTTCCTTTTAATGAAAAGCAGCCCCCAGATAATTTTCTTTTCTAACAAAGAGCAGCCTGTAAAATTGAACTGCAGACATAATCAAGCAAGCTGGAAGCTTTCACAGGTGAATGCTGGCACTAAGCATATTCAAAATGGCAGCTCCATGTTCCCTTCTCTTTGCTAGCCATATGTACAGTAAGCAGCAGATAACATGGAGATGGCCAAGTGGAAAGCCCATTTGCATAATAAGATTAGGGTGGTGTGGCCAGTCTTCCCTGCGAGCTGAATAAAGTTATAAATTGAGTCAGTTACAATTGCAACATTTTAAACACTTAAAACTCACATGTATCTAGTGGTGATGAAATTAAACAGCACAGATAAAGAATATATTTATCATTCCAGAAGTTTCCATTAGCTAGTATTTGTGTATAGCGCCAATATGAAAATTGTTTTATGGAAAAGAAAATATTGATTATAGTCCTCTCACAGTGATTAATCTTGATAAAATAGGGAACTCAGAACATTCCTTCTATTCTGATGAAAATCATCTTAAGAGAGTACACGTTCATGTGCAGTGGATTTAATTCCTTCTGTATAGTCTGTTCTCAAAAGTTTTTTAAAACTTAACACATATGAGGCAGAATGCTTTATGATACAATTGATAAAAGAAGCAGGTTCTGTCCACAAGCATTTTGATATTTTACCAGAAAAAATATGAGCAAGAACAAATAGTGACAGGAAAAATAAGGAAGAAAAAAACAAAGTTCAATGGTGTTTAAAGGAGAGAAAAATGATTTACATTTGAAGATAATAACAGGCTTCTTGGAAGAAGAGATAAGTCTAGAGATTAGATTCAGCTTCTATGTGTACAGGTTGAAGTCATTCAGGGTTCAGCAAATGAAATGAATACAAAGACACAGAGGCATGGAAATGTAGGGAATGTATGAAATAATTTGAATTCTGTTTAGATCTGTATAGGTCAGTTTTGCTGTAACGTGATATATACACTCCTAAAATATACCATGCTATGTAAAATCACACTATAAACCCAAAGAGTTTATGGGAAAATGCCTTTAGGGTCTTTTCACTCAAAAAGTTTGTCACTGACACATAAGAAAAGAACCAATATAAAAAGTTAGCACAGTTTTATGCATGTCAAAAGGCCAGGAAACATAATGCTACAGTAAATATGACATTTTACCTTGAAAAAAGAGGTGAAGTTTTCTTGCAAAAGTGAGTGTTTTATTCCTTCTGATCTGCCCACCTGGCTCCTGAGGTAAAAGAAAGAGAAAACCAAACAAAATGAGAGAGAGAGACAGAGAAAGAGAGAGAGGAAAAGAGTAAGAGAAAAGAGAGGTAAAGGAAGAAAAATATCAAAGAAGAAAAGGGAAAGTGCAAAAAAGCCTGAGAGGAGGCTAAAGGTCAACAGGGTGGCTGTTGAAAAGAGTACAGCTAGTTATTGTGAAGTGGGAGAAGGACAATTACTTAAGATAAAAATCTACTAAATATGTTTACACCAGATGTGGCTTGGCATGGCTCATTGTCATGAGATGAATATGTATGCATTATGAAGTATTTCTATATAACTGAATTTAGTTTGGTGTAATTTTCTATACCTATCTAGTAATTTTTGCAAACGAAATTAGATACACAACAAAAAATTCATTTCATCCTCAAATTGTTCAATAATAAATCATTCACACTGGAAGAAATGTGCGGTTTCAACACAAGTGGTACAGCAGGACTGACTGTCTTCCTTTTCCTGAATTTAGGTTAAAGACAATATTGAGAAATGTATTTGGTAAGGCTAAATCATTGTCAAATTGTCAAGCATTTTTGAATGTTTGGTGTATTATCTGTTGTTCCATAACATTACCTTACATTTAGCATACTTAGCAGCTTTAAAAAACACACATTTATTATCTCATAGTTTTTCCATATGTGGAATCATAAGTCTAAGCACCACTTAGGTGGCTCCTTTACAAAGCTACAATCATGCCAGCCAGATGTGGTTTCTCATGTACAGGCTGAACTGGAGATGGATCCACTTCCAAGATGATGTGGTTGTTCGCAGCATTAAATTCCTTGTCAGCTGTCAGACTGTGGCCCCAATTTCTTCCTGGCTGTTAGCTAAAGGTCACCCTTAGTTCTACTTCTTAGTTGGCTGGAAACTACTCTCAATTCTTTGCTATGTGACCTTCCCCAACATGACCACTTGCTTCGTCAAAGCCAACAAGGAGACAGTCTTCCAGAAAAACAGACATGGCAGTCTTATGCAGCATAATTACAGGAGTGACATCTCATCAGTTTTCCCATATGTTTTGTTTAGAATCAAGTCATAGGTCAAGGGGAGGAAATTAGGCTAAGAATTAATGCAAGGAGTTTGGAATTATCAGGGCCAGTTTAGAGTCTGGTTATAGAAGAGGAGATTTCTATTTTTCATATATGAAATACTAATTGAGTCATTATCGAACAGAATGATCTTCTATAGTTGCCACGAGCATCCAGCAGGGCAGTGCCACAAATTTGTGGGGTTTGGGATTATCCACAGACTAGAGAATATTTTGGCGGTGGGGAGTAACAGCCTTCACATCTAGGGTTTTATCTACAAAACTAAAACATGGCACTACTTAATGAATTTTAGATTGATTTCACTTATTTAGTTGTGTAGTCAAACCCATGATAAATGAACTAACTGATCCACTTTAATCCATTATTTCAGCTAAACATGCACCTATGCATTCTGGAATAGGCAGGTAACTTTGCTTGAGTTGAAAGTAATAATTTCGGTTTCCAGATTTGTCAACCAACAGATGAGGTAGTTACATTGTGAATTAATTAAAGAAAGAGTGATTCTACTTTCCAATAAAGGAATGCATTATCAATATTTCTACATAACTGAATTTAGTTTGGTGTAATTTTCTATATCTGTCTAGCATTTTTTGTAAATGAAATTATAGATATACAACAAAAATTGATTTTATCCTCAAATTGTTGAACAATAAATCAATCACATTGGAAGAAATTTGTGGTTTCAAATTTCTAGGAGAGACTCAGCATCTCTCTCTGAAACATGTATTTACAGGTAACCAAAGGATAGAAATCACAAATACCTTTTCTCTTTTGACACACAAGATCATTAATTTTATGTATATTATTTTCTATTAATATATGCATGACTCTATAAAGTTAAAATTATTAATGTGTTACAGTACTTTTAGCCCCCTTTGAAATATTTTTTATTAAGTCAGAAGTACTTCGAATTTCAAGATAGAAAGGCAGTTAGAATGTTCTATTTGTTTTTAATTCTATATAAATGTAAAAGGCATTTAATTTGTACATAAAATACATTCAAAGTCTTGTCTGAATATTCCATCTGTGAAACTATTATCATGTACCAAACATTCTTCCCAAGGAATTAAATGTTATTGTTTCTTTTATATCACAATATTTGCATGTCTTGAAAAAAGTAGAAAGTCTTTCGTTTAAGAGAAAACTTCACACTTTAAAATGATTTCTTTTTTTCTTCCTCTTTAAGAGATGGGAATCTTGCTATGTTGAATAGGCTGGAGTTCAGTGGCAACATTTAGGCACCATCATGGCATATTATAGCTTTAATTCCTGGGGTCAAGGGATCCTCCTGTCTTAGTCTTCTGAGTAGCCAGAACTACAGCTTCCCACCACTGAGCCTGGCTTGAAATAATTTTTTTAAACTAAATAATCTCATTCCTTTATTTTATTTTAAATATATGATTCTAATTCCCTGATTCCAACATTGTATCATATATATCAAATTGTTCCTCATATATGAAGCTAAAATAATAAGACTGTGAATAAATATTAACTTTCAAATGTATTTCTAAGCTTTTGAAGAGGATTTTTTATGTGAGACAACTATGGGCAACGTTAACGTAAGTTTTATGTATATGAATTTGTTTAAAGATTAATTGGGTTGGAAAAGTCTTCTCCCACCTCTAGAATTCCAAAATATGGCTCACTGGGAGACAAGACACTTCAAGTAGAATATCATATTTTTAAATTTTGATATATAGTTATAATTCTGGAAATGATATCTTGTTACAGCTTAAAAATTAAAACTCATTAATGCCACTGAATGAGCAATAACTTGTAAAGAATAAGCTCTCCTACCATAAACAAATATAAACTTGAAAAAGAATATATGAGATTACTGATTTTTTAGAAAATTGCACAAAGGGCAGCATAAGACTGAAAACCTGTGGAAAGGGGTACTTTTGAGGTGAGTCCTGTGATCTCTCAGGGCTCTCTCACTGGGCTAATTTCTAGACCATGGGGCAGGGAACTAGGTTCCAGAGCACAGTGGTTCTGCTGAGATGAAGAGTCAGATATTGGAGAACTCCAGGGCTGCTGACATGACTGGTAGCTAAGATTCAAGGCCATGGAGGGGATGGAGCTGTGCAGAAGGGAAGACAAGAAGTCACTTGAGCCATTTCCCACAAGTGCTTGTCCTACTAATGCACATGCACAGGATGAAACTAAATGAGGCTTATCAAACAATGTCTGCTGATGGCTTTAAGAAGGAGGCAGATCGACTAGAATTTCAGCAATGCTTGGAGGTTTTGGAGGTTTGTCCTTTGTCTAGTTAGAGTGGAGAGATCTAGTTTACATTGACATTCAGATGAAATATCAGAGGCCTCACCTCAGGAGTAAGTGACATGCTCTAAAGAGGAAGGCTTTCCCTGGACCTGCCTTTACAAAGCCCCAAACCAATCTCTGACCAGATCCACAGAGGAGAATTTGCAGCTGTGTGTCACCAAGTTAGAGGGGTTGTTAGCAGACTTTGTTTATACCATGGGCTTATTAATCAAGAAAAACATTCTTTGAACAGCAAAATACCCTAGGTCTGAATACATTAACACAGTTGGATAAGTGAGGTGTGGAAAGGAGGTAAGAGGTACAATCTTGGAAAACTGAGCTATCTTCAGAGTGGTAAAGGCATTCTTTGCAATCACTAGGTATTAAACTTTCCTAATAGAAGACAACAATTTACCATATAAACTTGTATACTATTTATTGTGTAGAATTATGCAAATTAAAGAGAGGTCTATAAAATGAAAGAAAATGATGTAAACAACTAAGCACTTTTTAATGTTTTTATCTGCACATTTGAGCCTATACTATTGTCATTCAAATTTGGAAGATTATTAATGAATACTTGTATTTTAAAGCTTTGTTCATTAATGAATGTGTCTCTAAAATAATTCTCCCACACTTTTTTAGTTGTTTATTTATTTATTTATTTGGAGACAGAATCTTAGTCTGTCACCCAGCCTGGAATACAGTGGCGCAATCACGGCTCACTGCAGCCTCAACTTCTCAGGCTCAAGTGATCACCCACCATCAGTTTCCTGGGTAGCTGGGGCTGCAAACACATGCCACCATGCCCAGCTAGTTTTTCTATTTTTTGTAGAGACAGAGTTTCACCATTTTGCCCAGGCTGGTCTTGAACTCCTGGGCTCAAGTGATCCACGTGCCTCGGCCTCCCAAAATACTAGGTTTATAGGAGTGAGCCACTATACCCAGCTGGTTGTTGTATTTCAAATTTTTATCTGGAAACACATTCCCATAATAATGTAACCAGAATGGTATACATAAATTCCCATTTCTGAAAACAGATTGATTGATCTATCTATCTATCTATCTATCTATCTATCTATCTATCTATCGATCTATCTATCTATCTATATTTCTGCTTTTGTTATTTTTGTTAAATTCATTAATGAAAGAGATGTAGAATAAAAGACTTGATAATTTTACAAAGATTCTCTGCCCTACAGATGTTTTAGTGGCTTTAATAATTCTCTTAGTTTGGCTGGGCGCAGGGGCTCACGCCTGTAATCCCAGCATTTTGGGAGGCTGGGGCAGGTGGATTACCTGAGGTCAGGAGTTCGAGACCAGCTGACCAACATGGTGAAACCCTGACTCTACTAAAAATACAAAAAAAAAAAAAATTAGTCGGGCATGGTGGCACATGCCTGTAATCCCAGCTACTCGGGAGGCTGAAGCAGAAGAATTGCTTGAACCCGGGAGACGGAGGTTGGGGTGAGTTGAGATCATGCCACCGCACTCCAGCCTGGGTGACAGAGCAAGATTCCATCTAAAAATAATAATAATAAAAATAATAATAATAATAATAATAATAACAACAACAATTGTCTTAGTGCAGGTTGTTATAAAAAATTACCATAACTTGTTGGCTTAAGCAGCAAACATTTATTTCTCATAGTTCTGGAAGCTGAGAAGTCCAAAATCTTGATGCTGGCAGATCTGATGCCTGGTGAAGGCCTGCCCACTGGTTTCCAGATGGTGATATTCTTCTTATATTCTCCCATGGCAGAAAGCAGAGAGAGAGAGAGGAAACAAGCTCTCTTGTGTCTCTGATAGGAGGACACAAATTCAGTCATGAGGGCTCTATTCTCTATACATAATTACCCCTCAAAGGCTCTATATCCTAAAAGCATCCATTGAGATTTAGGACTTGAACATATGAATTTTGGGGAAACACAAATTTGTATTCCATAACAATAATGAGTAGTAAAAATAAAATTGTCTAATGATGACAAAGTGAATGGCCCTGTGCTAGGTACATTCTTAGAAAACAAACAAACAAACAAAAGAAAAACAGAAGAAAGTAAATAGAGTAAAATAGTAACCACGATTACCTCTTGGTGATGAGATTACTAATAATTTTTGCTTTGACTAAAATTTTTAAATGACTTTCCAAATGATAAAAATAAATGTTATTTTAATATAAACCTCATGGCAGGGTGTAATATGCACACAGTTTCATTCATAAATTCCCTAAAATCATTTCCTAGAATTTGTAAGTCTTCTTTCTTTATTTTCCATATTGTTCTCACTATCCCCATTCTGACATTTTTGTTTCATGCCATTTATAAAAGAAATATCTGAGATGTTCTACTGTATTAGGAACTATATTTGGAAATATTTGTAAGATAGATGTCTCTGTCTCCTTCTGTTTCTGTCTCTGTCTCTTGCACTCTCTCTCTCCCTCTCTTTCTATATATATATATATACACACACACACACACACACACATACCTTTGCCTCAATAAAGTATATGATCGCTTCTCTTTACTCCCCCTTTTTTCTTACTTTCCCAGGTAGATTGAAAAAATTAAATTCAAGAAATAAAAAGCTAAATAACTATGAAATCATAAAATAATGCAAACAAAAATAAAGCACAGGTATTAAATTCAATATAGGGATAATAATATTAATGAAATCTACAGCACAAAAGTAAGTGTCAAACATTGAATTCCTACAATAAAACAGAACTCATGTTAGGAGCATAACATACACTACTCCTCTTATTTCTTACTGACTTCTTCTCAAATGTTGTACTATTGTAGATATACTGCCTGACCAACATTATAAAATAGCATACTACCACCTCTTAGACATCCTCTTTATCCTTCCTTCTAGTTTCTTATTTTCCAAAGCACTGCCTGACATAATACATATATATACAGTAAATATATTTATGGCTCTGTATACACTTTGTACTACCCATACCCACATTGCAGAGAAGAAAAAATTTATACATGAGAAAGCTAAGGCTCAGAAAAGCTATGTGTCCAAATCTGTAATCTCTTTTGACTTTACTTTTGTGTATAATGTAATATAAGTGTCTAATTTCATCCTTTTGCATGAGGAGATTTAGTTTTCTCAATGACATTTATTGAAAAGACTATCACTCCCCCATTGCGTATCCTTGGCACCCAAGCTGAGGATCAGTTGATTGTATATGCATGGGTTTCTTTCTGGACTCTCTATTCTATTCCATTGCCATGCTGCTATACTTACTGTTGCTTTGTAATATATTTTGAAATCCAGCAGTGTGGTACCTCCAACTTTGCTGTTCTTTTTTAAGACTGCTGTGGGTGTTCAGATATTTTGTAGTTCCTTGTAATATTTAGTATTTTTTTCTGTTCCTGTGAAAATGACATTGGGTTTTGATAGGAATTTTATTGAGTCTGAAGACTGCTTTGGGTAACATAGGTGTTTTGACAATATCAAGTCTTCTAATCTATGAACACTGTGTGTCTCTCCATTTACTTGTCTCTTCTTTAATTTATTTCATCAATGCCCTATAGTTTTCAAAATACACATTTGTAAAACCTAAAACTATAAAGCTCCTAGAGAAAACATAGAGGAAAAGCTTCATGATATTGGCCTCAGCATAGTTTCTTTGATATGTCACCAAAAGCACAAAAAACAAAATTAAAAATACACAAGTAGGACAACATCAAACTAAAAAGCTGTGCACAGCAAAAAAAAAAAAAAAAAAAAAAATCAACAGAGTGAAAAGGCAACCTAAGAAATGTGACAAAATATTTGTAAACCGTATAACTGATAAAGTATTAATATGCAAAACACATAACTCTTACAGCTCAATAGCAAAAGAAAATCAAATAACTTCATTAAAAGTAGACAAATTATGTTGATGGTTATTTCTCCAAAGAAAACAAATGGTCAACAAGTGTATGAAAAGTTGCTCATCGTCACTAATCACCACGGAAATGAAAATTAAACCACAAGAGATATTAGCTCACACCAGTTAGAATGGCTATTTTTTTTTAAAGATAAGGGTTGGCAAGCGTTGTGAGGAAATTAGAACCGTTGAGCACTATTAGTGAGAGTGTAAAATGCTACAGCTGCTATGGAAAAAAGTATGGAAAAGTATGGAGGTTCTTCGAAACTTAAAAATAGAGCTATCATTTATCCAGCAATCACACTTCTAGATATATTTTCAAAAGAATTGAAATCATCTCACAACAGGTACTCCCATGTTCATTGCAGCATTATTCACAAAGGACAAGATACACAAACAACCTGAATGTCCATCAATGTGTGAATGAATAAATAATCACATTTTCTTTATCCATTCTTTATTGAAGTTAAATAATATTCCATATATATAATATTCCAGGTAAACAGAATAATATTCCACCTTAATAAAGAAGGAAATCCTTCTATATGCAACAACATGGAAACACCTGGAGGACATTATTCTAAGTGAAATAAGCAGTCACAGAATGACACATACAGCCTGATTCCACTTATATGAGCTACCTAAAGTAGTCAACTCTCACAGAGGCAAAGAGTAGAATGTAGAATGGTGATTGCCAGGGGCTAGAGGGAGGAGGACATGGGGCATTGCAACTCAAAGGCTACAAAGTTTAAGTTATCCAAGATGGGTAACTTCTAGAGAACTGTTGTACGATATTGTTCTAGTTAACAATATTGTATGTGTACCTCAAAATTTAAGAAGGTAGGTCTCATGTTAGGTATTATTACCCAAATAAAAAAATTGTACAAAAACGTTAATTGCATATTGATACAAGGTAGAACCATGAGAGTCGTGAAACACTACACAGAATTATATAGTATTATTCCATAAAAAGAAAGCATTGTCAGAAATATAAGGAAACATCTGAGTAGTATTAAAATGTTATGCATTACGATAATAATCTGGTAGGTCAAGGAGATAAAAGTAAATCTTTAAGGACTTAAGGAACTTGAATTATTTAATGTTTTCATAAATAACTGTGCATGGTTATAATGTTGTACCTTAACAATGAGAAATGCATTTTCTCAAGCATCATGTACCCATGTACCACTTACAAATGTTGCTCATAATCTATACCATATTTTAATTTCTAAAATAACACGTTTATAACTTTCTTATATCAATAATAAAATATTGCTAGAAACTAATACCGAAACTTTGAGGAAGGAAGAAAATTACTCAGATATTTTAGGAATTGTTGTATGAATAAGGACTGCCTTACATAAACTGGAAAATAGCAAATGTCAGGCCAAGATAGCTGACTAGAAACAGCTTGTGTGCTTGGCTCTCACCGAGAAAATGAAGACTGATGAGTGGACACTAGTTCTTCAACTGGAACAGACATGCTGACACACTATGATTCATCAGGGAAACAGCGTGACCTATGGAGAACAGAGAAGAGCAAGACAGGACAACTGTCCACCTAGAAGTGGCATGGAGCAGGGGATGTCTATTTAAGGTTTTTGGTATTGCTGATGCTGTGATATATTTAATTTTCCCTTAGATTGAAAATGATCCTCTGAAAAATCTAAAGCACATTACATATGGGTTGAGGATATTTCTGAGTCTATGAAACAGTGGGGCAGAAAAGCACTAAGTATTTGACTTTCTGGCACACAAAACCGAAAGTCAACCACAAGGTACGTATTTAACTTCTACAAAAATGGATCTCCAACTTTTGACCTCAAAATTGAGTACAATTGAATGAGATTGTCATTCATTAACTTTAACATTACTGCCTTCCCCCCACCCCCCAAAAATATCATAGATTTCAGATTGTTTTTTAAAAATCTGGAGGCTGGGCACAGTGGCTCATGCCTGTAATCCCAGCACTTTTGGAGGCCGAGGCAGATAAATCACCTGAAGTCAGCAATTCAAGACCAGCCTGGTCACCATGGTGAAACTCCATCTCTACTAAAAATACAAAAATTAGCCGGCTGTGGTAGTGGGTGTCTGTAATCCCAGCTACTTGAGAGGCTGAGCAGGAGAATGGCTTGAACCCAGGAGGGGAGGCGGAGGTTGCAGTGAGCTGAGATCACACCATTGCACTCCAGCCTGAGCGACAAAGTGAAACTCCATCTCAAAAAAAAAAAAAAAAAAAAAAAAATTGGATTAGGCTTTTTTCTGTCCTCATTTCCAATTTTTGTTTCTAAAAATAACTCTTTTTTAGGTGGGTTCTTTTATTTAACTGATTTTCTGTTGGCTTCTTGCCTTAGTTTTGCAGCCAAAAAATTCTGGACCAAACTGCATGATTCCTCAACTAGATATGAGCTTATAACACTGTTTTATTCTCATTATTTATTGGCTCTCATATCTTGGTCTGCACCTGTTTAGACACCTGACATTTTCCCCTATCCTTATGGAGATAGATAAAAAAAAAGGCTCAAAGATTTATTTATTTATTTATTAATATATTAATGAAAAAATCTCATAGATGTTTGACCAACCTTCTTCGCTTTTTCCTCCTTACCTAATATCACCAAGAGGTGAAAGAAAGAAATAAGCTTTATTGTCCTAGGAAATGATTGGACTTATAACTGTGAAGGAAGAGGAAAGTAGATTTCAAGGACATTAGTTTTATTAATAAGGCCAAACATGCCAAAATACTTTTTTATGGCTTGGTATTTGCACATCCCCTGTGCACTTAAACAAAATTATATTTTGATCATAAAGAGTGAGAAGGCATATTTAGAGTCACTTTCTATGATTTCTACTGCCTACAAAAAAACCCTGACATTTTTATTTCAGAAAAATATTTACTTTTATTATTTTTGTAATGCTTTATTTTAACAATATGTGTATGCTTTACATAATTTTAAGTCAAAGTATTAGAAGTTAAAAGATAAGATTTTATAATGTGTTCTATGCAAGGATGAATTTGATAAAGTTTGAAAATTAATCTTCAATATCTCTTTAACCTTGGGATCCTACTCTATTTAAGTACGTAAATCTCTGATGAGAAATAGCCTGATATAAGAAAAAACCCTAATATGAATTACTATGGAACAGTTTCCATATTTTCTCCTTTTCTCTGTTGTGATTTACCTTGATTTTAACCATGAGACCCATTATTTTTCATAACAGCTATTTAAATAATAAGTTAATTCATGGAAACGTGTTAATAATTTTCTTTCACTGATAATATAATTACTTTGATTGATGTCCTTCTAGAGATATATTAGCTTATATCCCAGAAATAATATTTAACTGGGAATTTCTGGTTTCTTGTACATTACATTGAATCATGTAATATTTTTTCTTCAAAAAATAAGTCACAGAATGCAATATTTTTGTTCTTCAAAAAATAAGTCACATAATGAGCAGTTGTATACCTGCAACTGGTTCTTCTCAAACCACAAAGCAAATTTCCTCCTACCATCCAATCATCATTAGTTGAATGGAAGTTGTTTTGTTTTTTACTGCTCTTGATTTGTCTCTCTAGATCTTCTCATAAGTTAAGAACTTTTCATAAATTTTTAATGCCAGAGTAAATAAACACTAATGGCTATTAAGCATATGACAAAGTATTAAACTTCTATATGAAAGAGGTGAAATAAAACAAAACAGTAGTAAATGTATGACATTTAAAATATTTTAAAGAAATACAATATTGTTATTGTCACCGAATAGAAATGAGATTACTGAATGCCTACTCAGGATACATTTTCTTCTTTAGTAAATTTTCTTTCCTAATTTGTATGGATGACGCTGCAATTAGTTAAGAGACCTATTCCTAATGACCCTTTATAACTAGGTTTGGTCATGTGATAGAGTTTTATCAAATAATGTATGAAGGCAATTGTGATATGAGATTTTGAGTAAGGTTGATAAGTGGCAAAGGTCCCTAGAAAATGCTTCCTGTTTGTCATTCCTTCCTTGTTCCTTCTTGCAAACTGTGATACAAGAACAACCTTTTTGTACTTGAGGATGGGAGTCAGCAAATAGAAGCAGTAAAGCAGAAAGCTCCTGGGTTTCTGATAATTATGGAGGGCCCACAAAAGCCTTGGACTACCTACTTCTGGACTTCTTTTATATAAAAAATAAACATTATTTGTTACTCATTCTGGGGAGACAAGTAAAAACTCTTATTGATGGGAGTTTATTTTTCTAAATTTATGGACAATTAATCAAATGTATTAAAATACTTAAAATTATGTATCTCTATCAAGATCTTTATGCAAAAAAAAAAAAAAAAAAGAGAAATCCTTAGTGTCTCTTTTCCCCCTCGCATCTAAATGATGAAATAATTATTTTGGCTTCTCTGTGTAATACATTTAGATACCAATCCTTCCTTATTATACCTTCTGCCACCTACCTAGTCTAAGCCCAAAGTTACCATTGTTTCTTTCCTGGGTCAATGCAATAAAATCCTAAGACGCGTTTCTTCTTTCAGTCCTACACACTCTTTGTCTACTGAGCAATCAGAGTGTAAGGCTGGAGACAATGGAGCTGTTATCTCAAATAGCTCCTCATTCCCCTCCCACCAAATATATACCTACTTTTATTTTTACTTGCTTGCCTTTTCTTCACTTTATATTTATTAACTGTCTTCTCATTAATTACAAGCATGTCATTATAGGGCTTATGTAGGGCTTTTTTACCTGTCTCCACCATTAATTATGAGCATGCTATTATAGGGCTTATGTAGGGGCTTATTTCTACCTGTTTGTTTGTAGGGTCTCAAATTTCATTACAGCTTGACACAAATACTTAGTACATATTTTTCAAATGGATGAATGAATGACAAAAGCTAAACTAAACCCATATGTTTAATATGAGCCATGTTTAAATAAATTATAGGAAATAGATTCAATGAACACTTTGCTGCTGTGATAATAATTGTGTAGAATATTTTTGTTTTATTTAATAAACTGTACATTTTAGAAGAGTTTTTATATCTGGAAGAATTGTAAAGATAGTATGTCTTACATTTATATGGTATGTTTGTTACCAATGATCAAGTATTAATACATTATTATTAGCCGGGCATGGTGGCTCATGCCTGTAATCCCGGCGCTTTGGGAGGCCGAGGCGGGCGGATCACGAGGTCAGGAGATTGAGACCATCCTGCCTAGCACAGTGAAACCTCGTATCTACTAAAAATACAAAAAATTAGCCGGATGTGGTGGCAAGTGCCTGTAGTCCCAGCTACTCGGGAGGCTGAGGCAGGAGAATGGCGTGAACCGGGGAGGCAGAGCTTGCAGTGAGCCGAGATCGCACCACTGTACTCCAGCCTGGGTGACAGAGCGCGACCCCGCCTCAAAAGAACAAAAGAAAAATAATACATTATTATTAACAAAAGTCCATATTTTATTGTTTTCTTAAATTTTACCCAATGTCCTTTTTTTCTTCTAGGATTCCAGCCAGAATAGCATTTCGTATTTATTCATCACTTTTACTTAGGTGTCTCTTGGCTGTGACAGTTTCTCACACTTTTCTTGTTTTTGATGGCCATCACAGTTTTGAGTTGTACTGGTCAAATATATTGTAGAATGCCCTTCTATTGGGATTGGTCTGATGTTTTTCTCATGATGAGTCTGAGGTTATAATTTTGGGGAGGAAGAACACGAGAAAAAAGTGCCCTTTTGATAATCTGGTATCAAAGGTACCTACCATCATATATTAGTCAGCGTTCTCTAAAGGGACTGAATAGCATAGATGTAAATATGAAGGGGAGCTTATTAAGGAGTGTTGACTCACAGGATCACAAGGTGAGGTGAGGTCTCACAATAGGCTGTCTGCAAGCAGAGGAGCAAGGAAGCCAGTTAGAATCCCAAAACCTCAAAAGTAGGGAAGCCAACAGTGCATCCTTCAGACTATGGCCAAAGACCCGAGAGCCCTTGGCAAACCACTGGTGTTAAGTCCAAGAGTCCAAAAGCTAAAGAACTTGGAGTTTGATGTTTGAGGGCAGGAACCATCCAGCACAGGAGGAAAGAGAAGACTGGAAGACTCAGCAAGTCAAATCCCTCCAGGTTCTTCTGCCTGCTTTATTCTAGCTGGCAGCTGATCAGATGGTGGCAATGCAGATTGAGGGTGGGTCTGCCTCTCCCAGTCCACTGACTCAAGTGCTAATCTTCTTTGGCAACACCCTCAAGACACACCCAGCAACGATACTTTGCAAGCTTCAATCCAATCAAGTTGACACTCAATATTAACCATCAAAATCGATATGACTTATTACCACTAATGATCAGTGTAAGTACTTGGCACAGATAGTGTGTGTCAAGATTCTTTATTGCAAAGGGAATCTTCTCCCTGCTTTCCATATTGTAGTCTTTGTGAAAAGAAGTTTTTAAGCTTAGTCTACATGCAAGGTTATACTCTTCCTCTTTGAACAGAGAATTTTCATAAATTATTTAGTATTCGACTTTGGGGATTTGTCTCTTCTTTGCCATTTATTTTTTATGTAAGCATTTAGTTGTATCAGTATGGATTTATGTGTACTTATTTTATACTTTGGATTATAATCCAATGCAATTTTATTCATGTTGCTACTAAAATTATTTCAGCTTTGGCCATGGAGAGGCTTTCCAATTGTTTCTTATGTCCTTTGGCATACTACCAGTTTGTGTTTTTTTTTTAAATTGTGCTACTTTATTTTCTGACACGAAAAGGTTCTCAGGCTCATGCTGTATATTTTCTACCTTCATCCCAGACTCAGTCATTTCTCCAAATAGCATTTTTTATTGTAGAATTAAGAAAGAAACAATCAACTATATCTCATTTTTGGTTGCAGTTGATATGCAGATACAGATACACATTGAAGTGTTAGTAGTAGTGGTAGAATTGTTTGTTGGGATCCATCCCGCAGACCTCAGCTGAACAATGGATGAATAACGTACTCAGACAGCAATATTTCAGTGAAGGAGCTGGCCAGGGGTCCGGCCACTGACAGAAAGACTTGTAGCACCAGCGTGCCCCGACTAGCTGGCCCTGCCTCCATTTATTTGGCACAGATTAATGACAAAGGCTTTGAGTCAACACACCTGTGGGTAATTAACCTGGTTGCTGACCACCCGGAGCAAAGAGCATGCACCCTAAAGGTTAGTCTTAAGACCACATGAGTAAACAAGCTATTTAGATAAACTCCCCCACATTCCTTTGTATCTAATCTATTTAACTAAAGGTAAAGGTATAAGGCTTCCTTCAGCCAAGTGTTGTACTAAAGTTATGCAAACTCTTCAGCTTTCCGAGGTTTGTGGCTATTTCCTAGAACCAAAATTTTTCCCACCAGCCTGTCTGAACCCCAACAATTGTTATTACATATTTTTGACATAAATATTTTTTCTAAATGTTCCATATGCGTTTATATAGTTCTTATTATAAAAAACACTGAATGATATTGCGTAAAATGATTAAGACCCTGTTTTTTTTGTTTGGACTATGTAAAAACTAAAATTAAATTTGGGCTCTAAAAGAAATTTGGTCATCAATACTTCCAATAAATGTAGTCAGATTCCATATAAATTTTAATTATATATTAATAAAGTTTTTAATTGCCTAAATATTAGCGGGGATTTATAAATTAAAGCAGAAGTTTTTTTGAAAAGGTTTCTGTGACATTCAAGTAACAGAATACTCACAAGAAATTAAAGTTTAAAATGCATTTTGAATCTCTCATTGAATTTACCGAATATCAATATGGAGTCTTGCTAAATTATCTGCCACTAGGAACTCAGCATAAACTACATAAATTAGGGTGATATAATATGCTGCCATGGCAATTGAAAAGCTTATATTGTGCAGCTGAATTTTTAAATTGAAATTATGAGACATCAATCATTTTTATTTTTACATAGTGGTTGGTAGAATTCTGAGATTTCATATTTATTTATGTACATGTTAAAAGGTATTTTTTAAATTTTGATTAAGTAAATGCCCCATAAATCATAGAATAGTTTATTAAATATTAAGAATTATCATTGGTTAAATTTAGAACCATATTACATGCATGTATTACAATTTATATTTTCAAGCATATGGCTATCTATAGAAGTAAAGAGAAATGACTACTTCTCAATTACTTGAGATTTGTTATCACATTTAATTTTATTAGCAAGGTCATGCATTATCACTACCTTTATTGCACAGACGTGAGTGGGTATGACATTGGGCCAAATTCAGACAATTAGTAAGTTTAGGAATTCTGCTTTAAATTTACATATGTTTGATTCCAGGCTCAAATTATTAACACAGTACCATCAATTACAATAGGTTCCCTGGAAGTTCTATTGTATAGTCATATATTCGAAAAGTTATACAAGGTAATATTATGATTTGTTCTGATAAACCTGTTACAAATAAGTAACATGCCAGCTTAGTATTAAAAATGTTGAATATAATTTTTAAGTAAAGCATTAATGTATTTTGCAAATGTAGATTCATATAGTAGATTCACTTATGGAAGACCATGCCTGCCTCCTTCACAAAATCTATGCTGTGTTCTCAGCTTTACCACTTAGTATTTATCATAGGCAATATAATATGTACATATACATTATACTATTTATAATGTATATTATGTTTATATATACTGTTAAATTAGATAAGTACATTTATTATGGGGATGTTTAGAAAATTAGGGGCATTAAATATATGGCCACATAAGATACACGTAAATTACTCTTTAAAATGCTTGCCACAAAGTAAGCCGTGATAGACATAAATATTATTTACAGCAACACATGCTATCAAATGTTTTGTAATGTGTATATAAACAGTTAATACATGAGTTTGTGGATTTTCTATAAGAAATGTTTGATATATTATTTCACTAATGTGATTTGACATAAGAATTCTCTTTAATTATTTACACAGACTCATTGGGAAAAATGGAGTAATTAAAATAATGAATCACACCATCTTACAAGCAACAATTTAGCTGTAATCACAGTAGTAGATGCAACCTAATGAATAAGAAAAATGAATTTTACAATGCAAATTTTTCTTTATACAATACAATAAATGTCCTACACTCAGCTACCTAACCATTTTATATTATCTACTAAGAACATCTTATATATTATTTTACATTAACTAATCACAGAATCATGTACCATATTTGTAAGGTCTAACTCCAAGAAAACAGATGAAATATTTTGGTTCTGACTCTGCTAACAGCAGGATCTATCTATCATCCCATTTTCTGTGAGAGAGCAGGAGGGCTACTCGATAAAATAATAGGCAGAGTTTTGGTAAAAGATTATGATGTACAGATAAAAATAATCAAAAAAAAAAAAAGACCAGAAGATGTTTAGACCAAATTCTTTTTATCAGAAATAGAAGACAGAAAACAGCTTAAGACTAAGGAATCAGTTACTTATTTGTCTCTATATATTGTTGTTGCATATACCATCACTCTTCATATATAATTCCAAGGTCTCAGCAATCAAGATTAATGAAGGCTTCCATTTCTACCAAGAGAATCATTATTAAAACTTTACCAAAAATATTTTCTTTTCATATTGAAAAAGAGAAAGCACATTTTACCTATTCATTTTCCTGGTTAAGTTCTTTATGATTATGTTGAAAATGATTGGAGATGGGTTGCTGAAGATAAATGAAACATGAACACGGTGAACTCTTCTTCCTTTTCAACAGTGAGATATATTTCACAATCTGTTCTATAGAAAAAATGCACAGTATTACAGATACTATGATTTGATTATTTTACTTTCTGTTGTTAGAAGATTGCAATTAAAATCAGAATGTCTTTTATCATTATATAGAATCTATGTTTTCAAGGCTAGTTTAAATAGAAGGGATAATAGAATTACAGAAATGGCCAAAAACTTTTTCCTTCATTTTGTGCTACCTTATTTCCTTTGTTGATGTTATGACATTAAGTTCAATGTTTGTTTATTATCCTTTACCTCTAGTTTCTCAACACTTACTTATAAGTTAATGTTTTACTATTCATATACTCTCAGACTTGCTTTGAGGCCCTTATCCACTTCCACACTGATAACAGCATAATCTATCACGCATCTAATTTGCTTCCATTTAATTTTCTTTTTCATTTTGCCTGTAATTATTTGCATTAAAAGTTTAAATCTCCATGTCCTTTGATTCTAATGCAATCCCAACTTAAATTTTGAAAATTACACATACACACATGCACACACATGTGTGTCTGCGTGTCAAGGTTGCTTTTATTTGAAAGAAATAGTTGAAGCCAGAGAATTTAAATTTTACCATTAAATAGCAATTAATTACTTCAACAAATTATACGTAACTTGTTTTATACTATTTGTATACTGAGAGTACTTTGTTAGATAATTAGAGGGAAACTCTAAAGTACAGGGAAAATTAAAAGCCACATAGATTTTGGAATAAGATAAACCTGGCTTTGAATATCAGATTTGAAAATATATCTATAATTTGGACACTTTAAAGCACCTTCCCTATTACTGCTATGCTACAAAACCCAATAATCTTAATCCTGATTATTACAACTGCTGCTTATAGCTCTCCCTGCTTCAACTCCTGTCCACTTAGGTCAGTGCTATAATTTGAATGTGCACACCAAAATGCAAAATGTTTCATTTGGAAGTACGAGTCTTCCAAATGCAAGCTTTGAAACTTAATGGCCAATGTGATGGTATTAAGAGGCAGGAGCTTTTAAAAGATAATTGAGTTACAAGGGTTCCTCCCCTCATGAATGGAATTAAGGGCCTTATAAAAGATACTTTATGCAGCATTGGGTTTGCTGGCCCCTTCTGCCTTCCACCACGTGTGGACACAGCATTCCTCCTTTCAGGAAAATGCAGCATCAAAGTGCCATCTTGGAAGCATAGAACAGCGCTCAGCAGACAACTGAACATTCAGGCACCTTCATCTTGGGCTTTCCAGCCTCTAGAACTGAGAGAAAATGAATGTATCTTCTTTGTAAATTACTCAGTCCTTTGTGTTTTCTTAAAGCAGTACAAACTAAGACAGTCAGTTTTCATCACTGCATCCAGAATGATCATTTTCAGATATTTTTCCTCCTCTGTCAAAAACACTACAATGGGGATTTCTCTCACAGTAAATGCCAGAATCCTTAATATGGTTAATAAACGTACTACAAGTTGTGCTTGCTTCACCCTACCCTTAATTCTTCTTTTATCTCATCCCTTACTACTTTCTTCCTCAGTCTCCATCAGATTCCTTCACCTCCTGCAGTCTTTCCTCAAAAGACACCATTTAACAGAACATCCTCAAGCTACACTAACTTAATTATAATTAACCCCAAATACTTTCTATGCTATTTTTCTGCTTTATTTTCTCTTACAGCTTATCAGCATCTATAATATTACATATTTTACTTATCAAGTTTTTTCTGTATATGGCCAGTGGATCATAAGTCACATAAATTTTTCTTATGTTTTGTTTTGTTTCATTTTTATTTGCTATATCGTGCATTCTGGGATGTTGGCTAACACCAGTGAGCATTCAAAAATAATAATTTACTAAAAGAATCAATTAATTGCAATGCTGTTAATTCTAACATATTCGACACAAAAATCTCAGTAAGCTGAGTATCAGTACCATTATTCTTTGAAAGACTATAGCATTATAACAATCACAGTTTTGCTGAGAATAAGTGTAATTTGCCAAGGTCTTACTGTAAATAATTGTTGTGTTAGAAGGATTTATTACTATCAGTGGCTATTATTATGTTACTACTCCTAATTATTATATTACTGTTGCTAATTATTTTAATAACCTAGATAAATGTAGTTACCTTATTGCTTGAACCCATTACAGAAAAGTAATACCCTTGAAAGAAATACAAAAATCTGATTTTTAAAGTATGTCACCCTCTTGTAAAAATCTAGAAAACTGTACAACTGAAGATGACATTTTTTCAAACACTGAACATCAGTCAGCAAAAGACTGTAATCTGTCTCTGATAGAGGGAAAACAAATGAGGTGAGACCTAGGAAAGCCCCGCTTTATGCCCAGAAACTGTTTCCAGACTACAAAGCAGGAAGGTGAGATCAGACAGAGCCTAGCAGTCTTGTTGAGTTGAAAAGACAAAGAACAGATTTATTGGAGGCAGACTCAACAAGAATGTTCAGAGCAAAGAGCTAGAAAAGAGAAATGTGCACACACAGAGCTTCAGAAATCAGTAAAGCATCCTCTTGAGTCTCTGGCTGAATGTCATTCTGTATATACATAGGGTGAAATCCTGTAAAGTCAGGCAAAGAACATATGCCCCCAAAATAATAATTACTGGAAAACTACAGACCAAATAATTTCTAGAACTCCTAGAGGCTTGTGAATCACTCAAGCTCAAACCAGCCAGAGGGGAAAAAACTTCATAAACATTTAAGCCATTCATTATACACCAGAAATCTTCATCCCTTAGTAGCAGCGTATAGCTAGCTCTGGACTCTGGATTTTACTCCAGAACAGCACTAAAACATAACAGAAACAAGCTTCAAAAGGTTCAAGCTGATATGTAAATAACTGACCTGTCTGCCATAGCAAAGTTAAATGCACTTTAAAAATTATTTTAATTCAGCTTTTGAAAATATAAAGTTAATAATATTCCCTAAACCAGTGGTCCCCAAACTTTTTGGCACCAGGGATGGGGGTGTGACCAAGAACAATTTGGGGATGAAACTGTTCCACCTTAGATTATCAGGCATTAGATTCTCATAAGGAGCATGCAAACTACATTCCTAGCATGCACAGTTCACATTAGGATTTGAGCTCCTGTGAGAATCTAATGCTGTCACTGATCTGACAGGAGGCAAAACTCAGGCAGTAATGCTCTTGGGTCATCTCTTGTGTGGCCTGGTTCCTAACAGGCCAAGGACCAACAACAGTCTGTGGCCTTAGGATTGGTGACTCCCGCTCTAAACAACAATATTTCCAAAACAGGCAAAAAGCAGGAAAATATTATTCACAAAATGGAGAAAAATAGCCAACAGAAACATTGGTTCAGGACCATAAAGATTATAAATATGTACAATAATCCAAAAATAAGTGAAAATAAGGAAAGAAATGCAAACTATAGAAAAATCCAGAATATCTGAAATAAATGTTTTACTGGATAGGATTATCAGTAGAGTGGACACAGTAAAAATGTGTCCAGAATTGGTGGGTTCTTGGTCTCACTGACTTCAAGAATGAAGCCGCAGACCCTCGCGGTGAGTGTTACAGCTCTTAAGGTGGCACGTCTGGAGTTTGTTCGTACCTCCCGGTGGGCTCGTAGTCTCGCTGGCTTCAGGAGTGAAGCTGAAGATCTTCGCGGTGGGTGTTACAGCTCATAAAAGCAGTGTGGACCCAAAGAGTGAGCAGTAGCAAGATTTATTGCAAAGAGCAAAAGAACAAAGCTTCCACAGTGTGGAAGGGGACCCCAGCGGGTTGCCAATGCTGGCTTAGGCGGCCTGCTTTTATTCTCTTATCTGGCCCCACCCACATCCTGCTGATTGGTAGAGCTGAGTGGCCTGTTTTGACAGGGCGCTGATGGTGCGTTTACAATCCCTGAGCTAGATACAAAGGTTCTCCGAGACCCCATCAGATTAGTTAGATACAGAGTTTTGACACACAGGTTCTCCAAGGCCCCACCACAGCAGCTAGATACAGAGTGCCGATTGGTGTATTTACAATCCTTGAGCTAGACAATAAAGGTTCTCCAAGGCCCCCGCAGAGCAGCTACATACAGAGTGTCGATTGGTGCACTCACAAACCTTGAGCTAAACACAGGGTGCTGATTGGTGTGTTTACAAACCTTGAGCTAGATACAGAGTGCCCATTGGTGTATTTACAATCCCTGAGCTAGACATAAAGGTTCTCCAAGGCCCCACCAGACTCAGGAGCCCAGCTGGCTTCACCCAGTGGATCCGGCACCGGGGCTGCAGGTGGAGCTGCCTGCCAGTCCCGGTGCCGTGCGGCCGCACTCCTCAGCCCTTGGGCAGTGGATGGGCGATGGGACTGGGCGCCATGGAGCAGGGGGCGGCGCTCCTCGGGGAGGCTCGGGCTGCACAGGAACCCACGGAGGCGGGGGAAGTCTCAGGCATGGCAGGCTGCAGTCCCGAGGCCTGCCCCGCGGGAAGGCAGCTAAGGCTCTCGAGAAATCGAGCGCAGCGCCGGTGGGCTGGCACTGCTGGGGGACCCAGTATACCCTCCGCAGCCGCTGGCCCGGGTGCTAAGTCCCTCATTGCCCTGGCCGGCCGCGCCGCCGGCTGCTCTGAGTGCGGGACCCGCCAAGCCCACGCCCACCCGGAACTCCAGCTGGCCCACAAGTGCCGCACGCAGACCCGCCTCTGGCTAGTGCCTCTCCCTCCACACCTCCCCGCAAGCTGAGGGAGTGGGCTCCGGCCTTGGCCAGCCCAGAAAAGGGCTCACACAGTGCAGCGGTGGGCTGAAGGGCTCCTTAAGTGCCACCAAAGTAGGAGCCCAGGCAGAGGAGGCGCTGAGAGCAAGCGAGGGCTGTGAGGACTGCCAGCACGCTGCCTCTCAAAAGTAAGTATCAGTGAACTTCAAGATATATCAATAGAAATTATCCAAATTAATCACAAAGAAGAAAAGACTGAAAATATAATTAACTGCATTAGTGAGCTTTGGGAAAATATTAAGTGTTCTAATGCATGTATAATAGGAAGGATTGACGAGGAACTAACATATTTGCAGAAGTAATGGCAAAAATGTTTTCAAATTAGATGAACACTACAAATCTGTAATTCCAGTTTAGTCTGTGAATCCCAAGGTAGATAAACATACTTTTTCTAGTGCAGTTCTGGAGTAAAATCTATATTCTAGAGTTATTTTTACTCTACTATTAAGGAGTGAACCTTTCTGGTGTGTAGTGAATAGCCTAAATGTTTATGAAGTTGTTCCACTCCGGCAGGTATAAGCTTGAATGATTGACAAGCCTCTAAGAGTTGTAGGAATTGTTTGGTTCATGATTTTCCAGTAATTATTCTTTTTAGGTATTTTTTTCTTTGCCTGACCTCATGGAGTTTCACCCTGTGGAACATAAATACACTATAATATATTTTCAGGAAATCAGTGATAAAGATAATATTTTTTATAACAGAAAAATTATAAATACATATTATGTGCAGAAAATCAAAGATAAGAAATACTCTCATCAGAAACAATGCTGCTGTGTCCAGAAAATAATAGAATGTCATATTTAACATAGGGATTAAAGAAAAAGTCAGAGTTTGTCTAGAGTTCTGTGGTTTCACAAACTGTTGTACAAACATACAAAATACTACTTAGCAGTAAAAAGGAACCAACCAAAAAAGTAGATGAAACTCAAGGGAATTAGGGTAAGTGACAAAAGTTAATTCCAAATTAATACATACTGTGTGATGCCATTTATATATTATTAATTAAACATCATTATTATAGACAAGTAGAAAAAATCCATGGTTGCCATGAGTTAAAGATGGAGTGGGTAGGAATAACTATAAAAAGATAATATAGTTTTTTGAGGATGGTTAATTTCTTTTCTTTAATGTGGTGGTAGTTACATGAAGCTGCACATATAAAGCAATTTACAGAACTACATACAAACACACACATATACAGAAGACACACAAGTGAGTGCATCTGTAACTAGTGAAATTTGAAAACACTCTATAGATTATGCCAATATCCTTTTCCTGTTTTTGATATGGTACAATCGATTTGCAAAATGTTAATACTGGAGGAGGCTGGGTGAAGAAGCGTGGAGGTTTGCTGCACATTTCTTTGCTAATTCCTTTGAATCTGTATTATTTCAAAATTAAAAGGTTTTTGTTAATAAGGCTCACCAAGAGAAACGGGGAAAAGTCTGTGTAGGTTTCTATAGCCCCTCAAAATAGCTTTCAAAATAAGGAAAAAAAATGGCAATATTACATAAACAAAAGTTGATAGGACTTACTTCCACCAGACTTGTGCTATAAGAAATGTTAAAGATGTTAAAGGAAGTAATTTAGCCCAAAGAGAATAATATCAAATGAAATTATGTATTTAAGAAATAAAGAGCTCCAAATGTAGAAAATATGTAAGTAATTATAAAAGATGCTTGCTCATTTTTAATCTCTTTAAAACATATCTAACTGTTAAAGGCAAATATAATGAAGTGGAATTTATATCATAGTTGTAAAAAAATTATGTCAACGTTAGTACAAAGACATGAGCATACAAAAGATGTATCCTGTGCTAAGGTTCTCATGACTTAAACGATGCATAAATGGTGTGGTAAAATATTAGTTGGAGGTAGGCTATTATGTTAAGAATCTTAGTGGCACATGGTAAACCCTAGAGCAACTACTAATAAATAAAATAAAAAATATAGCTAGTAAACCATATGCTTGGCAATTAAACAATTCTTAATAAGGATTTTTTTTTTTTTTTTTTTGAGATGGAGTTTCGCTCTTGTTGCCCAGGCTGGAGTGCAATGGCACCATCTCGACTCACCGCAACCTCTGCCTCCCAGGTTCAAACAATTCTCCTGCCTCAGCCTCCTCAGTAGCTGGGATTACAGGCATGTGCCACCACGCTGGGCTAATTTTATACTTTTAGTAGAGACGGGGTTTCTCCATGTTGGTCAGGCTGGTCTCGAACTCCTGACCTCTGGCGATCTGCCCTCCTCAGCCTCCTAAAGGCCACCGCGCCCGGCATGAGCCACAGCGCCTGGCCGACAATTCTTGATAAATCTAAAATAACTGAAATCATACTGACTATGCTGTCTGACCTCAGTACAAATACGTTACAAATAAATTAATATATATTTATTATATGCCTGAAATATTCTAAAGTATGCCTGAAATATGCCTGAAATATTCTGAATATGCCTGAAATATGCCTGAAATATGCCTGAAATATTCAGAAAATATGCCTGAAATATTCTAAAGTACCTGGATATAAAATAATACATTTCTCAATGACAGATAAGGTAAAATAAAATTTCTAAAATATTTTAAGTTGAATAGAAATAAAAACATAACATTTGAAATTTGGGGTATGCACATAAAGCAGTATTTATAGGAAAATATATATGTTTAACTATATATTTAAAAAAAATAAGGCAGTCTAAGATAAATTATCTAATATTCAACCTTAAGGTAGAGTGAAAGAAAAATAATTCAACTCAAAATAAGTAGGAAAAAGAATGCCATAAAATAGAATATAGACAATAGAAAAATTGTTAAAACAAAAGGTGGTTCTTTGAAAAGATCACTAAAACTAACATATTTTGTTATAATGATTAATTAAAACAGGTGACACAAATTAAAATATCAGGAATGACAGAAGAATCAACACTATTATTGGCCAGGCGCAGTGGCTCACGCCTGTAATCCCAGCACTTTGGGAGGCCGAGGCGGGCGTATCACCTGAGGTCAGGAGTTCGAGAGCAGCCTGGCCAACACTGTGAAACCCTTCTCTACTAAAAATACAAAAATAAGCGTGATGGTGGGTACCTGTAATGCCAGCTACTAGGCAGGCTGAGGCTGGAGAATTGCTTGAATCCAGGAGCCGGAGCTTGCAGTGAGTGGAGATTGCCCCATTGCACTCCTGGCTGGGCGACAAGAGCAAAACTTCATCTCAAAAAAAAAAAAAAAAAAAAAAAAAAAAGAATCAATGCTGTTATTTTAACAGAAAATTCAAATAACTAAGGAACATTTAAACATATTTTTTCCAGTAAATTTAACAGTTTTGACAAATATAGGTAAATTCCTTGAAAATTATACACTACCAATATTGATTCAAGAATTAATACAAAATTTGGCTAATCCTGTATCTATTAATGAGATTTAATTTGTATTTATTCATCCCTCAAAAAAATTTTAGACACAGATTACTTTGTTGGTGATGTCTATCAAATTTTTAAGGAAATCATGATACCAAACATATGCAAACTCAAAAAAAAAACATTCTATATTTATTTCATAAAGTCAGCATTACCCTGATTACAAAACCAGACTGAATCCAAAATAGAGCAAAACAAAATACAACAAAATGAATGATGCTAAAATAATTCAACATTATAATAAGTGAACCTCAATTTTACTTGAAACATTAAACAAAAACTAATCACAGAATCTTACCTCAATTCATAAAACTTCCAGAAGAAAGGAAAAATTAAAATCTTTTTGACCTTTGGATAGACAAAATTTCTCACATTTGACATATGTAACATCAAACATTTTGTGATAAACTTAAATTCATCAGAAATATAATACAAGTATGTTCTTTTGAAAGACATAATTAAGAACATGAAAAACAAGTCACAGTCTAAAATATTTGAAATGTGTATATTTTTAAAAGTTCCATTTACTGAAAGCATAACTAATTATAAGAAGGCAAATGATGCATTTTTAAACAGACAAACATTTGAACAGACATTTAAAGTGGAAGTTATACAAATGGTCCAAAGCTACATGATGCTAAAGACGCTGAGACACGTTATTGCTATTCATATAAATGCCAATCAGTTAATTGGCCACTTAATGTGTAATGAAATGCCAACTAATGTGTAATGAAACATCATTACACATTATTTGGAATAGCTAAAACTGGAAAAAAAATCTGACCATATAAAGTATTGGTGAAGATATACTGCAACTGGAATTCTTATGGTACAAATATTTTGGAAGATGGTTTAACAGTTTATTATAAAGTTGAACATAAATTTACCATGTAGCCCAGCAACTGCACTCATAGGTATTTGCCCAAGAGAAATGAAAACCTATGACTACATGAAAACTTGAACATGAAAGATCATAAAAGATTCATAATGGACAGAAACTAGGGGAAAAAATCAATGTTTGGAAGAAAAATTAATAGAAAAATTGTGGTATAACCATAATGGAGATACTACTTCACAATTAAAAATTAATGAACTATTTTCTCCATCTTTATTTTTATTAGTGAAAAAATAAAAACAATAAAGAGAAAGTGAACTGTTGATATACATGAAAACATATGAATCTCAAAATCATTAAGATGGGTAAAGAAGGAAAAAGGAGTATAATTTAATCCAAATAAAATTTTGTGAATGGCAAAGCTAACTTAACAGTGATAGAAAGCAAATCACTGTTTTGCTATAGTTGGCGTATGGTGTTGGGGATATGGTTACAGAGGTCTGTTAGTGTTATGGAATTTATTGTAAATTAGCTTCACAATCTTTTTGAGTGATTGATGGAAATATCCTGTATCTTGACTTTGGCTCTAGTCGTGTGGGTATATATATTTGTAAAAAGTTATTGAACTGTACTTTTAAACTCTGCATAAATTGTAGTGTGCGTAAATTACATCTGAAATAATTGATAAACATTCTAAGAATTTTCTGAAGATCTCCTGTGGATTCTGACAAATTTACAGCATAATGAAAAGTAAATCTTGCCAGAAAGTTTCTCTTCTAACTGTTCTGAAATTACTATTCTTTCTGACATTGTTTTCCAAATCATTTATTTCCTCTAAAGTTTTTTCAGAAACCCATTATCTTTATTATTCGCCACCTCACTCTAACCTCAGCCTCAACTTGTTCATAAACTTAAATTTTTTATTATCTAAAGTAAACTCGTACTTCTTAGATTTCTTCCAGTAGTCAAGAGGCACAAAAAATAGGATTAAAGATAGAGAGGAAGGGAGAGAGGGTAACAGAGGGAAGAAGAGAGAGACAGGAAGATAAAAGAGCTTACAATTTAATACTTAACTTTCCAATAACTATCATTGTGTTTTTATTATTATTCTTATTTAAGATGTAGCGTATATTAATTCTCTACTAACACAAGTTATAAATACATCAGAAACATGGCTAGGCAATACATCATTGTCCTAATTTTGAGGTATTATTGCTTTTTCCTTTTGTTCTACAACTTGGGTTTTCTTGGGGTGTGGGAAATACTTCATTTATCTTCATCTTACTAAAACTTATTACCAGTAAGTAAATAATAAATGTTTGTTGCCCTTGAAATTATTTCAAGAGTCTTCACCATCCTCTTCTCCTCCTGCTGCCTCTGACACACAGCTGGAAATACTTTTGCTTAACGTATCACTTGCAACTTTATTATAGCACTAATCAAGGCTGCCTTATTAAAGTGTCCATCTGGTAAATGATAAGTTGGAATAGTTTAAATCAACGTATCATGGTTATGGGTTGGTTTGAAGCTAAGGCTTAAATATACCAATAACACAAATCTTGTCACATATTCCGATTTTCATGGACAAAGGGAATGAATCTTACCCTACTCTTCTCTGCTTCTTAAATATGTATAAATAAGTCTGAGGAGTCTAATGGACTCTGAAGTCCACAATGGAAAGATGGTTGAATGGAGGAATAATAGGTTTCATAAAGGAAAAAAAATCACTTATATTGAGAACTCTTGCATGGATCAGACTTAGCAAAAGTGTGAGAGAAAGATTCTACCTGATTATGGGCACTTACCTGCTCAAGGAGCTCTCTCTGTAGTGAAACCAAGAATCCTTTACTAGTGATTGAATAAACTCTGTTGAACAACTCTGCATTCAGTGGCCATAAGAAGAAATGATAGACTTACTGGCAGAGCAAACAACTTAAGCATTGACTACATGTGCAAAATACATTATCATCAAGAAGGAAGTCTTCATTGGAGTGTGGAGCAGTTCAGATGGTAATAAATTGAGAGAGACTCAGAGAGGTTATGTGAAATCTTAGTCAGCAACAACAGAGAGAAAGGCTGCTCCAAGGATTGCAGATTTACATCAAAGATGAATGAGATGGAAGCTCCCAGGAGAGCACCACAGCGGAACATGCAACACTACTTCAGGCAAGCTAAGCAGCAAGTTTCAGAAACAAAATTATCAGTTCAGGCAGGAGCTGACAAGGATGGTAAGAGTGCAAACAAAGTGAAAGCATGATCAGTTTACTAAATTAGGAATAAAACTCAGCTCTTCACTTTGGGAAGTGTATTCCAAAGAAATGCCCAAAAGAGGAAATGTTGAGATCTGACTATTTGGCAGGTTGAGATTGCATTTATGTACCTGAAATTTTTGTAAACTTTCCTAGGATATTCATACTGGTGGAGTCTTAGATAAATAAAAGTAATCATGAGATTCCATTGGTATGACAATCAATGCATCAATGTAATTTGAATTTATCATTAAACCTTGGTCATAGTTACTAATTTACTGCATAAATGAAGTTATCTAAAAGCAGTAGAATGGTTGAAACATCAAGAAACAAACCATGTTTTTCCAGATTTCATCTGCTTTTTCTTGAATACAGTAGTTTAGTAAAATTGTATTAACTCAGTTAATTCAAAAGAATGTATATATTATTAATAATCTTTAGTTTTATAAAACTCTTCCTGTTTCACAGTAGAAATCATTATGTCATCAAATTGGCTTAATTTCAAACTGCTAGTGATAACAGTGATGTGGCCTTGTAATAAATTTAAAATAATATAGAATATAAAAATATATTAAAATTATATTACTATATCTATTCAGGCCTTTCATTTTATATATTTTAGGCATTTCCCATTTTTCAGAGATTATGCCTGTATTATTTTGAAAGTAAAAAATATGCTATTTGAGAAAATTTGAGTTTCTTTTTTTCTAACATTGTCTGAATTTTTACATCATATATAAAAATAATGTATTAGTATATGTGCAAACTTGTTACACTATCAATTTGCATTAGTAGCAATGATAAAATTAGAATAAATTATCTTTTAAAATGTAAAATATAAAAATTCCACTTTTATTGAAATGCTGTATGAGTCAATAAATAATATGCCTTTGAGCTATACAAGAAGCAGTTTCGAGTTTTACATAAACCATTGAGAGAGCACAAAAGTGAAGTCAATCAACCTCTTAAACAAGGGAATTCTGCTCATCAGTATTTCATTTTGCAGTTACTTTACCTGAACATAGATTATAGAAAATTCTCATGTTGCTGTTAATCATTAACATTTTTTGTTTTAGCATAAGGTCAGGTGATTTTTTCACACTGTTAATTTTATGAGTTGAATGGCCACCCATGCAATTGGCCTCATATTGTACTAAAAAGCGTATTAATAAAAATAATGGTTCAATATTTTGAATGAAAACATATGAGCGTGACACTATTTGCCTAATCTGCATTGAACTGTCAGAGCTGTTTTGGTTGGATGCTAGCATAGGTAATTTAGGTTCATATTGGTCTCCCCACTCAACCTATACAAATATTTTGCAACTGAATCAATCACTCAGTGGTCCAGTTCAATGACTAAGGTAGCTAAAATGAGTAGTTTAGCCATGTCATAGCTCATTTGTATATGTTTAGACCAAGAACAGCTAATAGAAAGGTCAGAGAATAAAATGTTCACTGCAAGTATATGTGCCCTAAAGGAAATATGAATCAGGTCTGGTTGCTTTTTGGATGTCGGCCTAGTTGAATGTGATTTTGGAAGTTCAAATGCTGGGAATTACTGGTTAATTTATGTAATAACTTTAAGACATAAGAATTAAAATAAAGTTGAAGATCTATTGCTTATATTTTGATATTCTGCTCTGATATAAAGGCATGCAATGGATGCGTTTAGGGAAAGTCTCGGTAAGAGAAATACAGTGTTTTTTATTTTTCTGTGTAGTCCACATTAACAAGTTAGAGATATTTGTCTTTGTGGGCCTGGCTGATTTCACTTAATATAATGTTTTTCAACTTCATCCATGTTGTCTCAAATGGCAGGATATTGTTCTTTTGTAATGGCTGAGTCACATTCCACTGGGTTTATATACTATATTTTACTTATCCATTCATCTGATGATGGACACACTTAGGTTCCTTCTATATCTTGCAAATAATGCTGCAATAAATATGAGAGTGCAGATATCTCTTTGAATACTGATTTTGTTTCGTTGGCATAGATATCCACTAGTGGAATTGATGGTTCATACGTTGGTTATAAGTTTAATGTTTTGAGGCTTCTTTATATTGTTTTCCATAACGGAGGCATTAATTCACATTCCCATCAACAGAGTGTAATGGTTCCTGTGCTATTAAAGTCTAAATCTACTGAGCCATACACTTAAAACTCTTCAAAATCTGACTTTAGCTAACTATCCTATCATTATCTTCACTCAACTTTTCCTGTAGTTTTTAGTAAATCATTCTATTCTTAATATGGCATGTTTCAAACTATGTTTCTTAGCATCTTAAAGTTTTTCAGATAAGGCAAAGCCTCCAATGAATGGTAGGGTGAGAGTGCGGGTGGAGGTGCTCAATAGTTGAGATTTGCCCTCTCCTCACACCAAAAAAACAGAGACAGCTCTTAAAAAACTCCATCTTTTTTGTTTTTCCCTTTTTTCCCCATAGTTTCTAATCTGGGTTTCTTTAGGGTAAAATATTGTATTTCCAAAATTTAAAATATGCATAATGTAATTTTCTCTATTTCTATTTATTCAAATCATCTTATATATTTTCTACAGTTTTCCCCATCTCTTTTAATTTGAGAGAGTAGAGATTTATTATTTTGAAGATACACACTCTGTATTCAAATTATTTTAAACTTTAGTGTCTGTAAGAATTTATCTCAGCTGTTTATTAATTCCACAAATGTTTATTTAATTCTGTTCATACCACAGTGATTTAAACAAAGACTCTTGCTCTTGGAGAGATTGCATTCTAGCATAGAGAATGCAGAAACTTCTTGATTCAAACGATTCTCCTGCCTCAGCCTCCCGAGTAGCTGGGATTACAAGCAACTGCCACCACGCCCGGCTAATTTTTGTATTTTTAGTAAAGACGGGGTTTCGCCATGTTGCCCAGGGTGGTCTCGAACTCCTGACCTCAGGTGATCCACCCGCCTTGGCCCCACAAAGTGCTGGGATTACAGGCGTGAGCCACCGCGCCTGGCCAAAAAATTTAATGTTGACAGCCCAAGCTTTCAGAAAGAGTTTCTATAAAGTGTAATGGTGAATTTTCCCTACTCTCTCTTCACCCTGCGTATATTTTGTAGAGGTTTCTCTTATGCAAACTGAAAAACCTCTACAAAATATAGCATGGTAGCAATGGGTTAAAAACACATAAATTCTTGAGAGGTAGTATAATTATCATTTTAATATAACTTATGCAATACCGTATAAACAGCCAATAGAATGGTATACCTGGAAAAGAGTTAAGTGTAACATAGGGAGTATTGATAGGGATCAATTAGAAGTTGGCTTTATTTTGAACTCATTTCCTCAGAGAAGAGTACGTTGAAGAACTATTATATTATTTAACTAATTAATTAAAGTAGATAGATTTAATATTTTTATAACATAGTGCATGGCCCCGTGGGCAAAAGTGATGAGTAATATTTTGTCTCTGCTCTCCAGAAATCAGTATGTGATGAAAGTCTTTCATGCAAATTAATCACCATAATACAGTTTAAGTGCTTTAAAGATAAGTGCCTGAAGCAGGAGAATCGCTTGAGGCCAGGAGTTCAAGACCAAACTGGGCAACATAGTGAGACGCTTTCTCCACAAAAATAATAATAATAATAATAATAAAATTAAAAATTAAAAGTCAAAAACCTAATAAAATAAAAGTCATATGTCAAAACTTTAGAGTGGTATATTTTATAAGCCACATGTTAATGTTTCATGATAATGAGGATAATGAGAAAAGAACAACAGTCATAAAGATTTTAGTGATTGAAACTATTCACTCAATATCTACTTCCTGCTCTACTCTTAAGAAAGACCACATGAATATATGATAAAAGTTAGGCACCAATTAAAGGTAAAGAAGACAGTTCTAGCATATATACTTTGTGTAACAAGGGTAAAAAAACAAAAACAAAAACTTCAGCTGCACCCCATGTAAAAAGACACTACGGTCAGTTATGAAAGCTCTGGTACCTTCAACATATTTTAAAGAAAATATAATAACCACATTTTAAAATATTTCACTCAGATAAAATTTTCCATTCATTTTTCATATAAAATAAAATGTACTATATGTAATTTTATAGTAATATAATTATTCATCCAATGTTTTGTAACAGAAGCAAAATGGTCTCTTAAAAGAACAAAATATGTCTTCATAATAATTTTAAACACATTTTTTATTTTCATGATACACTCTATTTATTAATATTTCCTAAGTAACTCTGTACTGTTATAACTTCAAAAGCTTCAAAATTTTACTATATACAAAATCTTGGGCTGTTAAAAATGAAATGCTTCATGAATATATTGGGTATATTTTCATTCAAAATGGTATATTTTACTTCCAATGTTAGATTAAAATATTTAGCAAACATAGAATTTCCTGAGCTATCAACTATTATTTTACTTGTTCTAATTTTTGTTGCCATTAGGTTTCTAAATTTTCAGTAAAATTTTCTAGTATTCTCTCTAAATTGTTAATATGAAAGCAATCTCACTACCTGTCATTGTGTTGTTGGACAGAAGATCTTCCAGTAAAGTATCAGTAATAAAATGTTCATTTTGAATATTTCTTCAAAGAATTAAGACAATTCTAGTAAATTAAATTAACTATGATTTTTAGGCCTTTATAACTTTATGCAAACTATGTTCATATGTACAATATTTGTTTTCTAAATATATGTTTCAGTATTTGCTTTACTGTCTTGTTATAATTCTTTGGCTATAAGAAATAGAGAAACAAATCAAACTCCCTTTAGCAAATGTGTATTTTTTTCTCCTGATTTTAGAAGACTAGAAATAATACGGTTTTGGGCAAAAATTGATCCAGAAAGTTAAAGAAATCATCAAAATCTGTTCACCCTTTCTTTCTCTTTTCTACTTCTTAATGTGGTGAGGAAAATGTGGTGGGAATTCTTGATACTTACTCAGCTAGCTATAGCTATGACCCAATTGGCCTTTTTTTTTTTTTTTTTGAGCTCTTAAAGGGAAATTCGAAGAAAAAGAAAGATCTGTTTTAATTTAACAAGAGCAATATTATACCAATAAAATGTCATATTATAACTGGAATTCCTGCAACATGGGCCTACACGTATGGCCAGGAAAGCAGTAGACTGTAAAGGCAGCCCTACCCCAGTGACATGATTGGAGTGGGGAAAAAGCAATTCTCGAAGGAAGGGGTGAGTTCCTGGACAAAGTCAGCTCCAAATGTGATATCAAGGTATAAATTACAAAAAGAATTGTGAGTCTGATAAGAGAAAAAAATAAACATCTTTTCAAAGATATATTCTCTTGTTAATGAGGGGAATAGTAAGATGGTAAACCTGATTCAAATATCATTTGAGGAGCTGGAATAAGTATAAATACATCAAAATAGCACACAGAAATACATTTTTTAATTATAATAATTTACAGTGAATCTCTTACAGTTATAAACCATAACTTTTATCTTTTCTATTAGACAAGAGTTATTAAATTACTATTAGACTTGAATCAGTTGCTTTGCTACTAGTATCAATGAATAGAAAAAATCAAACAAAGGTATACACCTCTAGAAAATCAGATAATCTCCATTTGGAACTGCTAAATAACACCCAGCACAAAACGGAAAGAACTGTCTACAATCTCTTTGCTTTATTTACAAATTTGAATATTTTATCTTAATTGATGTAATATGAAGATCACCTAGTTTGGAGTTGGGTGTCTTGTTTCTAAACTTGGCTTATTACTTTGAACCAGGCACTGAATGTCTCTAATACCTCGTTCTTTACATCTAAAAATCTGTTATTCCAAACTTTGACTATATTATATCTCTTAGGAGGAGGTATTCTGTTTTAAACTGTGGAATACATAAACTTATGTCTTATAATTTTACAAAAGAACTTTAGTAATACTCTATCCAAGCTTTACTCAGATCTAATTAACAAATACAATTTTGTAACAATTTTTAACAGCTTTATTGAACTATAATTGTTATACAAATAACTGCACATATCTGACATATCTGATCTGTACAATGTGATAAATTTGAATGTACATAAACACCCCAATACTATGACCAGAATGAAGATAATAAAAATATCCAACACCCTCCAGTTTCCTTGTGTCTTTTTTGTCTTTGTGTGTACTTACATGTTTTGTTTTGTGGTAAAAACCTTTAACGTGAGATCAATCCTCTTAACAAAGTTTGAAGTGTACCATAGTGTATTGTTAACTATTGGCACCATGGTTGTATAGCAGAGCTCTGGAATTTATTCATCCAGCATAACTAAAACTTTATGCTGGAAAGATAAAGATAATTAAAACATGGGGGCTGTTCTAAATTATGTGAGGTCAACTATAAAGAAAAAAATGTGTCAACAATCACAGTGTTATAGAATTGTATGTGCTATAGTGAAATATATGTCAAATATTTAAAATGGTCTTGAGGTTTAAAATTGAACACAGCCAATACTAAATCAGATATGTCATGGAAAAGGGTGGATGCTTCACTGAGATGGACTCTCCGACCCAGGAAAATAGGTATATGTATTAATAAATGTGAGTCATCATTAGCTTTGAATATTTTTTTCTTTATTAGGTGGTAAACTTTATGATGGCAAGATATCACATGTCTTTTTATTTTTCAGTGATGTATTCCCAGGACTAAGTGTTATGATAGCAATTACATGCTCAATATCTGTTCACTTTTAGCAAAAATACCAATGTATAATCAAAACTAATTTTATAACTAAGAGTTTTAATAATATTTGTTAATTCAAAGTGAAACAAAATCTTACTACAATGCAGTAGTAAATATTTTATATATTCATATCTATAATTATATGTTTTAAAGTGTACTGAGAACAGCTCAAAGCATTATATTTCTAAAATGTTAAGACTAGGTATTGCATGCTTTAGAATCCACACTCAAAAATGCACGTTATAATGTTAATATATTTTAATAACATATTTAGAATGGTATATTTATTCTGTTTGTTTCCACAAGCAGTACATCTAACATATTTCTTGTTGTGCATCCCCAGATAACAAACAGCCTCCAACCACATGTAAACATTCATGAACTATGCCTCTAAACTAGTGAGAACTGTTTTTAAAAAAGAAGTAATGGATATTATCTCATTTCATGTATTGACTTGATTTGATAAAAATAAAAATCACCTGGAAATGATTCTTCTGGCTGGGAACATCTTTCAGTACAGTGCTTTGACCTACCCTGTTAGATCTCATTTCATTCTTATGTCCTTAAGCCTTCAAAAGCTTTCTGCTCTTTCCGTTTATGAGCATGCCAGTGGCATTCCCAGGTTCCTTCTCATCTACTTTTTGATGTTCCTGTACAATCTGATGATTCACCTTTCTCAGTGAGCACAGGGAATATTTTCAAGTACTATTTTTTTGACACCTTCTTTTCCAACTTCAAATCGTCAAACTATTGTATAACAAAGGCTACTCTACCTAAACTAGCAACTCATTTTATTTGACGTTCTAGCTGTCAGTGTTAAGTGCTTTAATTATTTCATCTTCTTTTTGGTAAAATAATTTTTGTTCTGGCATTTTGGTAAAGATCTTATTTCTAATTTTGACCACATCTGCATTAATTTTAATAAGTGAGGAATATATATTTTATAAGAATGCTTGCCTTGCTTGTGGTCATTTTTCTTTTATAAATTGTTTTAGAACATTATTACTTTGGGCTTCTAGACTCACTATTTCACATAAGTTTTCAAAATTCTAATAAAATTAGAAGGAATATGAATAAAATTACAAAGGAATGTAAATTGGTATAATTTTTAAAGCTCTAAACTTTTTTTATTTGTTAGAGATAGACATTTTATTTATACTTCTGTAACCTTGCTTTCTGTGGAATTAAGTAATCTTAGATCTGAATTTAATTTGATAGTCATTTTCTGCTTTTGGTGATTTCATAGTCATGCCAACTTCCTAATAAGTTCAAAGTTATTTTTATTGTCCTCAATTATTTTGTGTGAGTTACATTTGAAGCCAAAAAAGCATCTTAAGAAAATTATCAAACCTTACTTTGTGGGAAATATATGTGCCATCTTCCATCATTCATAAACCAGTGTACTCTTTAGCCTTATTCCTATGAAATGTTGATAATGCATTTGACACAAAGAAGCAGTAGAGATATATTATTTGTTTTCATTGCTAAATAAATGATAACCATGCAGATGAAATTTATTAGTTAAGGCATTTTACAAATCAAAATGTCTTTGGCTGTCAACAAAAAGGAACACAATGTATATATAAACTTCATTTGTAAGTACAGTATTTCACTAATGCCAAGTAAATTGTTTGGGAACATCAATATTACAATGTTAAGACATACCTCTGTGTTTTACATCCATTACCTGACAACTTTCATATTTTGAACTTGCAGCTTATAGAACTTTTGGTAATTATTACACATTAGATGCAGCTTCCAAAGGGGCATGATAAGTATGCTAGTAATAATGCCACATGAAGAAATTGGAATAAATGGATACTTGTATGAGGGGAAAAAACTAAATTTTAATGCATTTCTACTTCATATGAGGAACTGTGATTACATAAACATATTTAATCCACTGAAGACACTTTGAGGTCTTCAGTGTTTTTTTGGTAATTCATATTTACTACTGAGAAACACTGAATACTAATAGAGTGAATCTAACCTTCCTCAATTACAAAATCTGTAAGTAATAGAATCAAAGTTGGAGTTTGGGTGCTTTGAAATTCATAGCTCACACTCTTTTTTTTCTTCTATTGTTCTTCCTTAAGTATTTCTATTTTGGTTGACTGACTCAAATCACCTTTCTCAGCCTCTCTCTCTTTCATGTATATATAAAGGTTTATTTTACGATCAGGGTTGCATGTGTAATAATAGTGAGAATGTCTTCTTTCCCAGAAACATTTTCATTTTAAAGTACATCCTTATACTAAAGTCATCAGCTAGTAAATGAAAAGGGCTTAAGTTGTTTTAGAGCTTTATATATCTGTTTGTCATAGCCAGGTTTCTTATTGTAGGGCTCACTATTCTATTTATACAGACACTAGATATTTTATACCATTCCCCTAATAGAAAAAGCAGTACAGCTAAATAGTTTTAAAAACAAGCTTTAGTGTGAGAAAATGATGCTTTTAAATCCAAACTCCATTTCTAGATGTGTGAACTTTTGGAATTTACATTTTCAAAGACTATATTGCCTTTATTGTTTATTTTGTCAAATGGAGCCCTCAAAGTGTTCTTTTTTTTTTTTTTGAAGGATTTTTGACAATGTATTCAAAAGCAATGTGACTTAGTAGTGATTAAGACCACCACTGACCCAGAGAGAAATATATTAAGAAACAGATATACCTATTGATATGGTTTGGATCTGTGCCCCCACCCAAATCTCATGTTGGATTGTAATTCCCACTGTTGGAGATGGGGCCTGGCAGGAGGTGTTTAGATCGTGGGGGGTGGATTTCTCATAAATGGTTTAGTATCACCCGCTTGGTGCTATCCTCCTGATAGTGAGTTCTGTTCACATCTTGCCATTTAAAAGTGTGTGGCACTTCCTCCCACTGTCTCTTTTGGTCCTGCTTTTGCCATGTGTTTTGCCTGCTCCGACTTCATCTTCTGCAGTGAGTAAAAGCTCACTGAGGCCTTCCCAGAAGCCAAGTGATGCTGTTGCAATGCTCGCACAGCCTGCAGAACTGTCAGCCAATTAAACCTATTTAAAAAAATAAATTACCCAGTGTTGGGTGTTCCTTCATAACAATGCAAGAGTGACCTAATACACCTACTATGTACCAGGCATTATTCTAGTTTAGGCAACAGATGCCAAAATATGAGTCTTTTTATTAAGATGAACCTAAAGGAAAACATACTCCCAAGGGATTAGAATAGTAAGAGCCAATATTGTACCCCCTCTTTCTCCTTTCTTCCTTCCTTTCTTCCTTCCTTCCCTTGCCTTCCCTTCCTTCCTTCTTTCCTTCCTTCCTTTCTTGCTTTTCTTTCTTCTTTCTCTTTCTTTCTCCTTTCTTTTCCTTCCTTCCTTCCTTCCTTCCTTCCTTCCTTCCTTCCTTCCTTCCTTCCTTCTTTCATTGTCTCTTTCTCTTCTCCCTTTCTTTCCTTTTTCAGGTATTTCATCTGACTTTTTGAAAACTTTAAATAAAAAGTCATTCTCATACCAACCATGCATATCTGTCATAGTTGGAAAATAAAATAAAGTAGGTTCAAGGAAGTATAAAAAGTACCTAGAATAAAACTTTAACTGGGGACTCCAAAAGGGGGAAGGGTGTGAAGGTAGTGAGAGTTGAAAAATCACCTACTGGGTACAAAGTTTTTGTTTGGGTGATGGGTACACTAGAAACTCCAACACCACCATTATGCAATATATCCATGTATCCATTGTGCAATATATCCATGTAACAAACCTGAATATGTACCTGCAAATCTAAAATAATAACAGAAAATTTCAATTTAATGTAATTTTTTTTTATTATACTTTAAGTTTTAGGGTACATGTGCACATTGTGCAGGTTAGTTACATATGTATACATGTGCCATGCTGGTGCGCTGCACCCACTAACTCGTCATCTAGCATTAGGTATATCTCCCAATGGTATCCCTCCCCCCTCCCCCAACCCCACAACAGTCCCCAGAGTGTGATATTCCCCTTCCTGTGTCCATGTGATCTCATTGTTCAATTCCCACCTATGAGTGAGAATATGTGGTGTTTGGTTTTTTGTTCTTGCGATAGTTTACTGAGAATGATGATTTCCAATTTCATCCATGTCCCTACAAAGGACGTGAACTCATCCTTTATTATGGCTGCATAGTATTCCATGGTGTATATGTGCCACATTTTCTTAATCCAGTCTATCATTGTTGGACATTTGGGTTGGTTCCAAGTCTTTGCTATTGTGAATAATGCCGCAATAAACATACGTGTGCATGTGTCTTTATAGAAGCATGATTTATAGTCCTTTGGGTATATACCCAGTAATGGGATGGCTGGGTCAAATGGTATTTCTAGTTCTAGATCCCTGAGGAATCGCCACACTGACTTCCACAATGGTTGAACTAGTTTACAGTCCCACCAACAGTGTAAAAGTGTTCCTGTTTCTCCACATCCTCTCCAGCACCTGTTGTTTCCTGACTTTTTAATGATCGCCATTCTAACTGGTGTGAGATGGTATCTCATTGTGGTTTTGATTTGCATTTCTCTGATGGCCAGTGATGGTGAGCATTTTTTCGTGTGTTTTTTTGGCTGCATAAATGTCTTCTTTTGAGAAGTGTCTGTTCATGTCCTTCGCCCACTTTTTGATGGGGTTGTTTGTTTTTTTCTTGTAAATTTGTTTGAGTTCATTGTAGATTCTGGATATTAGCCCTTTGTCAGATGAGTAGGTTGCGAAAATTTTCTCCCATTTTATAGGTTGCCTGTTCACTCTGATGGTAGTTTCTTTTGCTGTACAGAAGCTCTTTAGTTTAATTAGATCGCATTTGTCAATTTTGGCTTTTGTTGCCTTTGCTTTTGGTGTTTTAGACATGAAGTCCTTGCCCATGCGTATGTCCTGAATAGTAATGCCTAGGTTTTCTTCTAGGGTTTTTATGGTTTTAGGTCTAACGTTTAAGTCTTTAATCCATCTTGAATTGATTTTTGTATAAGGTGTAAGGAAGGGATCCAGTTTCAGCTTTCTACATATGGCTAGCCAGTTTTTCCAGCACCATTTATTAAATAGGGAATCCTTTCCCCATTGCTTGTTTTTCTCAGGTTTGTCAAAGATCAGATAGTTGTAGATATGTGGCGTTATTTCTGAGGGCTCTGTTCTGTTCCATTGATCTATGTCTCTGTTTTGGTACCAGTACCATGGTGTTTTGGTTACTGTAGCCTTGTAGTATAGTTTGAAGTCAGGTAGTGTGATGCCTCCAGCTTTGTTCTTTTGGCTTAGGATTGACTTGGCGATGCGGGCTCTTTTTTGGTTCCATATGAACTTTAAAGTAGTTTTTTCCAATTCTGTGAAGAAAGTCTTTGGTAGCTTGATGGGGATGGCATTGAATCTCTAAATTACCTTGGGCAGTATGGCCATTTTCATGATATTGATTCATCCTACCCATGAGCATGGAATGTTCTTCCATTTGTTTGTATCCTCTTTTATTTCCTTGAGCAGTGGTTTGTAGTTCTCCTTGAAGAGGTCCTTCACATCCCCTGTAAGTTGGATTCCTAGGTATTTTATTCTCTTTGAAGCAATTGTGAATGGGAGTTCACTCATGATTTGGCTCTCTGTTTGTCTGTCGTTGTTGTATAAGAATGCTTGTGATTTTTGCAATATATCCATGTATCCATTGTGCAATATATCCATGTAACAAACCTGAATATGTACCTGCAAATCTAAAATAATAATAAAAATTTCAATTTAATTTAATTTTAAAAATAAAAGTAAAAAATATAACTTTATTACATTTTGAATATTGTATGTTTAACTGTGGATTCTCCAGTAGTACTTTGATTTATTTATCTTATTATGTGCTATACCCACAACATTTTAGTGCAAGAATATTGTAGGATATTGTGATGAATGAAAACACTATTTTACCTTACTATAATTATTTACTAATTGTTTGGTGTAGAGATAGAGGATAATTGTGATAGAACCATTTTTAAGATGCCTGCAAAGACAGGAATTCAAATCAATTATAATTGGTAGCCATATGAAGAAATGTTGGTTCAGATAAGTTGTGATATTAACAGAGTATAAATTATTTGGATGAATGTCCTGATAATATATCTATCATAATCTGAATTAAACTTTATTTTTAATTAGCAATTACCTCAATTTGAGTGACTTTTCTACACCATATTTATTTTATAAGATTGACAAGTGTCTTTATATATTCAATTTAAAAGCAGCACTAATGTTTTCCAATCTTGTGAACTAAATTATGTTTAAAAGTATTAAAACTCATGTATTTTTCAAGATTAGGATAATATAAACAATGTTTTTCTAGAGATAAAATCCTAATACAGAAGCTAATACCCATTTCTACTTTTGATCCATCCACAGGTTAAAGAATTACAAAGAAAACTTAATTAAATTTATTTTAAAGAATGATACCTAAATCAATGGCTTACTTATATGCTTGTAGTAAGCATTAAGAAAGTATACTGGAAAGGAAAAGGTAGACACAAACTACCTTCTCATATAGGTCACTGAATAAGAGTTAAAAGTTGTGTCATTTTACCTGATGAACCAAAAACTCAGAGGAAGGACCTGATATCAGTGTGATGCTTTTAAACAGTCTCATTTTGATGGAGCATGAAAATGTGACGTAGCCAATTTTTGCTGAAGAAATGGTGGTAAGCTTCAAATGTTCAGTCCTCACAGCAAAATATTCCAAGCCTTCATAAATGTATATAAACTGTTATAGTTGTTGAAGAACAAAAGCTTTCACAAATCCAAATCTTTATCTGGCTTTTGGTAACATAGGTATAAACAATTTTTTTTTTTTCCTAAATAAAATTACAGGCCAAGCGCAGTGGCTCATGCCTGTAATCTCAACACTTTGGAAACCCAAGGCAGGAGGATTGCTTAAGCCCAGGAGCTCAAGACCATCCTGGGCAAGACAGAGAGGCCCCATTTCTAGAAAAAAATAATAAAAAATAGCCAGGCATCTAGGCATATCCTTGAGGTCCCAGCTGCTTGGGAAACTGAAGTGGGAAGATAGCTCGAGCCCAGAAAGTCGAGCCTGCAGTGAGCCATGATTGTGCCAATGCACTCCAGCCTTGGCAACAGAGTAAGAGCCTGCCTCAAATAAATAAATAATAAACAAGCAAATAAAACCAATAAATAGAATCACAGAATTAACTCTGACAGGAAAAAACTGAATATCTCTAAATTTTAAATTATTTACTGTTTAGCTATAAGCACCTATTTTTATTCTTATCATCTTTAAATGGGGCTAGAAGTCATTACATGTTAAAATGGAATTATGAAATATTTATGGATATTAAATAATTTGACGAGGAATTATTTACATAACTGCCTTAAAACAAAACTTCATATCCATAACATGAAATTTTACTCACTTAATGTCTTTTTTTTTGTAATTTATTGTTTCAATGTGTTCTAAATTGTACCTATTGTAAGATGATTTTTGGCCTGTAGAATTCTAAATTTATCTTGAGCTTCCCATTATTCCTAGTAACAAAAACAGGATGATAATATACATAATGTACAGAATAGCATTTCAAATTATTTAAAATCTAGTATTTTGTAAATAGGTCCATCCTGCACTGAATATATTGAATGAGGAATTGAACACCTGTGTAATACTCTTGTTCATTCCATATTTTATCTTTCAGTTGAAAAGCATTCTGTCTTAATACCTAGCTACTAAGACATTTCATATATGTGCCAATATGGAATACCAAGGTCTTTTCTTTCTTTTGTTTGTAGCAAATGAAGGTTCCCCTGCTATAATGAAAAAATAATATATTCAGATAGTCATATAATTGCTATAGTACTGTAGAGGCTACATGTTTGTGAATGTGTTGTGCCCTAGTTCTTTCTCCTTCCCTGGAGGTAACCTTCATAAGAGGTCAGTTTTTTTTCTTGAAGACATAAATGGCATATTTACAAGTTGAATATGTGTAACCTGTAACACAATACCAAATGGAGCATGGCAAAAACAAATGAAACAATTTGAATGGCTGATAACTACTTCAAGCTATGCTAGTCTCAAGGCAATTATAGCAGTTAGAAAATATCCGGCTATTCAAACACTAACTGTATTTCTGTTAGTATAAATCTATAACCATTACATGATTAAAGTATTCTCCAACACTCTGAAACAATTCCCATTACCTTATGTAAAGTATATCGCTAACTGGCAAAGAAAGGCTATGAAATTGTGAAAAATTGTTTCATAAATTTTATCAAATAAATTCTAACTTTCAGGAATCCAGTTCAATGGTTAAACACATAAATTTTGTCAGAAATCAAAGGAATGAAAGAATATAATCTTTGAGATGAGGACTGTACTTACTAGGAACCTTTTTTCTTTCTGTAAAATCATAGTATATAGTTTTTCATAGGCATAATTGATATTTTGCTGAATAATTGATATGTCAATTGAAGAAATCTAGAGTAGTAACACCCACTATTATTATTGAAATATTGTTTAAAATTGCCCTGATGATGTCACAGCTGTTACTCTGGTACACAGTTCAATGACAATGCACTTAATTTTCTCTTCCAAAAATAATAAAGATATTTATTCCTATACTGTGAAGCAATAGAATTATTAAGCAAATGCTGGCATAGTGGTGCAATATATTAGTTGCACAATACATTGTTATGAGTTCTTAACATTTCCAGGGACTCATCTAGATATTGGGATGATATAGTAAACAAGTTATAAAGTTTCTATAAGCCATAAAGTTTCTATATTTCATAGTAAGAAATCATCAAAAAATTAACATTATAAAGCTAATTATAATCATATTTAACGAACATATCACAAAAATGAAGAGGATGAAGAGGAGCTGGCTCTTAGGAAGGTAAAGAAATGCACTACATCTTTTATAAAAGATATTTAAGATGAGAAGAAATTAACTATGTAGAGATCTATAGAAAAACTTTTATAAAAAGTAAAAAACAGCTAGGTGTGGTGGCTCATACTTGCATTCCCCACAGTTCGGGAGGTGGAGACAGCAAGATTACTTGAGGCCAGAAGTTTGAGACAAGTCTAGGCAATATAGTGAGACCTGATATCTACAAACAAAAAAGATTATCCAGGTACGGTGGCACATACCTATAGTCCCAGTTACTTGGGAGGCTGAGGCAGTAGGATCATTGGAGCTTAGGAGTTCGAGGCTGCAGTAAGCTGTGATCATGCCACTTCACTCCAGCCTAGGTAACAGAATGAAATACTGCTTCTAAATTTAAAAAAATAATAAAAATAAAAAGCAAATTTGAGGGCCTAGATATGGTAAGAAACCTAGCATATCCAAGGAACACTAAAGTGGATGCTATAATGCATCTAACACTAATTTCCCAAGCTGCTAGATATTATGCTTGAGAAAGTTGAGTTGGAAATATATGTCTGTATATCTATTATCTATATACTTATATATCTGTTTGTTGATATAAATATGTCTCTATATCTATCTATTTAAATTTGGCTTTCTTCAGCTTATAAATTTTATATAAAGTCATGGCATCAGATTGAGGTTCTAATATAAAAACAGAACTAGGAAAGAGGGCAAAGCCGGAGTTGTATAAATTAATTGAGAGATCTGGTAGAAAAAGATGAAGATGAAAAAGAAATTGAGAAGGAACAATCAGGAAAATATAGGCAGTGATGCTCAGGTAAATGGTTACTCACAACTGGCTTACAGCGAAGGAATGGAGGTATGGAGTGTTGATTTGTAGTGCTTTGAAATTCATGGGTGTCAATATTGCATCGTGGATTATTTCAACCTATCAAAGTGATGTCATTGAATATAGAGTTGGGAAGAGACACACAGGGAGTAACATCAGCAAGATGGCAGACTAGAAGATCCCAGCCTTTATTCTTTCACAAAACAACAATTTAATAACAAATTATTAACAGAAATAAATCTAAGAAATCCAAAGTATAATTAAGCTGCAGCAACAAAATGGATCACAAAAATGAAAGATGACTACATAGCGAAGCATTAGAAGCACTCTATCTGTGTCAGTCCATCCACCAGCATGGCACATGTTGGCACCAAGAGGGATATCCTTGGCAGAGATCTCCTCTAGTGGAGAAAAAGAGACCATTTTCCACCAAGGACTCCAGCAGTCTTTGCTGCTTCAGAGGACATTCAGAGCTTTCACCACTGACTATCCTTGCAGTTTTTGCCAATACTGACCCTAGCTGATGGGACTGCCTGGAATCCATGCTGCTGTGCCCCTCCCCAATAAAGCCAGAAGAATTTCACACCACCCAAATAACAACACTTGAATTAATAATATAGGTGAAGGTCTTTCTCCGCCAAAGTAATCATTTCTAAAATGTGAAATAGATGATTACATAAATTCATGGATATCAATGCAAGGCTACAGGCAATAAGAAAAGTCAAGAAAACATAGCACCACCCATGGAATACAATAAATTGCCATGAACCAATCCCAAAGAAATGGAGATCTATGAATTGCCTGGAAAGTAATCTAAAATAATTATTGTTTTATAAAATTCTCAGCAAATGACAACAGAACACAGACAACAGCAAAAATAAGGAAAACAATATATTAACAAAACAAAATTCAATGAAGAAATAGGAATTATAAAAAAATGAGCAAAAGTTATATAATTGAAAAATGCAATTAATTAAAAGAAAACAATAGAGAGTTTCAACAGCAGACTCAATGAAGCAGAAGAAAGAATCTGTGAGTTGTGAGACAGTCATTTGAAATTATTCAGTAAGAGGAGAAAAAGAATGTTAAAGAATAAAAAATGCCTGTGGGTTTTATTGGACACAATCAAACAAAGAATAAAGAAACTTCATGCATTTTATTGGACACAATCAAACAAACCAATATCCACATTATAGAAGTCCAAGAGTAAGAGACATAGAAAAATGCAGAAATCTTATGTAAAAACACAATAGCTAAAAAATTCACAAATCTTGAAAGAATTATAAACATACAGATTCAAGAACTCAAAGGATCACAAATAGAATCAATACAAAGAATGCTATGCTGAGACATTATATAATCAAATTTTCAAAAATCTAGGACAAAGAATTTTAAAAGCAGGAAGAGAAAAGCTACACATCACATATATTGAAATCCTCCTAATATGATCAGTGAGTTTCCCAGAAAATACTATCAGGTGAGGAAATAGGTGGTGGCTCACGCCTGTAATCCCAACACTTTGGGAGGCCGAGGCGGGTGGATCACCTGAGGTCAGGAGTTCAAGACCATCCTGGACAACATGGCAAAAACACATCTGTACTAAAAATACAAAAATTAGCTGGGCATGGTGGTGCATGCCTGTAATCCCAGCTACTCTGGAGGCTGAGACAGGAGAATCTCTTGAACCTGGGAGGCGGAGGTTGCAGTGAGCCAAGATCATGCCATTGCACTCCAGCCTGGGTGACAAGAGTGAAACTGTCAAAAAAAAAATTGTGATATGACATATTCAAAATACTATAAGAAAAAAAACCTTTCAACCAATAATACTATACCTGATAAAAATTATCCTTTAAAAATAGACAAAATCTTTCCTAGAAGAACCAAAACTAAGAAAATTCATCGCCAATAGACCTGCCTTACAAGACAAAGAAAAGCCTTTCAATAAAATTCAACACCCTTTCATGCTAATTCTCTTAATAAACTAGGTATTGAAAGAACATAACTCAAAATAATAAGAGCCATGTATGACAAACCCACAGCCAGCATTATACTGAATGTACAAAAGCTCGAAGCCTTCTACTTGAAAACCAACACAAGACAAGGATGCCCTCTCTCACACCTCTTTTTTTTTTTGAGACGGAGTCTCCCTGTCGCCCAGGCTGGAGTGCAGTGGCGCGATCTCTGCTCACTGCAGGCTCCGCCTCCCAGGTTCAAGCCATTCTCCTGCCTCAGCCTCCCGAGCATCTGGGACTACAGGTGCCCCCCACCTCGCCCGGCTAATTTTTTGTATTTTTAGTAGAGACTGGGTTTCACCGTGTTAGCCAGGATGGTCTCGATCTCCTGACCTCGTGACCCTCCTGCCTCAGCCTCCCAAAGTGCTGGAATTACAGGCGTGAGCCACCGCGCCTGGCCTCACCACTCTTATTCAGCATAGCCAGAGCAATTTGAAGTCCTAGCCAGAGCAGTCAGACAAGTTAAAGAAATAAAGGCATCCAGATAGGAAGAGAGGAAGTCAAACTATCTCTGTTTGCAGATGACATAACTCTATATTTAGAAAACCCCATCGTCTTGATTCAAATGTTCCTTCAGCTGATAAACAACTTCAGCAGTTTCAGGATACAATATCAAAGTGCAAAAGTCACTAGCATTTCCATATACCAACAACAGCCAAGCTGAGAGCCAAATCAGCAAGGCAATCCCATTTCCACAAAAAGAAAAAAATACCTAGGAATGCAGCTAACCAAGGAGGTGAAAGAGCTCTACAATGAGAATTACAAAACACTGCTCAAAGTAATCAGAGAAGACACAAACAAATGGAAAAACATCCCATGCTTATGGATAGGAAGAATCAATATCATTTAAATGGCCATACTGCCCACAACAATTTACAAATTCAATGCTATTACCATTAAATTACCAATGACATTCCTCAGAAAACTAGAAAAAAATATTTTAAAATTCATATGTAACCCAAAAATGAGGCTGAATAGCCAAGGCAATCCTAAGCCGAAAGGACAAAGCTGAAGGCATCACATTACCTGACTTTATACTACAGTGTTACACTAACCAAAACAGCATGGTACCAATACCAAAACAGGCACATAGACCAATGGAACAGAATAGAGAGCCCCAAAATAAGGCCACACACCTATGACGGCCTGATCTTTGAGAAAGCTAAAAAACAAAATAAAGCAAAACAAAAAAAAGGAAATGGGGAAAAGAGTCCCTATTCAATAAATGGTGCTGGGAAAACTGGTTAGCCATATGCAGAAGACTGAAGCTGGACCCCTTCCTTACACCACGTAAAAAAATCAACTCAACATGGATTAAAGACCTAAAAGTCAAATCCAAAATTATAAAAATCCTAGAAGACAAACCAGCCAATACCATCCTGGACAAACGAATAGGCAAAGAGGTTATGACAAGACACAAAAAGCAATCACAAGAAGAACAAAAATTGACAAGTGGGATCTAATTAAACAAAAGGGCTTTTGCACAGCAAACAAAGTAACCAGACAACTTACAGAATTGGAGAAAATAGCTGCAAACTATGCATCTGACAAAGGTCTAATATTTATCATCTGTAAGAAACTTAAACACATTTACGAGAGAAAAACAATTTCATTAAAAAGTGGGCAAAGAACATGAACAAACACCTTCAAAAGAAGACATGTGTGCCCAACAAGCATATGAAAAAAAGCTAAACATCATTGATCTGATTATTAGGAAAATGTAAATCAAAAACACAATTAGATACCATCTCACACCAATCAGAATGGCTATTACTAAAAAGTCAAAAAAACAAAACAGATACTGGTGAGGTTGTGGAGAAAAAGGAACATTTATACACTCTTGTTGGGAGTGTGAATTATTTCAACCATTGTGAAAATCAGTGTGATGATTCCTCAAAGAGTTAAGACAGAACTACCATTTGATCCAGCAATCCATTACTGGTTGTATATCCAGAGAAATATAAATCATTCTTCCATAAAGACACATGCACCTGAATGTTCAGTGTAGCACTATTCACCATAGCAATTCATGGAATCAACCTAAATGCCTATCAATGACAAATTGGATAAAGAGAAATGTGGTATATATATATATACCATGGAATACTATGCAGTCATAAAAAAAGAATGTCTTTTACAGTAAGATGAATCAAATTGGAGGCTATTATCTTCAGCAGACTAACACAGAAACAGAAAACCAAATTCTGCATGTTCTCAATTGTAAGTGGCAGCTAAATGAAGAAAACTTATAAACACAAAGGAATAAAACACTGGGGTCTACTTGAGGGTGGAAGGAGGGAGGAGGGAGACAAGCAGGAAAGATAGCTATTGAGTACTGGACTTAATTGCTGGGTGATGAAATAATCTGTACCACAAACCCTGGTAGCATGAATTTACCTATGTAGCAAACCTTCATATGTACCCCCAAACCTAAAATAAAAGTTGAAAGAAGAAAGAAAGAAAGAGAAAGAAAGAGAGAGAGAGAGAGAAAGAGAAAAAGAGAGAAAGAGAAACACGGAAAGAAGAAAGAAAGAAAGGAAGAGAAAGAAAGAAAAAAGAAAGGAAGAAAGACAGGAGGGAGGGAGGAAGGAAGGAAGGAAAAAAGAAAGGAAAGAAAGAAACAAAGAAACACATGGTTAACAGCAAAAGCACATGAAAGAGTCAAACTGACTGGTAAATGTAAATATGTACATAGGTGCAGAATAATGAAAAATTGAAATGGAGTGCATAATTTACTTTATATTCTAACATAAACATTAAGATAAAAATTTGTCAGTGAATACACAGTATAAAGAGAAAAAACTGACTATAAGAACACAATATTGGGAGGAGTAAAATGTAAACTTCATGTATGTTAATGAAGCTGAGCTGTTATTAACTTAAAATACATACTTATGACTGTAAGGTATTTTATGAATGCTTTGTGTAAATTAACAAGAAAAGCTTATAATAAATACAGCAGAGATAAGCGGGAAATCATTAAAACAAATTACTACAAAAATCATCAAAGAATAAGGGAACACAACAAAAAAGAAAGAGGGACAACAAACTGGAAAACATAAAACAACTGACAAATGGCAATAAGTCTTGACCTGTAAATAATTACCTTAAAAGCAAATGGATTAAACTCCTCAATTAAAAGGCATAGATTACTTGAACAGAGCTATTTCAAAATTTAAAATAGAAACAAAATCTAATGATATGTTCTACAAGAAACTCACTTTAGATTTAAGGAGACATGTAGACTGAAATGAAGAGATGGAAATAAATATTTCATGCAAACGGTAACCAAAAAAAAAGCACGGGTGGCTCACCTATAATAGCCAAAATAAATTTTAAGTCAAAAACTGTGCCTAGTGATAAAGAAGGTCATTATATAATGCAATCACCAGTAAATTCAATAGAAAGATATAAAAAATATAAATATATACACGCCCATCATTAGAATACCTAAATATATAAAGCAACTTTTGGCAGATCTGAGAGGAGAAACTGACAGCAATACAAGGATAGCAGGTGACTTCAGAATCCTACTCACAATAACTGATTCAATATCCGGGAAGAAAATCAATAACAGAAATAGGTGGGTTGAATAGTACTATACACCAAATAGCCTAGAGACACATATAGAACTTTTTACTCGACAGTGTAAGTATACATGGCTTCTCAAATGCATACACAGCATTCTCCACAATAGATCACGTGTTAGATCATAAAACAATTTTTAACATATTCAATATGATTAAATTATTCCAAATTTTTTCTTCATCACAATAAAATGAAATTAGGCATCAATAACACCAAGAAAACAGGAAAAAAACAGATACGTGAAAACTACGTAACACAATCTTAAACAACCATTATGTCAATAAAGAAATCAAAAAAGAATTACAACTGTATCTTGAGACAAGTGTAATTGAAAAGTAAATCCACCACATATAAGATGCAGAGAAAATATTACCAAGAAGGAAGTTTATTGCAATAAATAAATACATTAAAAAGGAAAGAAATCTCAAGTAACCTAATTTTATAACTCAAAGAGCTAGAAAAAAAAGATAAATTCTAAGGCCAAAGTTAGCAGTAATAAGGAAATAATGTAGACTGGAAAAGAAAGAAATCAGACAGAACTAAAAAAAAGTAGAGAAAAATAAGCATGGCTAAAAGTTGACTTTTTGAAAAGATAAACATCAACAAACTTTTAGGTAGACTAAGAAAAAGAAGAGTCAAATAAATAAAATACAGAAATGAAAAAAGATACATTGCAATGGTTGACTCAGAAATCAAAAGGATCGTAACGGATTATTATTAACTATATGCCTATGTATTGAATAATCTAGAAACAAGGAATAAATTGATAGGACATATAACCTACCAATACTCAATTATGAAGTAACAGAAAGCCTAAAATACCAATAACAAATGAAAAGATTGAATTAGTGTTCAATAACTTTCAATAAAAGGCTTCACAGGTCAATTCTACCAAATATTCAAAATAAGATCAAAATCAATGCTTCTTAAAATCTTCTGAAAAATAAAAGAAGAAACACTTTCAAACTCATTTTATGGTCCCATCATTACCCTGATTTCAAGACCAGATACTATAAAGAAAGTAAATGACAGGCTAAGGTATCTGATGAACACAAATAAAAAATTCCTGAATCAAATATTAGAAAACCAAATTCAAAAGCACATTAAAAGAGTCATAGACCATGCTTAAGTGGTATTTTTTCCTGGGGTGCAAATATGGTTCAACATACACATATCAATCAATGTAATACATCACATTGAAAAAAATAAAAGAAAATACATGATCATTTCAGTATATGCAGAAAAAACACCCGACAAAGTTCAACATCAATTTATGTTAAAATCTTCAACAAATAAGTATAGAAGGAATTTAACTCAACAGAATAATGGTCAGATAGAAGAAGCCCACAGTCAAAATGATAATAAGTGGAAAAAATGAAAATTTTCTCCCTAAGATTCAGCACAAATCAAAAATGCCCATTTTCACCGCATCTATTCAATAAAGTACTGGAAGTCCTAGTCAGTGGAATTAGGCAATTAAAATAAATGAAAAACATTCAAATCAGAGAGACAGTTATAAAATCTGTTTGCAGATTATAAACATATACATATACATGTGTATAATTGGTTTGTAGCTTATATATATTCATTCCTATGTATATTATATAATCTGCAGAGATAAATATTTATGAAACCCTAATGACAAAAAAATCCTGATAGAATTAATAAACAAATTCAGTAAAGTTGTGTGATACAAAGTCAAAATGCAAAAATCAATGATATTTTCATAAACAATGAGCTATTTCAAAAAGAAATTAAGAAAACAACCCAATACATGATAGCAAAAAAGTGATAAAATACGCCTGTGCTTAGGAATAAAATTAAAAAGGTAAAATACGTGTATATTGAAAAGTGTAAAACATTGATGTGTGAAATTAATGACACAGATAAATATAGTAATATAAGATGCTCATGAATTGGAAGAATCAATATTGTTAAAATGTTCATACTACCCAAAGTGATCTACAAATGTAGTAGAATTCCTATGAAAATTCCTATGGCATTTGTTATAGAAATAGGAAAAAAAAAATCTTAAAATCTATATGAAACCACAGTGGACTCTGAATGGCCAAAGCAATCTTGAAAACAAAGAACAGAGCTGGAGGCTTCACACTTGGAGCATAGAAATATTACAAATACTCTTGAAATTTTTCACAACGATCTTAAATTTATACAAAAAAGAGACAGTGTCTTTCAGAAGAAAGGTAGTTGGGCTAAAGGCAACCTGGCTCACCCTGCTTAAAAAACCCGGTTGGCCCAGATAAGTACCCAAACTCCTAGAAGCAACAGGGAAACATTTCCTTTTAGGATTCTATAACTTCAGAGGGTCAGAAATTCTTGCACAGTACTTGGGGGACTGGATGGCCTTAGTATTGGACAATGGTTTCCATTTCAGTGACTGAGTCAAGTGAGAGAGACATTTTAGTGAAATAAGGAGACGTGTTTATACTACTGTGTTAACATATTTTCTGTCATTAAACTAATAAGTAGGTGAGCAAGTAATAAAAACGGTTATTGCCTTAGCTGATGTGTGCATAACTCTTGGTGTTGACATTTGCTTGCTGAATGAGTATTCGTAAAATTAGACTAAAGAAAGAAGTGGCAGTAAGAGGGATGTCTGTGCATCTCTGAAAATCCAGATCCTACTCCTTTCAAAATGACTTACATTTGTTCCTCAAACACACCAATTTGCCTCTTTATTTGCTATTTCCTTTGCCTAGAATGCCTGCATATGACATTTACATAACTTCTTCCTGCTCATTCAGGCCTCAGCTTAACATTTCATTTCCTCAAAAAGCCCTACAGAGATCACCAAACTGAACTATTCACCTACTCCCCAGTCAAGTTCTAGCACATTTTCCCCCACAGCACTCATCAGTTTCTGAAATTATATTGTACACTAACTTGTATCCTTATTCATTCTGATGAAAGTGAGGACCTTCTCTGTAGTGTTCATTGTTCTTGGAATGTTGATCCCAGCAACTAGAACAGAACAGGACATATCATAGAACCTAAATAAAGAAGTTTTGAGTGAATGGCAGTGATTCAATATTTGCTTGATGATATGAAGTAATTAACATTTACTGATCTTTAAAGTAACCTCTGTTAACAGCTGATTTTTTTATCTTCTTTTTGAAGGAAGAAAGATTAATACAGCTTCTCTGCTGGGTTATCTGCTGGCGCATAGTATGTTGTCTTCATTTTCTCACCTTCCATTTACTTTTCAAAATACTGTAATCAGCTTAAACTACCAATAACCACAGAACTATTTGTTAAAAAAGTAAACAATAAGTTTTAATTATCTGATTGAACAGAATATTTTGGCACTTGTTTTGCATTACCTATCCTACCTTATCGCTGTACCTCTTGCTTCTGTTGATATTTCTCTGCATTCTATTAGCTTCCAGGACACTTCTTTGTCTTAGTTTCCAGGACACTTTTTGGTCATGTTTTCCCTCTTACATCTCTAATAAATGCAAGTATCTATCTTAGGTTGATTCTTCTTCTGCCCACTTCAGATGTCATTATTAGTGCTGTCCATGTTCATCTTTCTTTTTTTCTTTCCATTCTAACTTCTTTTTTATTCCATTTTTCAACCCTCCTGCATTATATTTTCCTAAATAATTTCAACAGTCTCTGAACTAGCCTCCCTGAGTCCAGTTTTGTCTCTCTTCTCTACAAAGTTATCAGAAAAATCTTTCTGTAAAAATAATCTTACTCCAGCTTACAATTTTAATTTTAACATGGTTTTCTTAACCAAATAATACACTACTTGATGGTAGGTGATTTTACTCAGCATCCTCAACACATAGTTCATAGAAAGCTTTTAATAAATGTTAAGGAAGGAAAAAAAAAGAAAAGGAGAGATAATTGTTCAGACAATGCCAACTATTATGAATAATTAATTTTCTCTTTTATTTGAAATAAAAGATAAGACGGCAGGAGATACAAGGTTAACAAAATGAAATTCCAACTAGTGAAAAAAAACTTACAAAAAAAAATGATATCTTAGAAAAATACACTGTAAAGAGTTTGGATGTAACTAAGTATATATTTATTTACATGCCATGTGTACATTGCAAAACCTACTAAAAGCGGGAAAAATCAACAACATCAAAAAGTTTTGCGATTCTCCTCCCCCGTATATTGGTTTTAATGACAGCAGTCTCAGTAAAAATAAAAGAAACAGAAGAGTTGGGCAGTGAAGTGTAATAGAATTCTGGAGGGGAAACCTGGAATCAAGGAGGGATTTGTTATTTTGAATAGAAGATAATGGAATGTATTTAATGCTGTTGGAAAGATTCTATCTGAAATTCAGAGGGTAAAAACAAAAGGGAATAGTTATACATATACTTATAGCATCCAATCACCTTCTTGTTAGGAACATTTTTATTTTTATTTTTATTTTTATGTATTTTTTTTGAGACTGTGTCTTGTCCTGTTGCCCAGGCTGCAGTGCAGTGGCAGAATCATAGTTCAACTGCAGCTTGGAACTTCTGGGTTCAAGCGATCCTCCCACTTCAGTTTCCTGAGTAGCCAGGATTATAGACAGGCACCACCATGTCAGACTTATTATTATTTATTGTAGAGATGGGTCTCACTAAAGGCTATTCTTTAACTGTAGGCTTCAAGTAATCCAACCCCCACGGCCTCCCAAAGTGTTGGGATTACAGGCATAAGCCACTGAGCCCAGCCTAGGACCAATTTTTTAAATACATCCAAAAATATTTACCGGCCGGGTGCGGTGGCTCATGCCTGTAATCCCAGCACTTTGGGAGGCTGAGGTGGGTGGATCACGAGGTCAGGAGTTCGAAACCAGCCTGGCCAGCATGGTGAAACCCCATCTCTACTAAAAATACAAAAAAAATTAGCCAGGCATGGTGGCGCGTGCCTGTAAGTCCCAGCTACTCGGGAGGCTGAGGCAGAAGAATTGCTTGAACCTGGTAGGCGGAGGTTGCAGTGAGCTGAGATCGCGCCACTGCACTTCAGCCTGGTGACAGAGCAAGGCTCTGTCTCAAAAAAAAAAAAAAAAAAAAAATTACCAGTAGACAGCAGCCGGCAATAGACGCACCCAGACGTCCCTTTTCTCTCTTTCTCTGCCGTGTTGTTCTGCTTTCCATCTGCTTGTCTCCTCATCTCCTCGCCTGCTGGTCAGCTTTGGAGCTTGGGGTTTGGGATTTATATGAGTTCAGGATAGGGGCGTGGCAGGACAAAAGGCAACTTTTGAGGTGTGAAAACAGGAATTCCTGTTCTCATTTTGGGCCATGGGTATCCAGGCTTGAGGGTGGGACCTTTGCCAGGGAACCGCCCTCTTCTACCCAGTATTCCCGTCTCCTGTTCCTATCAGTATCAGTTGTATAAACTCTGCACTCTTCATTTCTAGTTAAATACCATAAAAAGAAAGATAGAAGGGTAAAAATTGGAAAGAAAGAAAGAAGAAAAAGAAAAGCTATTGATACAAATGTCAGTGTTTACATGTTTTATTGTTTGTAATTTGAACTATTCCTGTCTATGGATAGACGGCTCTGTGTGTTTTAGACTGCATAAACAAGTTGAAGTCACCTTTACCTGCTTTACTTTAAGGACCTGCAAACTCAGTTTTGTGTTTGCTGAAAATAATGACAATATTGGAGTGGGATGAATATGTCAAGAAATGCTGCTTTCATGTCTTTAGAGCTATATTTTATAGTAAGATGATAGTAATTAAGGTCAATAACTTTACTTTTCTATATGACTTTAACTAGTGCACTCATTAGTCAGAAGTTAGTAAGTTTTATTAGCATGTGATTCAAACAATAGTAAATATATTTTAGTTTCATTACTTATTAATTTTTAGAGAAAGATTACCAACCATAGTTTAATGATTGCTTGTCTTTACAACTGTCAAAATTTTTGAGAAATATGGTGTATAATGTGTATGGTGTGAAATTTCTTGATGAAATAAGAAGACAAACTATAATTGTTAATTACTTAAATTTAATTTTTGATTTAAATGAAGTGACTATGCTAATTCTCATCATACAAATTGGCTTATGATGCTTTTCAAAAGGGTGTGCCAAAGGAAGGAGATGCAATTTTGAAAGAATTTCTGAATGTCACACTTTTCTAAACCATAAAGGATATAAAATGTTCACATAATGAAGACCACAGAAATTATAGTTCCACAAACTCCTTGATAGCAAGTGGTAAATAGGCAGAAGGTGCAAGAGGAAGGCTATTGAGCGCAAGGTTTGCGATTAATCTTGAGTGTGGATGATGCATGTAACTAAGTGATGGAGTCATTTGAACCTGAATTGAAATTCTGGCTGTTCCTGCTATGTGGTATGGGTCAGTAATATTTTACCTTCTGCCTGAGTTTTCTTATCTGAAAAATGGACCATATGAGTATTCAATGTGTAGTACATGTAAACTACTTAGCATCATTCTAGCTTATGAAAATGTTTTATAAAACTTGGCTTCTTAGTGTGACATCAGCAAGATGGCAGAATAGGAGGTACCAGGGCTCACTCTCTCTGACATAAAAGATCAACTTGAAATTATTCACAGACAAAAATATCAAGTTTAAACCTCAAAGATGGGAATGAGCCTGAGGGACCTGCATGTTTCACTGGATTGAATAAAAATTTGCAAAAGAGAAACAGTCTCACTTCAGCTGCATTGCACCACTCCCTCCCTCAAGTTGGCAAAGTGCCACAGAGAGGAATGAATCCCTAGGGCCCATGGTTCCCACAGTGGAAAAAGAGAACTGGGAAGGTGGACACCCAGCTTCCCTATCATTCTGAGATACTTCACAGGGAGCTCAATGCACTGTCACCTAACAGGGAATGAAAAACATATGAGGAAGTGAATGGAAAGATTGCAGGGGCCAGATAAAAATGAAGCAAAAAAGTGGAACCCACAGAGATCACCATGCAAACTTTAGTGAAACCTCAGCTTACTTGCCTGCAGTGGTGCTAAATCAGAGCTATCATTTGTGATCACATAGCCCACCCACAAAGCCGAGATTGTCACCTACAGAAGAGCTGATGCATGCTGCCTGGCTAGAACACCAAGATAGACAAATTTCAGGCCCAGGGGCCCACACAGGGAGAAACACGACCACTGATTAAATTATGACAACAAGCAAGCATTACTTCTGCCACTCCTAGGAGTTCAACCAGCACTTGCTGCAACCTCAAAGCCACCCCCAAACTCCACTCAGGAAGAGAAATTTCAACCATGCATTTCTATTGAGTATAACAGTTAGTGCATCCATCTTGATCTACTTAACCATGAGGCCCCTCCTGCAACTTTATCCAATTGCTGAACTCAAATAGTGGTACCTTCTGAACAAGAAGTAAACACTGTGACCTAGTCAGATCACAGTTGTAGCGTGCATCCAGCAACTCAATCTAATTGTGTGGCTGAACCAGTGGTCTTGCCAAAGAGCAGAACCTAACCAACACAAATTTAGAGCAATGGTAGTAAGCCAGCCAGAAAAACTAAAAGCAAGCTCTGCCTGCCCATGGTCTCTGCTAGCTAGCACATCTGGAATCATACATTAGAATAAATAGTGGAGGTCTATCCCTGCCAAAGAATATCTTTCAAAACAAGGAAAGAGGTTGTCTTCAGAAATTTGCAAACAACAACACAAGGACACAAGGATTACAAAGACTAAGGAAATAACGCCACCATCAAAAGAACTAACAGAACTCCAACAATAGATTCCAATGAAAGAGAAATCCATAAGATGATAAAAAATATTAAAATAATTCTCAAGAGTTTTAATAAACTCCAAGAGTAGAAAAATAATTATTTAAATAAAAATTGGAAAATGGCACATGAACAGAAACAAGCAGGTTGAAAAAAGAAGTAGAAACAATAAAGAAATAGGAACTGTAGAGATGAAAAACATAAAGACTGAATTTAAAATGCAGAAAAATGCTTTAATAGCCAGCTTGATCAAGCTGAAGAAAGAATTAATGATCATGAAGACAGAACATTTTAAATTACTTTATCAGAGTAGCAAAAAGAAAAAAAAGAATGAGAAAGAATAAAGAAAGCTTACAGGAATTATGGGACACCTTCAAGAGAAAAAAACTATGCAAGACAGGAATTAAAGGAAGAGAAGAGAAGAATATAGGCCATGAAGCATATTTTAAAAATTAATAGTGGATGAAAAATATCCTAATCTGAGGAAATAGGCCAACATCCAGGTATAGGAAGACCATAGATCTTCATTCAAATTCAACCCAAAGACTAGTTCATCACAACATATAATCAAACTATCAAAAATCAAGGATTAAAAAATTGTGAGTACAGCAACAGATAAATACTTCACACGCAAAGGAATCTCAACATGACCATCATCAGATTTCTTAACAAATCCCTATAGGTCAGTGGAGAGTGGGATGATATCTTCGAAGTGCTGAAGAAAAAAGAAAATTTCCAGCGAATTGCACTCTACCCACAAAGTTGTCTTTCAGAATTGAGATAGAAATGAAAACTTTGAGGAAGTAAACAAAGAGAAATAAAAACTAAGGGAGCTCATTACCACTAGGTCTCCCTTACAGGAAGGGCTAATGAGAGTTCCTTACCTGAAAAAAAGGCCACTAATTAATAACATAAAACTTAAGAATGCAAAAAACTCAAAAGAAAGAGTAATACCAAGAATTATTCAGCACAATCTAGGACTGTAAAGTATTTTTAGACCTAGTATGAGGGTGAAATAACAACATTATTAACAACTATTGCTAATATAATCAAGGGATACTTACTATAAAATTATGTAAATTTACACATCAAAAACATAAAATGAGGAGGCGGTAAAAGTATAAGGTTGTCGTATATAATCAAGGTTAAGTTGTTATCAGCTTGAAATAGACTGATAATAACTTTAAGATGTTCTTTGTAATAATTATGGTAATAAAAAAGCAAAAATCTACATAAGATACATAAAACAAAAATGAAAAATATTCAAAACATACAACTACAGAAAACCACCAAACCATAAAGAAGTCAGCAAGAGATAAAAAAGAAACAAATTATGTAATAAAACAGAAGACAATTTACAAAATAGCAGTGGTAAATTCTTATGTATCAACAACTACCTTGAATTTAAATGGGTTAAATAATACAATAAAAAGACATAAAGCTAATGAATGTATGAATGAAAAAACAAGACCCAACAAATACATGCTATGTACAAGTGCTGCCCTCCAGTTTTAAGGACATACATTGACTGAAAGTAGGGAAATGGAAAAATATTTCAGCCCTTGATTGGAGGTATGGGAAAAAAAAATACTCCATGCAAATGGACACCAAAAAAGAACAGGGATGACAGATACTTATATCACGGAAAATAAGCTTTAAATTAAAAAAAAAAAAAGCTATGCAAGGAGACAGACAGTCATTATATAATGTTAAAAAGATCAATTCATCATGAGAATAAAACAATTGTAAATATATATATACATTCAACTGTGAAGCTTCTAAATACCTAAAGCAAATATTAAAGATTCTAAAAGGAGAGGTAAATTGCAATATAGTAATAGTAGGGGACCTCAGTACACCACCTTCTATATTGGACAAATCATCCAGGTAGAAAATTAATAAGGAAATATTGGAGTTAAACACTTTAAACCAAATAGAACTAACACACATAGAGAACATTCCATTCTACAGCAAGAGAATATACATTCTTCTCAAGTGCACATGGAACATTCTCCAGGCTAGATCATATGTTAGGCCAAAATACAAGTCTTAGCAAATGTAAGAAGGTTATAATCATATTAAATGCCTCTTCTGACTATAATAGCATAAACTAGAAATCAATAGCAGGAGGAATTTTGGAAAATACACAAATACATTGAAATAAAAAATATGTTCCTGAATAATCAATGAGTGAATAAAGAAATTAAATAGAAAATTTAAAAATATCTTTAGACAAACAAATAAGGAAACACAATAAAACAAAACTTACGGGATTCAGCCAAGGCAATTCTAAAAGTAAAGTTTATAACAATAAATATCTACTTCAAAAAAGAAGGAGAATTGCAAATAACTTAATGTTATACCTCGAGGAAACAGAAAAAGAAAAAATTAAGTCCAGTATTGGCAGAAGAAAATAAATAATGAAGATCAGAACAGAAATAAATGAAATAGAGATTAGAAAAACAATATGAAAGATTAACAAAACTAAGACTTGATTTTTTTAAAAAGGTAAACAAAATTAACAAACTTTTAGCTAGACTAACCAAGAGAAGACTCAAATAAAAAATTAGAATGGATAGAGGAGGGCATCACAACTGGCACCACAAAGATACAGTGATTATAAGAGACTATTATGAACAATTATATAACAAAAATTAGATAACCTAGGAAAAATGAATACATTCCCAGACACATACATATTACAAAGACTGAATTATGAATAAATGAAAAATCTGAACACACCAATAATGAGTGAAGAGATTAAATCAACAATAAAAGTCTCCCATCAAAGAAAAGCCCAGGATCTGATGTCAATGCTGAATTCTACCAAACATTTAAAAAAGAATTAATATCAATTTTTTCAGACTCGTCCAAATAATCAAAGGGGAGGGAACACTTCCAAACTCTATGAGGCCAGCATTTCCCTGATACCAAATCCAAATAAGGATATCACAAAAACAAACCAAAAAATCGCTGAAACTACAGACCAATATCCTTGATGAATATGGTTGCATAAGTCCTCAACAATACGCAAGCAAAACACACTCAAAAACACACTAAAAGGATCATTCACCATGATCAAGTCATATTTATTCCTGGGATGCAAGGATGGTTCAGAATTCACAAATCAGTAAATATACCACATTAAAAAACGAAAAGCAAAAATCGTATGATCATCTTGTTAGAGGCAGAAAAAGAATTTTATGAAATTCAGCATCCTTTTATGATAAAAACTCTCAACAGATTAGGTGCAAAAAAAAGGTACCTCAACACGAAAAAGCCTATACATGAGAAACCCACAGCTACCACCATATATAGTAAGAAAAACTGAAACGTTTTTCTCAAAGATCCAAAACAAAACAAAGATGCCTTCTCTCACCATTCCTATTCACTGTATTACTGAAAGTAATATAGGATAGGAATTAGGAATAGGAATTAGGCAGGAGAAAAGAAATAAAAGTCATCCATATGAGAAAGGAAACAGTAAATTGTCCACTTGCAGATTACATGGTGTTATATATATAGGAGAGCCTAAAAACTGTTAGAACCGATAAACAAGTTCAGTAAAGTTGCAGTACACAAAATCAATATACACTCAAAAGTAGCATTTCTGTACACTAGTAATGAGCTTTCTAGAAAAAAATATTCAAGAGAACAATCCCATTTACAATAGTCACAAAAAATAAATACTTAGGAATAAATTTAACCAAGGAGGTGAAAGATCTGTACACTGAAAACTGTAAAACATTAATGAAATAAACTGAAGAAGACATAAATAAATGAATAGTGTATATGGATTAGAAATTTTAATTGTCCAATTCTAAGTCCTAACAAGTAAATTGCATGCAGTTTAGTAACCTGTGACTTAAAAGGAATCAAATGGGAGTTAACAAATGTTTCAAGCATCTGAATGTGAGAAAAAAGGTATAGAAAATGAAATTACTTTTCTTGAAAATTGGCAGGGGTGACATATATTTGAATGAATTAAAGCAGTTGGCTTTTGAATCTTGCCTGGGAAATTTTGGAAAAGGCAGGGCTAACAATAGACAAAAAAACCAAAGTGAGAAAAAAAAAAAAAGAAGAGAAAAGGGCTTTGAGTAAAAATTTTGTAACCATGGAAGATAAACTTAGCCTCTCCGAATATTACTTTTGAATCCATTAGGTACTTATACCTTCCTAATAATATTGTTAAAATATTTTATTTTATTAGCCAACATGAACATGCTTTGGAAATTGTACGTCGGCTGTAATACATTCAGACTGTTGTGGATGCTTTGTTCTAAAACTGACCTTAAATCTACGATCTCCAATATTTTAGATATCTGATTTTCAAGCTATAGGCATTTATTTTCCTGAAGTTAAATGTTTTAAATTTGTTTTCTACTTTGTGTTATGTTTTAACTACTTTACAAAAAATCATTAATATTTGGCCAGAAAATATGATAGCTTTAACTCCACAAACAGTATTAAAAAGTTTTGTTTCACAGTTTAAAAAGCAGAATTTCTGGCTCAGTTACATATGTTATAGTAAGCTAAGTTTCTTGTTTTGGACTTATTTTCATTAGCAAATGAAGACTTTTGTATATGATAGAAATGTTAAATGTGTATTGGTCTCTTGAGGTGAACTTGGATACTCGGGAATAAATGTGATCGTTGTGGCAATTATGAAGGGTAATTTGGAGACTTTTGCATTTTTTTCCTTCTGGTTGATATAGAATTAGTAGTGTAATGTGGATGCACCTGGAACTTCGTTCTTATTGCAAAATATTGGCAGTCATTGAAGCAGCAGGCTGTAGGGCATGTGGCTTCAGTTCATGGAAATGCTCCGACCACACATGGACTGTGGTATTCTATAAACATGAATGCTCTATTTTAGGGAAAGTGACTAAATTGTGCCTCTGCATGGTTGGTGTCAACAGAAACAGAAAGTAAGAGTCCTTGTCATGTAAATATATTTGGACTGAACTCTGCCCAAATGTCACAGCTCTTTCATTTCTCATGGATTTTATATAGAAGCCCATGAGTGAAACAGCTGTTGTTTTGCAAGAGCTGGTATACAGCTCTATGCACATGAATTTTTTTACAGCAAGCCAAAACAAAACCTATTTCAGAGAGAATGACTCTTCTATCATTACATTAATTTATAATTCAAGTGTTTGAATTCATACAATTAAAATACATAAATAAGTAGCAATTCCCTAAAAAATGAGCTAGAAACTTAAACTGTAACAATTTGTTCTTTAAACCTTTATTCTAATGCCACTAGGTTTGTTTGTGAAAAACCCATCTCTAATCCAAGGTACTTGTATGTGGCAAAATCAAATCACAAACAGCAAAATTACTAAGACTTTGAATACCTTCTCTTACATTTCTTTTTTTTTATTTTCAAAGATAAATATTTGAACTCTGCATTTCAAAGATAAATATTTTCTTCATCTGTTGACTATATGAATTTGCATATTTTGTATTCAGGAAGTTGTAGTGAAGATATAAATTCTGATTTGACAAGAATGGTATTTTAATATAATGATATCATAGCTGTTTCATCTTCTTTAAAATCTTAGAAACCAGTAATTGGTTAGAATAATAATTCCCTTGGGATATTTGCAAGCTAAATACAAAAATTAGAACATTTTTCTGAAAACAAATATTTCTCTATAAAAATTCTTCTTATAACAATCTTCTTAATTTCTGCAAAATAACATCATTTATTATAAAACTAACAAAATAATGCTTATCTTTCTACAAAATCATAATCTCCCTTTATTTCTAAAGCAACTAGCTAAGCTTATCACACTTCAAAATGTACTACACTTTTTTTTTTCCCTGCTTGTTTTGAATCATCAGCTATTTTGTAAAGGTCACAGTCAAAATAAATTAAATTAAACACACTTAATAAATCTTCCCAGAGCTTAGCTTTGTCTCTTTAGCTTTTTAAAATTCCAGTGTGTTTATCAGTATGCTAAAATATGCTTTGCAAGAAAGAAGATTTTCTGAAAAATGACCTCCAGTGAGAATCTTGAGTTGCCTAGACAACAAGTGGACAAGAGACGTGGGTCTCACTTCTTTCAACTTCAGTGTTGCTGACCAAGCTTAGTTTCCCCCAGTAATCTTGGCTTCTTCAACTCAGATATGGTAACAATAACCACCAGTACTCAAAGGGTCTGACTCCTACTGAGTTCCCAGATGCAGATCAGCTGGTCTTCCATACAGCCCCTATGAACAGCTGCCACCCAAATCAATACTGCCCAATATCGAGCTATCAGTGTATCCTCCAATTGGTGAAGTTTCTTGCCCTCAGCTGACATATTAAAGGGGAGCTCACAGTGAAACAGGGTCTTTCTCACAAGAATAAAAACACCCCATATCCAGTGGTCAGTCTGGTCCTGGCACCCCATCCGTGAGTCAATGGAGAGACTGGAGAATGGAGGATCTTCATGTTGACCTGGCCTTGTGATTTCCCTTTTCCCAAAAAAGCCTCTTTCTTAACCCATGCCAAACCCCTGTGTGACAGATGGTAGCTCTAAAAGGGACCAACTATCCATGAAAATGTGCATTCTTTCTTAATTCTATACACATTACCACTTTGGAGGAATGTTCCTATTTTCAAGAAATACAGTATTTAAAAATTGTAATGAGTTTCAAAGACATAAATTCTCGATGGCATTAAAACCACCGGAAGGGAGACGTTTTCTGTTATTAAAAATGTCACTTTATACACAGATGTTTTCTATTAAAGAAATAAAGTAAACCCACAAATAATCTGATAGAATAGTAGTAGTGTTCACCCTTTGTATGAAGATAATCAATACAAGCCATATCCTTCAACTACTCCTTAAATTAAATAGTACTTATAGTAAAACTAAATTTTATTGCAGAAATCTGAATTCATAAATCCAAATGCCTCAGTGTCTATGCAAGTGAAAAACTGACCAAGTGTAGTCCTGGAGAGCTTATGCTCTGCCTAATAAGGTCAAAAGATGCTAAGTTCTTTCAGGTTCATATTTATGTGAATTACCTCTTTTTTATTTGTTTAATGAAAACATTGCTGCCTTTTATTTTATGATACTTTAGGCCAAGAAAGTAAACAACAGTGTTACATACCCACATGCAATTTCATGCAGTTTAAAGCCTGTGGGAATATTTCATGACTCTTTCAATATGCAAAAAGTGCCTTTTAAAATAATTTGTATTTTGAATTAAAAATGTTTAATACCATAAATGGTGATTAATAAATAAAAGACTGAATTTTTTGTCATTCAAAGCCAGTGTTTTCACAAGCAACCAACTGATAGGCCTATGACCTAAATGAGGAGTGCTAAGGCAATAGAACCATCTATTACATAGGGAAAGTAAAGAGTCATATTCCACAGTTTGTTATTTCATGGACTTTAATGGCATTGATTAATATTTTTTAAAATTATGCATTTCAGATATGAAGTGTGTTTCTAGGTGTATCTCCAGGAACACAGACCACATATAGGAGAGAATAACTATATTTACAAATATAGTAGTATACATTATATAATTTTTTAAATAGATTTTTAGCATAGTAAAGCAGAAAAGAGACAAGTTTTGGTTGAGTACTAGACATAGATAAATATTTTCATTGTATATTTATTTAAGAGATACTAATTTATGAGCTTAGCTTTCCTCTGATATTTGAATATGATTAATTCTTATAGATTTGTGTTATAACTATTGAATCCAAGGATACATATTCTGTGCAATACTATTGTATTACATAATCCAATATACAAAACATGAGAGCTTTTATATGTACATGCAAACCAATAGATTTCTGGCAAAAAAACATAAACATGTGTGAGTTTATTTTCAGTATTATGTGAAATATTAAATATAGCACCTTATAGCACATGTTTAAAAAAAACAACAAGAATTTCAAAAGATGTGTTTTGAAACCATGCTTAAACAAGCGAAATTTTGCTGGTATCAAGCAATGAAACTTTGGCCTTGGTAGAAAGGTTCCATTGCAAAAATCCAAATTTGGAATCCATTGTGACTCTTGGCATATAAAACTCTTGGCAATATTTTGGTACCTAACAGCAAAAACTATCTTGAGTCTACAGCAATTAAGCTAAATGTTTTGTTCAATTTAACAGAAAGTGGGGAGCTGAATGTACAGAAATAAGGTAAAGTTTCAGCTTAACTTGACTTTGATTTGATAGAGGCAGTCAAGTTTCCAATTCTAGTTCAGCGTGTAGTTGGATTTGGCTTTTCAGTTCACTAAGCCCAGCTAGAGAATCAATACAAATTATCAGTAATTTGTCAGCATTTGATAAATGACTTAATGCCAGTGAGCTGCCACTGATCTTTATGTCATCTTTTTCTGCCTTGGTCAGCACAATTCTTAATGCTCTAAAAACCTTTAAAAAGACAGCACCATAAAAATCATATTCTTAAGACTTGTCCCAAGTTTGTCCAGTTTTTGCTTAAAAGGACTATAGTACATTATAAAATGTAATGCATTATGTTTGACTATACGATAATGTAGGGCTAACAATAATATTGTACTACTAGGAAACATGTCACTAGGAGGAAAAACCAGGTGTAGTAATGTAATTAATTCATGCAAGCATTTTTTCCATATTAATTTCTTGCCAAGTACCAGGATTTTTTTCTTTCAGTTATCTTATTTTTTACATTTTATTCATAACTGGTTGAATCATTTAGCTTAGTCACCTGATACAGATAATTAATGAGATAATGAGGAAAGGGTTTGAGTTATCACTATATAGATTAATTTGCTTCTAAAAAAAAGAAAATCTCCATTTTAACATAAGCTTTACCCATTAACCCTGTTATTGTTTAGAGAAGAGACTAGGACAAATGGCATGAAAGACTGATTTAACCTGGATTCCTTAAAAAAAAACAACGCTTGAAGCCAAAGCTTACATGATAATGCTTTATTGGAGGGAAGCAAACCCAGAAAAAATGGATTGCAAAATTGGAAAGAAAGGCAGGGAAGAGAAAAATACAATGTGGTGTGTTCACCAGTTGGCTACAGCTTCCCAATAAGCACATCTGCTTTGTCAGTCAAGTGTCATGTCTCCATAGATGTTTATGGCAACATCCCATTTCTGGGTAGTCCTAGGTTGCTCAGAATCACTCCAAGAGACATTACCTCCCTAGCACTTCTACGTTCTGTGGTGCAGCCTTTCCAGGCATCCGCTGAAGAAGTCAGAGCTTGTGCATGCAGTTTTGCAGGAGGGAAAGCAGATGGTCTCTTGTCAGCTGCCACGGTATGTGAGGGGCTACTAGTTCTATGGTGGCTGCAGCAATACAGAAAACAGTTGTGGCTTTCCTACTACTAAATGGCATGAGCCATCAGAAGGACTTCTCTGGCTTAGAAGTAAGACAACTGGCCAAGGCCTGTAGGAGGAAGTGCAGGTAGGTATACCTGGAATAAAGCATACACTGAGTCTGATGTATGAATACAACTCAATCACCAATTTAAACAACTCCCTGCATATCACTTTGAAATTGAAGAATGTAATCTAGTATAAATAATTTTTAAAAATGGTGTGGGAGGAAGGTCAGTGAATATTAGAGAGAAGAGGAAAGATAAAGCAGAAATAGATTTCATAAACCTTGCTCTTGTGCTCATAATAAAAATATTTTTGAGTTCATGATGCTAATGTTCTATTCCCCTCTTTGCAAATAGGGGCAAGAAATATTTCCACAGAAGATTAATCGGTTAATCTCCTCAAGTCCATGGGGACTTCGGCTCAAAATATTCCAAATTCACTTTTCCTATGCATTATTTTATTTCTTAATGACTCAAGAGATGTGCTGTGTTCTCTTTGGAAACTGCTCATTGTTTTCTTACTCTGATTTCTTTCTCCCTCTGTTGTTGCAAAGATAAAATTATATTAAAAAGTCAATGCTTCACGGTTTATTTTATTCCTGATATCTCCCAAAGTAGTGCACTGCTTTAACCATGTTTAATCTCTGTTTGTTGGTTTATTGGTTTTAGTTTAACTTATTATTGAATATAATGCACACAGAGAAAAATGCACAAAACATGAAAGTATAGCACAATTAATTATCACAAAGCAAATACTCAAGGTAACTAAGACCTGAGAGAAGTGAAAACCCAAAAGTTTTCTGAGAAAGCCCCCTCCATCATTAACCCTTTTGCAGCCTAAAATTAAAAATATGTGATATAATAAAGTCATTATAAAATAATAATAAAATAAAATAAATTGAATTTGTTAGCCCCAATTCTGTCTTTTGACATTCTGGATTAGTCTTTCCAGGATTGTCTCTTTATAAATAATTAGCATTTTCCAGTTTGCATTCTTTCTGTCTGCTTTCTTTGTACAAAATTATGTTTGTGACATTCATCTATGTTCACCATGAATAGTTTATGCATATACTGTAGCATACAGGAATACAGTATTCCATTGCATGCAAAGATCATATTTTATATATCCATTCTATTATTGATGAATGTTCGCGCTGTTAGAAGCTTTTAAGTATTACAAAGAATACTGTTATGATAATCTATACATGTCCTTTGGTGCATATATACCTGTAGTTCTGTTTGGTATAACCTTTGAAGTAAAATTACTGGGTGAGAGGTTATGTATATTTTTAATTCAGTAGAAAATTCCAAGAAATTTTTAGTGATAGTTGCAGCAATTTATGTACTCACCAGCAGTATATGAGAGTTTCTGCTGCTTTTGCCGCTACTTGTCCTTCAGTCTTTTTGTTGGCCTTTCTGTTCTGATTATTCTGTTGAATGTTTAGTTTATAACATAGAGAAGCAGATTTATGGTAAGATTTTATTGGTTTCAAAATGTTTTCATAAATTTATTAGTCCTTAAAATATTCCATTCTTTGAAGTTCTTGTTCAATACTTTTTCTCCATTATCCTATTGGGTATTCTGTCTTGTTTAAATTGATATTTTGTGTTTTATTAAATCTGAATAAAATCTTCTAGTTGGCCAAATGTTACGCAAATATATTTTCCTATTATCTAAATTGATTTTTCAGAATATTTATGGCATTTTCAGATATCCTTGTCAATTTATTAGCATTTTTTTGTGTTAAGCAATTTGTTTGTCTTACTCAAGAAATACTTTTCTACCCAAGGCTATAGAGATATTTTCTGTTAGTAGCTGCAGTGTTTTACCTTTCACATTAGCGCAACAATCTTCTTAAAAGTGGTTGGTCTGAAGGGGGTGAGTTTGGGGTAAGCTTCATTGTTTGTGGGTTTTTTTAATGTGTAATTGATATAAAATGAACTGGTCATAGATAAAATATATATTTTGATGAGTTTGATATATGTGTAATCCTAGGAAATTATTACTACAGTCAGGATAATAAATACAGTGATTTCCTGCAAGAGTTTCTTCATGCTCTTTTATAATCCATACACTCCTTCATTCCAGGTGGCAACTGGTTACTTTATGTCATAATATATTAGTTTATAATATCTAGAATTTCATATAAATGGAATTGTAGAATGTGTAGGGTTTTGTTTTGTTTTGGTTTAGTTTTGGTCAGGAATCATTTAGTCAATATAATCAGTTTAAGATTCATCTATATTGCATGTGTCAATTGCTTCTTTTTATGCTAAGTGGTATTTTATTGTTTATTCACTAATCTGTTGACAAGCATTGAAGTTTTTTGCTTTTGTTTTTCTGTTGCTTTTTTTTGTGCAATTAAATGCCTTCACTTGCTATAAACATTCATATGTAAATCTTTGTGTGTTCATATATTTTAATATACCTTGTGTAAATACCTAGGAGTTAAATAATTGAGCCATATGGTAGTTACAGGCTTTGCTACCATATTATTTTGTAAAGTAATTATGCCATCTTACTAAGATGCAAGCATCTTACATTCTGGCACTACATGACAAGCAGTGCAAGACAGTTGCAATGGTTTTATTAAATTGTTCTAGCAACACTTCTTGAAAGAAAAAAAACTTCTTCCACATTGAGTTGTCTTGGTACTCTTGTCAAAATTAATAGAGCATGTATGGACCTATTTACGGACTTTCTTAACTGCTTTTCATTTTTCTATATGTTTATACCTATATGACATTGTTGTGATTAGTGTAGCTTTACAAAAAGTCTTGAAAAACATTGCACAGTTTCTCAACTTTGCTTTTCCAGCTATTCTAAAACCTTTAATTTTCATGTGAATCATAAAACCAGTGTACTATTTTCCACAGAAAGAAATTTGCTGAGATTTTAATTAGTATTACAACCAATTTGGGGGAGAAAATCACAATATTAAATATTTTAATCTATTAGATCTAAGAAGAAATAAATAGGAACACATTGACAGTAAGAGATTTAGCACTCCTCTTGCATTCCTGCACAGCTTAGGTGACAGACATAACTAACGATATTGTATTGTTAAATGAAATATTATATAAAGCAGATATTTTGGATCTATATCAAAGTTCATGTGCTGATAATAGAGAATAAACTTTTTCCAAGTTTACTTTAAACATGCCTTAATACTCACATTATCCTAATCCAGGAAGGAAGCACCAGTTTTATGAAGAATAAGTAATAAAATCCAACATATTATTATCTCAACTTAATACAAGCATAAGGTAATATAATAAAGCAAACAAGCAAATAAAGATATTTAAACACTTACAAATTCAAAATTATATTTGGGTCAAGGGAGAAATATAAACACAATTCACATAATAAAATAAAAAATGAACATTGCATCTAAAAATCTATGGAATGTATTTAAAAAGCTGATTATTTTAAAAATCATTTTATAAACATATATAAGACATACTAGACAATGCACATTTTATGAGGTAAAATGGCTTGTATCATTACTGGGTATATGCCCAAAGGATTGCAAATCATCCTCCTATAAAACACATGCACACATATGTTTACTGCGGCACTATTCACAATAGCAAAGATTTGAAACCAACCCAGATGTCCATCAATGATAGATTGGATTAAGAAAATATAGCACAAATACACCATGGAATACTATGCAGCCATAAAATGGATGAATTCATGTCCTTTGCAGGGACGTGGATGAAGCTAGAAACCATCATTCTCAGCAAACTATCACAAGGACAGAAAACCAAACACGGCATGTTCTCACTCATAAGCGGGAATTGAACAATGAGAACACTTGGTCACAGGGCTGGGAACATCACACACTAGGGCGTGTCGGGGATGGGGGGGCTGGGGGAGGGATAGCATTAGGAGAAATACCTAATGTAAATGACGTGTTGATGGGTACAGCAAACCAGCATGGCACATGTATAGCTATGTAACAAAGGTACATGTTGGGCACATGTACCCTAGAACTTAAAGTAGAATTAAAAAAAAAGAGAGAATGAAAGAAAGAAAAAAGAGAAGGAAAGAAAAAAAGAAAGAAAGAAAGAGAAAGAAAGAAAGGAGGGAGGGAGAAAGAAGAAAAAGAAGGAAACAAAGAAAGAAAAAAAGAAAGGAAGGAATGGGGAGAGAGAGAAAGAAAAGGAAAAGAAAGAAAGAAAGGAAGAAAAAGAAAGAAAGGAAATTACTAAGATGAGGAAGAAAATAAGAAGGGGAACAAAAATCACAGAACAGTTTGGGAGGCCGAGGCAGTGGATAAGGAGGTCAGGAGTTCAAGACCAGCCTGGCCAACACAGTGAAACCCCGTCTCTACTAAAAATACAAAAAATTAGCTGGGTGACAGAGCTAGACTAAGTCTAAAAAAAAAAAAAAAAAAAAAAAGAAATAGAGAAAGTTAAGTCATCTTATATAAAATAAAATTCACTTTGTATTTGTAAATGTCTTTCTTTTGCCCCATATAAACCCTAGATTCTGATAGCATTACTGGTGAATATTATTAAATATCTGATAGATAAATTATATTTTTACAAAAGAATCAAGGTAAAATAAGAAGAAAAAAAGAATAAGTACTTTCCAACTCATTTTACATGTCTAGAATAAACCTGATATAAAAACCTTTTAAAGAATTTTTTACAGATTAGTAGACTTCACGTGTAGACATGGATATTAATAAAATATTAACAAATAAATTTAGCAATATATAAGAAGAAAAATAAATCATGATCAAATGGTTTTAATCCCAGGAATACAAGGTTAATTTGAGGTTCAAAAAAATCTGTCAATATATTGCATTATATTTATAGATTTAAGCAAGCATCACATAGTAATCTCAATAGATTCAGAAAAAGCACTGTTACTAAATTGAAAATCTATGCATGTATGTATGTATGTATGTATGCATGAGACAGAGTCTCACTTTGTCTCCCAGACTGGAGTGTGGTGGTGTGAATATTGGCTTACTGCAGCCTGGACCTCCCTGGCACAACTGGTCCTCCCGCCTCAGCCCCACAAGTAGCTGGGACTACAGGTCAATGACACCACTCCCAGATAATTTTTGTATATGTATACTTTTTCTTGTAGAGGCAGGATTTCGCCAGTGTTGCCCAGGCTGGTCTCGAACTCCTAAGCTCAAGAAATCCACCCACTGTGGCCTCCCAAAGTGCAAAGATTACAGGCATGAGCCATTTGCCCGACTGAAAAATTCATTTGTAATAAATAAACTCAGCATATTAGAAAGAAAAAGGAACATAAACTGATCAATGGAATCCATAAAAACTTGCAGTAATGTTATAATTAATGGTGAATTACTGGATGTTTTCCCCTAATGTCAAGCATAAGACAAAGAGGTCCATTATTACCACTTCTATTCAACATTATACTGGGGGTATTACTACATGCTGCAGGGCATTAAAGAGGAATAATAGGCATACAGATCAAAAAGAAAAAGAATTCAAACTATGTATTTTTAAAAATACATCATTATGTAGAACATTCACAAGAAAATTTTTTTAAGCTACAAGAACAAATCAGTAAATTTAGAAAAGTCACAGAATACAAGATAGATATAAAATAATATCATTTATATGTGTTAAGTATAAATGATTGGGAAATGAAACTGTAAAAACAATACCATTTACAATAGTACTAAAAACATAAAACAGTTGAGAGTAAAAATATTGAAAAACAAATTTTAACCAAATTTGGCAAAATATGCTTAGAGAAATTATAGAACAAATAAATAAATGCAAAAATATATTACAATCATTGAGAAGAATGCCCAATGCTGATAAGATATAAGTTCTGCTCAAACGATTTCCTGATTCAGTTGATTCCCAGTCAAAATCTCCAGGGCTTATTTCTTGTTGCTGTTTGTTTGCTTTTTAGTTTAAAAAGTTGATCCTAAAATGTTTATGGAAATGTAAATGACCTAGAATGATCAAACAGCAAATTTGTAGAACTTACATTATTTGATTTTAAGAATTTTTGTAGCCTGGGCGTGGTGGCTCACGCCTGTAATCCTAGCACTTTGGGAGGCCAAGGCAGGCGGATTGCCTGAGCTCAGGAGTTGGAGACCAGCCTCAGCAAAATGGTGAAACCCCGTCTCTACTAAAATACAAAGAATTAGCTGGGCGTGGTGGCGTGTGCCTGTAGTCCCAGCTAGGAGAGGCTGAGGCAGGAGAATTTTTGCTTGAACCCTGTAGGTGGAGGTTGCAGTGAGCCAGGATCTCACCACTGCACTCCAGCCTGGGCATCAGAACGAGACTCCATCTCAAAAAACAAAAAAAAAAAAAAAAAAAAAAATTGAGAATTTTGTAAAGCAACAAAAAGTAATTAATAAATTACTGGAACAGAAATAGAACAATACATGACCAGTTGCTTACATTTGTGACAAAGGCAATTCAATGGGAAATTTAAAAAGTCTTTTCAACACAAGATTCTACAAAAAAATTATATATGTATATTTTCATATATATTTTTATATTTCCATATATATTCCAAATATATTCTGTATATCACGTAATATATTTTTCCATGTATATATATGGAAAACAAAACCAACCTTAAATTGCTGCTCCATACAAATTTAAATGTAAAAGCTAACAGTAACTTAAAAACAAGGAAAATATTATTGAGGATTTTTACATTGGCAAATATTGAAGAGTCAGGGCAAAAATTTCTAAACTTAGAGAAAATAAATTAGTCTTAGATATAATATTAACTAGAAAGGAACTTGGGGAAAATTTCTGGAGAGATGGGAATATTTTAAGCCAACATGTGAGATGCATGCTTTTAATAATTTATTGAATTATATGCTTGAATTCTGAACATTTTACCGTCTGTGCATTTAAAACTAAATATAAAATTATACAAATATAAAACAAATGCAATTCAGTAAAAACTATGTAACAATTGAATTAAGGGATTAATTTAATAAGTAAAACTCTTAAGATATAAATCAGACTAAAATTTAGGCTGTGCAAACCATAAAAGAAAGAAAAATAACAAGAAGATAACACGAAAACAAACCATAAAAGAAAGTGGAAGTAAGAAAGAGAAAAATAAAGGCGAGGTGCAGTGGCTCCTGCCTGTAATCTCAACACTTTCGGAAGCGGAGGTGGGCAGATCACTTGATCCAGACGAACTGGGCAAACATGGCGAAAACCCGTCTCTACCAAAAATCCCAAAATTAGCCGGGTGTTGGCACACACCTGTAATCCCAGCTACTAGGAAGGCTGAGGCATGAGAATGGTTTGAACCTTGGAGGCAGACGTTCCAGTAAGCTGAGGGGGCGCCACTGCACTCCAACGTGGGCAATAAGGTGAGAATCAGCCTCCCCCTGCCAAAAAAAAAAAAAAAAAGAAAAGCAATAAGAAACATAAGACAGAAATTAATGTTTGAATACTGAATATAGAAAAATTATAAAATTAATGAATTAATGAAAGACATGTTCTTTAACACAATTATCAAAACTGACAAAATTAAGCATTCATTTCAGGTGGAGAAAAATAATAATTCATATAATAAAGACAAAAGGAAAATAGAAAGATATGAAACAATTTCAAAAGAAGTTTAATGAGTTCAACAAAAACACAATTGTTAGGTAGTAGATAATGTAATTAATATATCAAGCAATGATTTCCATATATATAAACAGAAACAGAAACGATTGAAAGGGAAAACTTTTTTAGAATGCAACAAAAAATAAAGTATCTACAAATAAAATTGACAAAAAAACTTTATTTGTAATGGACATATATAGAGAGAGGATATTTTAATACAATCATACAATGTGCTATGATCAAATCAAGGTATTTGGAATATTCATCATATCAAACATTTATCATTTTTTGTGTTGGGAACTTTGCAGATTCACTCCTCTATTTATTTTGGAAAATATATCAAATTATTGTGAATTATAGTCACCTTTTGTGGTACCAAACACGAGATCTTATTCTTTCTAATTGTATTTTTGTACCCACTAACAAGCCCCTCTTTATGCTCCCTTTCCCATTGCCCTTTCCAGCCTCTGGTAATTGTTATCCTACTCTCTAACTCCATTAGGTTTTTGTTTTTGTTTTTGTTTTTTAGTTCCCACATATGAGTGAGGATGTAAGATATGTTTGTTTCTGTGCCTGGCCTATTTCATCCCGGTTCCATTCATGTTGTAGCAAATGACAGGATTTCATTCTTTTTATGGCTGAATTATATTCCATTGCATATATTTACCACATTTCCATTATCCATTCATCAGTTGATAGGTTGACTTTATATCTTGGCTATTGTGAGTAGTGCTTCAATAAGCATAGGAGTGCAGCTATTTCTTTGATACATTGATTTTCTTTCTTTTGGATTTATACTCAACTGTAAGATTTCTAAATCATATGGTAACTCTATTTTAATTTTTTGAGGAATCATCATACTCTTTTCCACAGTAACTCTACTAATTTATATTCCCATCAACAATGTATAATATATAAGAATTCCTCTTTCTCCACATTGTCACCCACATCAATTATTGTCTTTTTATAAAAGCTGTTTTAAAAGGACTGAGATGAAATCTCATTGTTGTTTTGATTTGCATTTCCCTGATGATTAGTGATGCTGCACATTTTTTCATACCTGTTGGCCATTTATATGTCTTCTTTTGAGAAATGTTTATTTAGATCCCTTGCCCATTTTTAATCAGGTTATTTGGGGGTTGTTTTTGCTAAATTGTTTGAGTAACTTGTATATTCTGGTTATTAATCCTAAGTCAGTTGAATAATTTGTAAATATTTTGTCTCATTCTGCCAGTTGTCTGTTCACTTTGTTTATTGTTTCTTTGCTGTCTTTTTTGCTTTGGTTGATTGTGCTGTTGACATCTTAAGGAGTCTTTAAGAGCTAAATAAGAAAAAATTAAAAATCCACTGAAAAATACAAAACAGACTTGAACAAATGGAAGGCCATCCCATATTCTTAGAAGATAGCTTAATTTGAAAAATATATCACTTCTCTCCAAGTTTATGTGTAAATTTAATGTCATCCAACTAACAGTGCTAATTATTTTTTCTATCTAGGTAAGTTGATTAAAATTTTATATTAGCAAATAAATGAACAAAGAACACATGAAAACATTGAAAATGAACAGAAATAAGGAAGGGAGAAGTTGCTTTCTCATATATAAAAACATACCAAAAAGCTTGTTTAATTTAAGCAGCATGAGTTTGATGCCTGAATAGTCATATTAACAGTGAAATTGTACAAAAAGCACAGTAACACATGGAAAATACAAATGGAATTTGGTATATGACAAATGTGGCCTCTCAAATCACTGGTGAAAAAAAGATGAAGGCCTTAAAAAAACAGTATTGTGACAGGTGATACATTATGATTATATATTACACAATGTATTGTGAAGCTCTAATGTAGAAAACATGTATGTAGTATATAAAAGTTATGCCTGGTTTGCACAATAGTTCCACAATTGTATTCACAAACTGATAGTGGAGGGATAAATTCAATTTGGCATACACAAGTGTTGTTTTCTTGGTGGTGGTTTTGTTACTTATTTCTTATTTTTTAATTTGTTTCTGACCATAGAATACTCTCCATAGGGTCCCTGAAACTATTTTAGCTATCTGATTCACAAAAATGGAAAGGAGATATAAAATTTCCCCTATTGGAAGGAGACCACGAATTAGAGTAGCAATTGGGGCATTAAACTGTAATTTGTCTCTTAGTATGATGTTCTGCAATATAATTCAGGGAAAGAAGAGGTAAATATTCACTTATCATAAAGTCATATTATTCATTCTGAAGAAATAGTATCAATATTATTAATAAACTAGAAATTGATCTTATAGAAAAAATGCATTTTATAAAATAAATGATTAATAGTACTCAGTATAAGGAAGTTATTTAATTTTGGATGTCTATTGGATAAGCAGATATATGCTGGAGTAAAGCACATGACCACACCCATATCCATTTGCCCCATCATCTATAACAAACAAAACTTCACCTTTCTACTTGTGCGCATCTTTCATACGGGAAAAGTCAACAGGAACTGGAGAAAGGTCAAAGAAAATGGCATCAACTGCTGCTAAATTATGTGAAATTTGCTAGGTACAAACAGGGAATAAGGTAACAAAAGTCAAGGCAAAAAACTAGGGGAAGTGGAATATAGTTTAATAGGACTGAAGTCAGAGTAAGGAAAAAGCTGACTGTTCTCCTACCTTTCATCTCCCGACTTGTGGGTCAGAGCTGAGTTTGGGAGACGGCAGATGTTGAACATATGTGCAAAATTAGAATTTAAACTTAGACTTGTCTTTGGCTGTTAAAAACAAAAAATAGAGGAGTTCATTTGGCAAAAATCACTTGAAAATGAGATCTGTCTGAAGTAATAGTGGGAAAGTTGAAAGAAAAATTAAATGGAGTTGAAGACAGTAGAGGCAAAATATTTAGAGATACAGATGCAGCCTCACCAGGGCAAGTGTAAAATAAAACATATAATAGAGTAAAGAAAGTTTGGCATTTTTATAACAAAAATGTTGTATAATTGTGCTTTTTATTATTATTCCATAAATAATTTCAAAATTAAAGTATTGTCTTAATTATAATGGACCCAAAATAAGCATTAGGCATAACTTTGTGTGGAAGACTCACATTTATAAACAATTATATAATTTTGTAAAGCAGGCATGGAAATAAAGAAATTTTTATGAGTGTCAAAATAGTAAATGACACTAAAATTTCTATTCTTTAGTAGCTCAGTCAAATGACAAGAAGATGTTTCATTACATAATGTTTTTTTAATGTAGATCTTGATATTATCATGCCTTAAAATTTTGGAGTAGCGACATTTTCTTGATGGATTCTGCTCTTTTATGGTGGAGGCAGATAGATAACAGAAATTAATTTCTCACCATTCTAAAGGCTGTACATCCAAGATCAGGGTGCCAGAATTGGCTGGGTTCTGGTGAGGGCTCTCTTCCTGGCTTGCAGATAGCCAGTTTCTCACTGTGTCTTCACATATTGGAGAGAGAGAGAGAGTAAACAAGCTGTCCGGTGTTTCTTCTTATAAGGATACTAACCCCAGAGTGCCCTTTACTGATAAAACCATAGTCTTAGGCTCTCCAGAGTTCAGGTGACATATTGCTAAGACTACATTATTTAGGCGCTTAGAGAAGTATTGTTGCAGTGCTATCACTCTTATGGGGTTTTCATCTCTAAGAAAATACTTAGTCTCCACTGACTGTTTATACATCAATTTCTCTCTAATTTTAACAGCATTGAGGTTTTAACTGAATTCTGTAGAAATAGAAGAAATTAGATGCTTGTCAAATATTCATGAGAAACAAACTACTGACCTAAACAAAAAATAAAAAAATTAAATTATCATGTTTTATACAAAGAAAAAAATTATAAATAATTCTGAATAAATCGGCAACGGCATACTTGAATCTGTTTCTACTGGGCGATGAATTTAACAATATCTTCTCACAGAGCTGGCTGGCAATAAAAATGTTTACTATGAGAAAGTGTTAAAAATATTAAAATGTTTATGGAATGTTTAGCAGTAGATAAAAGGTTCTATACATGTATTAGACACATTTAGATGTGAAAAAATTGGAATAGTTTGGAATATTATTTTTGGATGTATTTAAGTAACATTTTGAGAAAATTATGATTTATGAGTTGTGGTACACATAAACATAAGCTACTATTTGTATAGTTTGAATGGATCTGGAAATATTATTGCACTACCAAAGACTTTCTATTTAAGGCTAAACACATACTTTAAAAGTCATTAAAAATGCCCCTTCTCTCCTGCTTCAATGAAGCTCAGAGTAGGTAGGAACTTATCACTTTATCTATTTCTGTCACACGCCAATCTGCAGAATGAAATACTGAAATGTTTAAAATGAATTACAGTCATTTCAGGTCAGTCAATTATACATAGAGCAGAGAAACTTTAATTTAGTCACACATATACTTTAAAATTTATGCTTTCCTTATATGATTGCCTTACGGCTTCCATATCTGTTCAGAGATTGATAATCTAAGCCATTCAATTCACTGAACATTTCAGAGTGGGTTATTTACAGTTTTGACTAGAGTATCATTTCAATGCAATATCAATTATGCATAAAATGCAATTATGATGAAATGTGTTTACTTAGTGCTTACAAATGAAAACATTAATTTGGGCTATCCTTGCCAAAAATACATTGTTTTATATGGCTCTAATTTTGGATGTTTTTAGTAACTGGAATGTCATCAGAATTTAGCAATTTGAAATGCCCATTGGCAGTACACACTTCTCTTTCAATTCTACACATAATAATGCTTAATTTAATAATGGGATCCAATTTGTTCTCTGAGCATGAACATTTTAATTATGTAAAATATAAATAGAGAAAGCTTGGTAACGGAAATTCTTCCTGTCTCAAAGTAAGACAATAATTCTCAGGAAATCATTTAAAATGAAAATGTATTCACCTAGACTAACAAATTATAAACATTAAATCTGGTAAATCTTAGTTTTTAAATATGCGTCTGAGACATAACATAATATTGTGACTCTTAATAAAATGAAATAAATGAGGTAGTAAGACAATAACATCTCATGGAAAGAGATATGTGAGATAGTAAACATATAGTTTACCATCCGTATGGCTTATAATGGAGCTGATTATATGTTATTATTTTCAGAGACTGTAAGGTAAAAGATAAAATTATTAACATCTTTAGAAGTACAGTTACTCTGGAAGGTAACATTTGAGAAACAGAAAAATATGAAAATGTATTTATCACATATATTTCTCTCTGTGTGCCTTAGACATAGATTTGTTCTTACTTACTTACATAGATTTGTTCTTACTTAGACATAGATTTGTTCTTACTTAGATATAGATTTGTTCTTACTTAGATACTTACATAGATTTGTTCTTACTTGTAGATTTGTTCTTACTTAAGAGTACTTTCTAGTAATTCTCCTTTTTATAAAATGGTTTAAATAGAAATCTTCACCAGAGTTTGCCATTAACTCTAACATTTTTTAGAAGATACCAAAGGATTATGTACATAGTAAAGAAAAGAGAATGAGAATGATCATAAATAGGAATATAAAGTCTGAAATATATTTAGTGGAAATTATTACAGACACATTTCCTTTATTCGGATTGCATTGTAATTTATATATGTGCTTTAGCTCACCACAGAGCTGTGTTCATTTTCAGAGGCTATGCATTTACTCATTTTTGGATCCTTTACAAAACCTATAAATTACTTTGCATATCATCAGTGAATTATATGATGTCAGAAGTGCACTGATGGCAAAGGGTGAGTCAGAGTTTGTAACCGTAGAGCTTAAAAAACCAAAAACAAAAAGACTGTCTTAATTCAGAACATTTCCCTAGAGAACATTTCCCTTAAGCTATACTTCTCCCCCTTCTCTATAATAGTTCACTTTCACAACACAAAAGTATGCTGCAATCGTGTATATAAAACAATAGTAATAAAAGAACAAAAATATCATTAAATACCATCTTTTCCATTATAGTAAGAGTCAGTAGAGAAATTGTCTGCATTAGATCTACCCTAGAGCATCTCACATTCCTTCTTGAATCCAGTCCAACTACACTTACGACTCACAAATTTCAGTTACCAATCACCCATGAGCTTGCCAAATTCAAAGGAAATTTTAAATAACCATTAATTTTTCATCAGTCAACACCAATTGAATCAGCTGGTCACTCTGCATCAAAAAAACCAATTTGATTGCCTTAAATACAATTTTGATTATCTTCCTCAAAGTTCACTGGAGGCCCCAGCCCATTTTCCTTCACTGGCTGTGTTTTGACTTCCTTCTTAACGCTGCTCCTTGGATTGTCTCAGTCCCCAGCCTTCAATCCATTATTCTCTAGTTGATCCTTCCTTTAGAGAGCTCATCCAGTCACTTGGCTTTAATTATTGTTTATACTGGAAGAATCCGAAATTTATATCTCTGTTAGTGAACTCATGTCTTATATATCACATAGAAATTTTTTTCTCCTAATTTAGGAATTTTTCCTCACTCCCATAACATAACTTCCTCTCGACCACTTATTCCTATTTCTTTCTTAAAGTATATTCTTCTTCACAGTACTTACTAATATATGGGACAATATTTTTATAGTTATTTGTTTTGCCTCCTATTTCACTACAATAAGTACGCCTACTACCTAGGACAAATAAAGTTTGTAAAAATGACCATATTATAATTTTCTTTCTTTTTTAAATTGTATATAATTTGATTTAAATAGGATTTTTATTGACTTTGAAATAAAGTTCAGATTCCATAGATGACTGTCAGTGAGCCGCATTATTTGGTTCTCAATTACCTGTTAAACTTTCGCTCCACAGTGTGGTGTACTCCCACAAAATAATGTTATTGGTGTTCTTGATGGCCAGCACTTCATTTATTATCGACTTGTTGAGGCATATTCAATAAATTAAAAATTGTATATATTCAAAGTGTACAATCTGATGATATGATAAATATACACATATATTGTAAAATGGTTACCACAATCAAGTCAATTAATTTTTCAACTCACATAGTTTCTTTCCTTATGTTTTTTGGTGCAAGTGATTAAGATCTCTTATAGCAAATGTCAGGCATATAATACAGAGGCAGTAACTATAGTTACTCACCATGCTGTACACTGAATCCTCAGAATATATTCATCTTATAATTAAAAGTTTGTAAACTTTCACCTATCTCTGTCCTCTCTCTTCAGCCTCACATTTATTCTGTTCTCTGTTCTTGAGTTCCACTTTTTTTTTTTTTTAAGATTCCATGTATAAGTGAGATCATGTGGTATTTTCTTTCAGTATCTGGTTTATTTCACTTAGTGTAATGTCCTTCATGTTTATCAATGTTGTTGCAAATAGTAGGATTTTTTTTTCTCTTTTAATGGCTGAGTAATGTATGCCATATCCATTAATTCACTGATGGACACAGCTTGTTTCCCTATCGGGGCTATTGTGAAAAATGCTGCAGTGAATATGGGCATGGAGATATTTCTTAGATATACTGATTTCATTTTCTTTGTTTATATACCAAGAAGTAGAAGAGCTGAATGAAATGGTAGCTCTATTTCTAATTTTTGAGAAGCACTCCTATTATTTTCCACAATGATTACATCAATTTATATTCCCACCAATAATGTATAAATGTTCCCTTTTCTCTAAAACCTTACCATTTATCTTTTTTTATTTTTTTATAATAGCCATTCTAACAGGTGGGAGGTGATATGTCAATAAAGCTTTAATTTGCATTTATCTGATGAGTGATGTTGAGCAACTTTTCATGTACCTATTTGCCATTTGTATATCTTCTTTGAAAATATGTCTATTTGGGGAATTTGCCCATTTTAAAATCAAATTATTTGAGTTTTCATTTTTATTTATGTATTGCTATTGAACTGTATGTATTTCTAACATATTTTGGATATTGGACATTAATCCCTTATCAGATACATTGTTTGCAAATATTTTCTCCCATTTTGTAGGTTATCTTTTTATTTTGTTAATTGTTTCGTTTGCTGTGCAGAAGCTTTTTAGTTTGATGTAATCTTGTTTGTTTATTTTTACTTTTGTTGACTGTACTTTTGGTGTGGTATCCAAAATATCACTGCCAAGATGGATGTCAAGGAGGTTTTTCTGTTTGTTTATGGCTTTAGGTCTTACATTTGAGTCTTTTATCCATTTTGAATTAATTTCATAAGTGGCATATGATAAATACCTATTTTTATTTGTTTGTATGTGGACATTTAGTTTTCCCAACATCACTCACTGAACAGACTGTCCTTTCCCGTTATGTTCTTGGTGCCTTTTTTAAAGGTTAGTTGACTACATATGCATGCATTTGTTTCTGGGCTTTCTATTCGGTTTCATTCATCTCTCTGTCTTGTTTTAATTGGTATAGCTTTGTAATATAGCTTGATATCAAGATTTTATAACACTGTCATCTTTTTTTCTCAAGGATGTTTTTGCTACTGGGGATTTTTTGTGGTTCCATAGTAATGTTAGGATTGTTTTTTTCTATATCTGTGAAAAATGCCTTTGGAATTTTGATAAGAACTGCATTGAATTTGCAGATAATTTACAGACTTTTGGTTTACAAAGTAATATTATTTCCAACTGTCTCTTCTGTCACAATTTAATTCTACTTATTGTGAAGACCAAATAAGATGTCACACTATCCAGTAAGTCTTTGTTATAACTCCAATAAGAAATATTATTCTCTCTCTCTCTCTCTGTCTCTCCCTCAAAATTTTTTGTCTCTACTCTTTGACATTTACCATATTCGACCCAATAAAACAATTATCAAGCAAACTTCTTTATAAGAAGAAGCATGTAAGGATTTTCTTTGAATTACACATATTATCTAAAATTTGATATTTTATATTATAAGACCTCAAAAGTATTATTGTGGTATTTTAAATCAGCTGTATATTTATTTAGGCTGGCATGGTCTGGATGCATTTTGCAGAGAAACAGATTAAATAAAAAGTATAGAAAGACAGAAATTCCTTTCATTCAAAGACTGAATACATAGAGTTCTATTGGACAACGCTACATATCGAAAGTAATAATGTTCTGTAGGAAAGTTTAGTTAATATGTGAATTATAACTGTATAATATAACACCAGAGACAAGCTAGTTATATTAATAAAGCATTCATTTGTTGGAACATATGACTCAATGTGTGTAATTTTTTGAGGGAAGCATACTCAAACAAACAACAACAAAATTAGTCTGCTCCTGAAGCCTGAATTCAGCCATTCCTGTTTATTTTGTTAGTTAAGCTTTGTGTGTATAAGATGAAATAATTTTGTAAAAACAAGTATATAAAATTTCTAATTTTTAATGTTCAAATAAAATTAGATGTGTGCAATGCTTAAATGAAGGCAAGGTAACTGAAAATAAGGTTACCAAGTTCATACTTCTGACTAAATGTGGCTTCAAGTCTCTTACTTTCATGAAAATATGTAACGATGTACACTTTCAGAGACAAAAATTACAGAATTCAGAGTTAATATATGATAGGACCATGCCAATTTAATGTTTCTTACATCCTCTGTTTTTAAATTCAGGTCAGTCGGCATAAAGTTAAATATCTTATCCTTATGAGGATGATGAGATCAGGATGCTTCCATAAAGCTTAAGGATTGGGGGTTAACAGCATGCATCTGATGCTGAGATTTGCTATTCATTTTTAAACACATCCTTGCTTTTATTATGCAGCTATTTTTGATTCCTAAAATGAATGAACCTACACCATAAATATGTATGTGTGTTTATTCTCAAGGAGAGCCCAGAAGAAGTAGAGAAAATTATTCAAGTGCACAGCCCCTCTCAGTGGCACTTCAGATGGAAACACACGTGCATGGTTATAAGGAAGTCGAGCTCTGAGTGTTAATATAGAAATAAATATTCTATGGAATATAAGTACAACATAAAAAAGACATGAGCTCTTTGGCTAACTTCATGGAAAATATTTCTCCTTAGGGAAATTATTCTAGCAATTGGGTCACTCATATGTTACTGAATTTTTGTCCAGCAAAGTTGTTTGTGCTCTGTTCAGCAGCAACTTTTGTTAATAATTGAAACCTTCCAATACAGGCACCATAGGACTTCAGTAATAATGGGAGGTGTTTCTAGTTTATGAGGTAATAACTATTTTACATTTAGTATTAACTTGGATATTAAAGACTTCCGAAGAACTGGTAACTATTGAGTTACCAGAAAGCCATGCTCTTATCTCATTTATTACGTGCAGAAAACTAAGCTAATGCTTTGGAGACCTTTAATTAAAAATAATAATAGTTATAATTTGGGAAAGAGACAGATATTTTAGTAGCATTACTTTATTTGCCTTGGGTAGTGCCTTGATGGTATACTGCCTATGAGTCATTAACAATTTGGTAAAACTGTTAATATGGTATTTTTAATATTGTAGCTATTTAATAAATAACATGAGCATGAGGTACTGTGCTGGTTTTAAGGAATGCCAAGATAAATGTTCAGAATAATACTACCATGTAATAAATACTACAGTGGAGAAAAATAAATAGGGACATAAAAGTACAAAACATGAACATGTGTTGGATAGTATTCACACCACACATTTGTCATCAGATATAAAAGCAGATGTTTGCTTAGGGGAAAAGTTTTGTTTTTTCTAAAAACTTGAAATTCAAAATTCTTCATTTAGAGAAAGTATATATGTTTATGAAAAAATACTGTAAAACTTTTCTATAAAATATAATCAGAGAAAATAATTGTGGCTAGGTTTCTCATCAACAGATTCCAATAGAGTACAGTTAGGCAAGAAGAATAAGATCTGGTGTTCAGCAAGGTGACTATAGCTAATAACATAGTAGTGTATATTTCAAGACAGAAATAATAAAAGATTTTGAATGTTATTACCACAAAGAAATGATAAATGTTTAAGGTGATGAATGTGGCAATTAGTCTGATTTGGTCATTATACAATGTATACATACAATGAAACATCACATTGTATCCCCAAAATATGTACAATTATTGTGTGGCAGTTATAAATTTTAAAATATTAATTAATAAAATACAGAAAATTGATGTAAAACTAATAAATATTAATTTTACATTTAAAAGTTATTGAATCATTCCTCCATTTTAAAAAACAAATTACTATTACAAGATTTGAAATTATTGAGGGCTCTTTTGGTTATGTTCAGTAGTGATATTGTTATTATTATGAAACCTAATGCCTAGATCATTGTATGTGATGCCTGATTAAAAGATAATTCATGCTATTATGTCATTAAATTTATAATAGGGAGAGATATGTTTGAATTTCCTAGAAAACTTACAGGATAGGAATACCTAAATCAAGCCTCATTTTTCAAAACAATGGTATTATATTCCCGTTTTTCAGGCAAATTGTGTAAGTTCATTTTGCATTGCAATCTAGGAATACCTGAGACTGGTTAATTTATGAAGAAAATAGATTTATTTGGCTCACAGTGCTGCAAGCTATATAAGAAGCATAGTGCCAGAATCTGCTTCTGGTGAGGCCTCAGGAAGCTTACTAACATGGTGGAAGGCAAAGCAGGAGTCAGTGTATCACTTGGTGAGAGTATGGACAAGAGAGAGGCGGAAGGTCTCAGGCTTTTTTAAACAATCAGCTGTCATGTGATCGAACAGAGTCAGAACTCACTCATTATCATGGGGAGGACACAAAGCCATTCATGATGCATCTTCTCCCATGACACAAACAACTCCCACCAGGCCCCACCTTCAACACTGGGATCACATTTTAACATGAGATTTGGGTAGGACCAAACATCTAAACCACATAATTCTGCCCCCCAAATCTCATATCTTTCCCTCATTGCAAAATATAGTTACCCCTTCCCAATTGTTCCCAAAAGTCTCAACTCATTTCAAGTATTAACTTAAAAGTCAAGGTCTCATCTGAGACTAAAAGCAAGTTCCTCCCACCTATGAACGTGTAAAATCAAAACAGGTTATTTACTTCTAAGATACAATGGTGGTACAGAAAGTGGATAAACATTCCCATTCCAAAAGGGAGGAATCAGCCAAAAGAAAGGGGGCAACAGCCCCCACACAAGTCCAAAACCCAGCAGGGCAGACATTAAATTTTAAAGCTCCTACATAATCCTTGACTCGATGTTCTGCATCCTGGGCACACTGGTGTGAGGGGTGGGCTTCCCAGGTCTAGGGCATATCTAGCCCTGTGGCTTTGCAGTGTGCAGCATCTACGGCTGCTCTCATGGATTGGAGTCCAATGCTTGTGGCATTTCTAGGCTCAGGGTGCAAGCTACAGGTGTCTCTAAAATTCTGGGTTCTGGAGGGCAGAAGATCTGTTCCCACAGATTCACTAGGCAGTTTCCCAGTGGGGACTCTGTGTGAGCGCTTCAACCCCATATTTCCCTGTAGCACTGCTCTAATAGAGGTTCTCTGCCATGCCTCCACCCTTGTGGCAGGCTTCTGCCTAGGCACCCAGGCTTTCTGGTACATCCACTGAAATCTTGGTGGAGGCCAAGTCTCCTTTCACTCTTGCATTCTGCACACCTTCAGATAAAACACACAAGGAAGCTTCCAATGCTATGCCTAGTGCTTTCTGCAGCAGTGAACTGAGCTGTAGCTGGAACTCTTTGAGCTGTGACTGAAGCCAGAGCTGTCAGGCTTCTGGGAGAAGTGTCCTGTCCTGAAGCTGCACAGGGCAGCAAGGCCTCAGGTCTGGTGCCCAGAACCATTTATTCCTCCCAGCCCTCTGAACCTGGGATGGGAGAGGCTTCCTCAAAAATGTCTGAAATGCCTTTGAGGGCTTTTTCCCCATTGTCTTGGCTGTTAGTACTTGGCTTCCTTTTAGTCATGCACATATCTCTAGTAAGTGGTTGCTCCACATCCTGCTTATATTTCTTTTTAGAAAATTCTCTTTTCTTCTCTACCACATGGCCAGGCTGTTAATTTTCTAAACTTTCAAACTTTGCTTCTCTTTTAGTGATAAATTTCAACTTTAAGTTATTCCTTTACTCTTGTATCAGATCATAGGTTGTTAGAAGCAGTCAGACCACATCTTGAATGATTTGCTGCTTAGCTATCTCTTCCACCAGATTCCCTAAGTCATCATTCCTAAGTTCAACCTTTCACAGATCCCCAGGACATGGACATAATGCATCCATGCTGCTTGCTAGGGCATGACAAGGGTGATCTTTACTACAATTCCTAAAAAATTCCAAATTTTCATCTGAGACCTCATCAGCCTCTCCTTTACTGTCCATATTTCTGTCAGCATTTTGGTCACAACCATTTAAAAATTCTCTAAGAATTGTTTCTAAGTCTAAGAATTGACTCTTTTGAGTCCTCCAAACTCTCCCTGCCTCTGCCTGTTACCCAGCTCCAAAGCTGCTCCCTCATCTTCAGGTATATTTATAGCAATGCCCTACTCCTTGGTACCAATTTTCTGTGTTCTGCGTTGCTATAAATGAATATCTGAGATTGGGTAATTTATAAAGAAAAGAGGTTTATTTGGCTCATATTCTGCAGTCTGTACAAGAGGCATCATGATAGTATCTACGTCTGGTGAGGGCTCACAAAGCTTACAATCATGGTGGAAGGTGACAGGAAGCCAGCATATCACATAGTGAGAGAGAAGGTAGGGGTGTTGGGTCCCAGGCTTTCTGAACAACCAGATCTCATGTGAACTAACAGAGTCAGAACTCACTCATTATCGTAGGGAGGGCACCAAGCCATTTATGAGGGATCTGCGCCTATGACCCAAACTTATCCCAACAGGCCCCACTTCCAACACTGGGGATCACATTTCAACATGAGATTTGGAGGGGAAAATACATCCAAATCATGTCAGAAATGAATCTTAAACACTTCTAAAACAACAGTTACTAAGGAATCAGTTAGATAGAAGGAGTACGTTCTAGTATTCAATAGTACAGTAGGGAAGTGATAGTAAACAATGCTGATAATCTGAAGTGGAACAGTTTCATGCCAAAACTATCCCCCACCAGTCTGTGGAAAAATTGACTTCCATGAAACTGCTCCCTGGTGCTAAAAAGGTTGGGGACTGCTGGTTTAGACCACATTATTCAGAGTTGTTCTAGTAATTATTCTGGTAATTTGTCTCATGCAATAGAAAATACATATGAACACTAAGAAATCTAGAAATAATTCTTCTCATAATAAAAAATATAAAAACTTGGTAAAATATAAGCCTACAATATTTTTTCTCTATATTCAGGTATAAAGACAGTGTCAACCATGTGACATTTATAATATTCATAATCTATATTTGCAAAAAAAATGTATCATGGAATTTGAGAAGGTTTAGATTCTTAGAAATTTCTTATAAATATTTAAACATGGTCAATTAAGGGCATTGTAATTACTCTCTTAATTTGCATTAATTAGTTTAGACTCTACTGTTAATTTTTACATGCAATTTTCTCTCTGATTAGTTTTCTTTTCCTTCATACTATAGTTCTTTAATTTCTCACCAATTTTATGCAAGTAACTACTTTATTTTACATTTGCCAGCCATGTGTCTTACAAGGACTCTACATTTAGCATCCTGATAGTTGTAGCATGCAGTATATTTTTAGATAACTAGCTTATGTGAAAAGAAATAAACTGAGCAGAACCTGGCAAGGCAAAACTACCCACAGATGGAGAACACTTCCAGATCATTTTCAGTCCCTCTTTATCATATTTGAGACTAATCTTCCTTGAACTTATTTTCTTTCTTTCTTAAATACCAATTTTAAGTTGTTTATTTTTCTTATTTCTTATCAGGACTTTCTTTCTTCTTGTTCTTAGTAACCATTTTCATTTGAGGAATAAATCACATGTTAAAGAGTACATACAGCCATAAATGTATTTTTAACAAAACATTCAACTGTATAACTACCACTAAAATCAATGAATAGAGTATTGTTAGCACCCCAGAGCTCCCCTTCCCCAGTGTGACTCTTCCTAATCACTAGTTCCTCCTAATTAGGTAGTTAAGTTTAATTGAAAACCCTTTTGCAGCAGGCATGGTGGCTCACCCCTGTAATCTAGCACTTTGGGAGGCTGAGGCGAATGGATCACTTGAGGTCATGAGTTTTGAGACCAGCCTGGCCAATATGGAGAAACCCTGCCTCTACTAAAAATCTAAAATTAGCTGGGTGTAGTGTCCAGAGCCTGTAATCCCAGCTTCTTGGGAGGCTGGTGAAGGAGAATCTCTTGAACCTGGGAAGTGGAGGTTGCAGTGAGCCGAGATCGCACCACTGCACTCCAGCATGAGCGACATAGCGAGACTCCATATCAAAAAAAAAAAAAAAAAAGAAAACCATTTTTAAATTTTAGGGAACTTTTAAATTTTAGGTAACTATCCAGTTATTTATCCCCTAAATGAAATTTTTCTCTTCTCTTTTTAAAAATTTTATATAAATGGTATTACACAATATATATTATTTTGCATGTCTACCTTTTAAAAAATTTATGCTATGAAATATCGTTGTATGTAATTCTTTCATTCACTCATGTTTATTGCTGTGTAGTATTCCGTTGATTATACAAGAGGTTAACCAACCATTCTATCAGTGAACAGTTTTTCCCATAATCTTTTTTGTACATGTTTCTGGATTACATAAGCACTCATTTTGGTAAAGTATATCCAGCGGTAGAATTGTTCACAATAGAATATGTCCATTCCTTTTTCTGTCTATATCAAATTGAATGCATTCATCAATCTACCTTTGTAGTTGTTACTGGTGTCATTTAAATCAACAGTGGCTCCTTCCGCATCTTCTTCCAAAAGACACAAGTTTTGAGGTCCAATCTTTCTACTTGTAAAGACTATTCAAGCTATTCTTCATTCTACTGCAATACAACAATGTTTAAGGAGAGAATAGATGGCTATTAGGCTACTGTTGCTAAATTAAAAACAACCGAAGCAATAAATCATGAGCTTCCAACAACTGTTCATTATAGAGACTGGTTTTAGGAGGTGTATTTTTGAGTTGATAAGAAAGTCTGGAATTTTTTTACTCACCTCAAGTTCTTTGTTGGTTACTCTTTTTCTGAGTTTCTATGAGAGTAGAAAAATACAACATAAGGTCAACAAATAAAATTTACTTTGTAGCTTTCTATTTGCAAAGTTCTTTTCTGACTAGGGAAGAAAGCTATAATTTTTCTCATTGACATTTCTTCAGAAGACTTGCATTAAAAAAAAAACTACTACCTTTTAGTATTAGATTTGTAAGTACAGGACATGGAAGTGAAACAAAAGTTTCCAAGGAAAATCTTCCTTTTTTCACAACATCAAGTTTAAATAGTATAAATATTATACATGCATTATTTCCATAAATTTTTATTATATGTATTCTTTTAGAGACTTCTACTGTAGTTCATTCTGCTCAAGTTTTGAGTCATTGGAGATGTCTGGGGATAGATCCCCTAAAGTGTCATTCTCATCATTTGGGGAATAATCCCATTCCAAGATATAGGCAATAAAGTTCATTAGAAACCTCTTTGCTAGCTGTGTGTTATGGTTCCACATGATATGTCTAGTGTATCTCATTAGAATGTAATTTTATCTATATCAATTCCAGAAATAATCAAAATTAAGGGACATTTAGCCATGTCCTTAAGTTTCTGCATAAAATTGAATAATGAATTATATATTGTATAATGGCATTTGACTATATTTACTAATCTTATTAATTTTATAAATTAATTTTTATTAGAAATCTTCCTAAAAATGTTATAGTGATAAAGTAAGTTTGCATAGTAACTTAGTGAAATTATTTTTCTTTATTTTTGAGAAATATGTGATCAATCATTGCCAATATTAGGGGACAATGGTGTGCTTTAATACAGATGATGACATTTTCCGAGGTTCTTCCCTTTTCACTCTGTATAATCTGCTGAGATGATCTCATTTATCCCTGTAAACTCTACTATGACTTAGCTACACAAAACAAATACTTACTGATCCCATAGTATGTCCCAAAAGCTATATAGGACACTGGGATAACAACATTGACTCAACGAAGGCCTCAGCCCTTTTCCCATGAAATGTATTTTCTAATGTGTTTGGTACCTACTGATATCTGGATATATTCATTTTGACTTAACAACAGGTCTTCAAACTCAAAGATATCAAGAATAAATTTATCATTCTTTATTCTCTAAGTATATTCTTTTCATTTATAACATAATATACCTGGCAACAATTCATGGGCTTTGTCTTCAATTTTTCTATGTTACTTATAATAGGTTGTCTAAATCTTGTTAATGTTACATCAGAAATATATCTGAAATTCAAGTCTCCTCTCTGACAATGCCTTAGTTCAGACTCCAACCATCTTTTTCTTTGACTATTATAGTAGGCTTCTAATTGGCCTTTCTGCCTCTAGTCTCATTTTCTCCACAGTGCCAGGAGAATAATCTTTCCAGCCTCTTTCTCAGCCAAAAGTAAAACAGTCAATCAATAAATATACAAATAACAATTCCTGATCATTCTTCCTTGCCTTTTACTTGATTATGAATCCCTGTCAACCAACAGATAAAATTCAAATTTACTTTAATTATATATTAGAACCTCTATGTTCATGTTTCCTCTTTCTCTTACACCATAGTTCATTATCCAAGATTGTTTTACTCCAAAATTTCACTGTATGTCTCAGCTATATAAATTTACATAGAGCTGCAAGTTATATAAATCATTAATGGCTCTGTATTTCCCTATATGTTATTTCATCTTCCTGTCATGTCTGTTTATCTATTATCTGTCTGTTAAAGTCTTATGAAACCTGAAAGGGTGGCTAATATTTCATGTATACTCTAAAAGTGGAGTTCAATTTAACATCTATGAAGTAAATGTAATTAAGAAGTGTTATAACTGGTACTGGGCATATAAAGCATTGTTGTTTAATGTTATATATTCATTATTTTAATAAATATTCATTAATCAGCTACTCTGATGTGAGCACTGTTACCAGCACTAGTGATAATGTCACGGACATTCTAGATAAGGTGGGTGATTCTATGGGATTAATGTACAGTAGATGGACAGACAATATTTAACAGTTTGATCGAGGTAGATGATAGATAGAAAATATTTAGATATTTTATTGAAAGACAGATAAATAGAATTATCTCATAATTTTAACTGCTGTACAAGAAATTAAAAGGGATAATATGATAATAGTGGAGAATGCGAGACTATATTCAACATAATTTCCTTGGGAGATGACATTTGATCTGATTATTAACCATAAAAGATTCAGAAAAAGCATCATCCATCTGGGTAAAGATGCACATGATCTGTATCGCTGAGGAATAAAAGAGTCATGATTGATTAAAGAAGAAGGAGAAATAGGAGGAGAAGAAGAAAGAGGAAGGAGGAGAAGAAGGAAGGAGAAGAGGATGAGGAAGAGGAACAGTATGAGGAGGAGGTGGAGGAGAAGAAATGTCCATGTGGCTGGATTCTGGAGACTAACAAGAGAAGTAAACAGAGCCTTGACTATGTAGGACCATGTAGAACTTCACTTGGAAAGTGGACTTTAAGTGCACCAGGTCATCACTAGAATGTGTTAAACAGAGGAGTGGCATGATTTGTCATTATCATGACATATCTTGGTTTTGCAGTTTAACTTGATAAAGTACTATTTCTTAACATGTCCATGTTTCTTCCCACATATAATGCTCCTTGAGGGAACACAGAATCCTGTACACTCGGATGTATATTTTGAGCTAAAAAAATGAATAAATAAATGATTGAATTAACGACTATAACTTCAAGGGACTTAAAGTTGAGATAATGTTATGTTGCTATTTATGGCCCAAACAATGATTGATATTATTTTATTAAAAACTATTTATTGTGGCCAGGCATGATGGCTCACGCTTGTAATCCTGCACTTTGGGAGGCTGAGGTGGGTGGATTACTTGAGGTCAAGAGTTCAAGACCAGCCTGGCCAACATGGTAAAACTTCATTTCTGCTAAAAATACAACAAATTAGCCAGGCATGGCGGCAGGTGACTGTAATTCCAGCTACTCGGGAGGCTGAGGCAGGAGAATTGCTTGAACCCAGGAAATGGAGGTTGCTGTGAGCTGAGATTGTGCTGCTGCACTCCAGCCTTGGAGGCAGAGAGAGATGCCATCTCAAAAACAAACAAACAAACAACAAAAACAAAACAAAACAAAACAAAAAACCTATTTATTGTCAAGTATTGATAACTAAACTCCAGAAATGCAATAATTGCTAACATATTCTATAATTTCCAGGTAGGGGGAAATTATCTAATTTTATCTATATTTCTGAACAATATATTAGTTATCCAAAAAAGCAAAGCAAAGCAAAACATTTATAATCAACAAATGAAAAACTTCTTCACTGACTACATTAAAACAAGACTTCCTTAAAGCATTGTGAAAAACTCATCTTTTCATATGTTATATTTTATTGAATGTTTTTCAAACATTTTGTTAGTTATTTTAGGAGAACTAAAACAAACAATTTTCTTATTATCTCTATTTTCCTAGTGCTCAAAGAATAGCAAACATATTGCTTATATCTTGATTTATAAAACAAGTTGCTGTCTAATATTTTGTGTTGACACCTATAAAAATAGTCATGAAGAACGTAGCCCAGAATAACCAGCCGGTGGAAAGCCTGGAAAGCTGCAAGTATTATCCAGGGCATCCTAGTTATGAGGGCAATACTTTCTGGAATGACCTTGCAGCAGATGATTTGGAGGCACTTGGAATCTTGCTTCAACAGCAGATCTGATAGTTGTGGTTTTATTCATTTTTTGCCAAAGCTTAGCAGTTGGACACAAGAGTATTTGCTGCAGTACTGAAAAATCAATATGATTACCTCTTTGCCACAGGGCTACATCTAACTACAATATCCTGGACAACATATATAAGAATCACTCACAGATAATGCTGCATAGCTGGTGGGAGCTGACTGAGAACAAATAACAATGACATTTCTACTCTTGAAAGAGTTACAGATGGCGTTAAGATTTAACACAAAGTGCACTAAAGTGAAATATTTTGGTTATCCTTGTGGTATTAAACTAGAAACTTGTTTGTATGCTGCTTTTCGAGATCAGATGGACTATATTTGATGAAACGCTGGATGGTTCAGCTTACAGAACGAATTGGAATCTTACCTATTTTGCTTCTGTCTTCTGTCAGTTTACTAAGAGAACTCATTACCTTACTTTACCTTACTTATTGTTCAGTTAAAAATGACTTATTTTTGAAATAATACTGAAGATAAAATTAAAATATGAGCATCAGCCTTCAGCAAATTGAAATGGAAAGATCTTCTTGATTGTGATATCTTGGCTTCAATGACTTCCATAAAACGCTGACAAGAAAGAAAACGATTTCAATTTTAAACTAAATTAAAGCAATTTTAGGGTGTATTCATCTGTATGAGAAGGTAAAATTTAGTTTTCTATGTAAAATCAGAGAATTTTAAAATGAAGTATTGACATGTATCCACATTCTGCTCTTATATTTTCTGCATAAATTATGTTGCAAAGTATATTCTCTAGTTATTTGCCTATTCTGAAAAGAAATAAATTTCAGGATTTATTAGCATTTTAAGACAAAGAAGTAAAACTGTAATTTATTTATTTGTTCATGTTTGTCTCAAGCTTAATTTCTGTATTTTTCCAGGGAAATAGAATAATTACACCTTAGTACAGTACTGAAAATAAAATAATTCAAATGAAGGCCATTAAATTGCAAATATATTTATCCACTTCATTTTTGGCACACTATTAGATAGACTCGGCCACTGGACAAGCTGTGATATAAATAGCATATAACAACCCTTCTGACTTGGAGACAATAGCTTCCACCTCGACTAGTGACTTGCTCTTAGAGATTTGGACTGTGATTCAGACTGTTCTGTGTACAAAACTACTTAGAAATTATGTGACAGATTCAGGCCAGAATTTAGAGTCCAAATGGAAAAAAACTGTAAATCTGTAGGCTTAGCATTCTAAACTAAATATATGACTCAGAGCAGGTGGCTATGCATAATTACAAAGCCCTGTCTTAAGCTTTTAAAAATATTTATCCACCTAAGATATTAAAATCCATTAAAATAATGAAATTCTTCAGTAGAGAAAAATGTGAAGGTCTTCTGCCATGAAATACGTGTGTTTATATTTATTCAATTAACAACAATTATGCAACAGAAATATGCAGAAATTTTAATGCCCTTCATAAATAAAGTGTGAGCATTGATGAATTCAGCTCTTTTAAAAAGACCGAGGCAATGGTTCAATTTATTATTGAATTAATTTCAACTTTACCATGTACAAAGTTTGCATGAGAAATACAGATGGTGTAAGAGTTCTTAAGCTTGACTTTCCACTGCAACATTAGGAATGAATTAGGACCCATGGGTAGAGTGGTGAGCAAAGGGTAGATTTTATGTTTGAATGCATTGCACCCTGCCATTTTAAATTTGTTACTGAGATTGATGAGTTATCCCTGGCGCAGAGGAGGTGGTTTCACAGTGGCAAATCTTTAGAAAAAAAATATTTTCTTCTGAATGGGGCATTATTTTTTTCTCTTTTATGATATAAACACTTTCCTCATAAAATAAACACCCAATGAAAAAATGAATAGGAAGGTTTTCTGATTTTTCTGGGTTCAATTATTTCCAGCCTATAACCTATCTGCATTTTACTTTTTAACCAATTTTATTATCAACTTTTCTACTGTCCTTATGTTTTTTCTATTTATTATTTAGCCTTAAATGCTTCATTTCTGTACTACATACATTTTCTTTTACTTTATTGTGATAGATTCTGTATGTCATCAGTAAAATGTTAAAATATGAATAATACACTTTACTCCCTGTTTTATTGTATATGTAAAACAAATAGTACTTTAAATATAAAATGAATATGTTTTTCCGTCTCCAATTCTATGCAGCCACTATTTTCTCCACAGAGGTAACCTACCATATTATTAATAATATGTATCCTTTTACTCTATGTGTTTGTGTATAAACATATATATATATATTTACTATGTAAAAATACATTGCTTGGTATGTATTTCTAACATATGAACAAATGCCATCTTACCTCAAAAACATAGACAACCAATGCAAAAATAGACAAATGGGATCATATCACGCTAAAAAGCTCTGTACAGCAAAGAACACAATCCACAAAGTGAAGAGACAGTCTACAGAATGGAATTAAATATTTATAAACTATTCAACTGACAAGAGATTAACAACCAGAAAATATAAGAAGCTCAAACAACACAATAGCAAAAAACCAGATAATATGATTAAAAATGGGCAAAAGATCTGAATAGACATTTCTCCAAAAAAGACATACATACTGCCAAAAGGTATGTTAAAAAATGTCCAAATTCACTAATCATCAGAGAAATGCCAATCAAAACCACAATGAGGTATTATCTCATCCTAGAAATAAAACCCAGGGAGCTCAATTCTGTGTTGTTTGCTGGGTCCTGAGGACCTTTGATAGTCTGCCTTCTTTCCCTGCTTTTCGGTCTTCTGTGTTTGTTTTATACGAAGTAGTCAAGGCTTTTAGCTGAACTTAGCAGGATAATAAGAAATGTATTTCCACTCCTAATAGACCCAAAAGTGATTTTTAATTTTTAATTTTTATGGATACATAGTTATACATATTTATAGGGCATATGTGATATTTCAATACTAGCATACAGTGGGCAATAATCAAATTAGAGTAATTGGAATATTAGTCACTGGAAACATTTATTATTTCTTTGTGTTTGGAACATTCCAATTCCACTCTTCTAGTTATTTGAAAATGTACAATAAATTATCGTTAATTATAGTCACCCTGTCGTGCTACCAAACACAGTATCTCATTCCTTCTATCCAACTCTGTTATTATTCCCATTAACCAATCCCTCTTTATTCACGCATTCCCACTACCCTTCCCAGCCTCTGGTAGCCATCATTCTACACTTTACCTTCGTGAGATTCATCTCTGTAGCTCTCACCTATGAGTGAAAATATATTTGTCTTTCTGTGCTTAGCTTATTTCACTTAACAAAATGTTCTTCGGTTCTATCTGTGTTGTTGCAAATGACAAGATTTCAATTCTGTTTTATAGATAAATCATATTACATTGCATTTGTGTACAACATTTTCTTTATCCATTCATCAGTTTATAGACACTTAGGTTGATTCCATATATTGGTTATAGTGAATAGTGCTGCAATAAATATGGGAGTGCAAATATCTCTTTGATATATATTTTTTCTTTTGAATATATCCTCACCAGTGGAATTGTCAGCTAAATGATAGTTATATTTTTAGATGTTTTGGGAACCTCCATACTGTTATCCTTAATGGTTCTAATAATTTACATTCCCACCAACAGTGTATGACGGTTCCCCTTTCTACGAGGAAGCTGCCAAAGTTTGGGGTTTCCACCCTCTGAATCCACAGCCTGAGCCTTATGTTGGCTCCTTTCAGCCATGGCTGGAGCGGCTGGGACACAGGGAACCCAATCCCTAGGCTGCACACAGCACCGGGACCCTGGGCCCACCCCACAAAACCACTTTTTTCTCCTGGGCTTCTTCACCTGTGATGAAAGGGGCTGCCAGGAAGGTTTTTGACATGCCCTGGAGACATTTTCCCCATGGTCTTGGGGATTAACATTAGGCTCCTTGGTACTTATGCAAATTTCTGCAGCCAGCTTGAATTTCTCTGCAGAAAATGGGTTTTTCTTTTCTGTTGCATAGTCAGGTTGCGAATTTTCTGAACTTTTATGATCTGCTTCCCTTATAAAACTGAATGCCTTTACCAGCACCCAAGTCACTTCTTGAGTGCTTTGCTGCTTAGAAATTTCTTCAGCCAGATATCCTAAATCATCTTTCTCAGTTCAAGGTTCCACAAATCTCTAGGGCAGGGAGAAAATGCCACCAGTCTCTTTGCCAATACATAACGAGTCACCTTTACTCCAGTTCTCAATAAGTTCCTCATCTTCATCTGAGACCACTTCAGCCTGGAATATGGCTTTCAGCATTTTGGGCAAAGCCATTCAACAAGTCTCTAGGAAATCCCAAACTTTCCCACATTTTCCTGTCTTCTTCTGACCCCTCTAAACTGTTCCAGCCTCTGCCTGTTACCCAGTTCCAAAGTTGCTTCCACATTTTGGGGTATTTTTTCATCAACACCCCACTTTCCTGGTAACAATTTACTGAATTAGTCTGTTTTCATGCTGCTGATAAAGACATATTGGAGACTGGGAAGAAAGAGAGGTTTAATTGGACTTACAGTTCCACATGGCGGGAGAGGCCTCAGATTTAAGGAGGGAGGCAAAAGGCGCTTCTTAAACGGCAGCAGGCAGAAGAAGAATAAGAAAGAATCAAAAGCGGAAACTCCTGATAAACCCATCAGATCTCATGAGACTTATTCACTATCATGAGAATAGCATGGGAAAGACTGGCCCCCATGATTCAATTACCTCCCCCTGGGTCTGTCCCACAACATGTGGGAATTCTGGGAGATACAATTCAAGTTTAAATTTGGGTGGGGACACAGTCAAACTATATCACAGTTATTGAGACTTTCTTTATTCTTTTTTCCCTTACATCAGTAAAAACAATGTTTCATGCACGCTTTAAAAGGCTGAAGAACATCTGTTTATCTTGTGCTGGATTCCATCATATATGCACAAAAGAGAAACTGACATATTGCATAAGGCAGGAATTACAGGAGACTGAAGCAGAAGTACAGAGACAAGTACACAAAATAATTATTTAAAAGTTAAAAATAGCCATCAAACATAGGAAATATTATAGAGTATATGACAATTTTGCATAACAATTTGCAATATATTTGCAAATTTAGATAAAACTATTTTCTAGAAAAAAGTCATTTTTAATAGAAATACAGCAATGAAACAAATTAAACAAACTGATTTCCAAAGAAAAATAGGAAAAGGTATTAAAGTGCTACTCTCAACACTTTATTGTTTTGAAAGTATATACTGATTTATTAGGAGAATGTTACTAAAGTTTCAAAGATTAAATATTGCCAAGTCAATTCAAAATGCTCCAGAAGCTAGAAAAAGAAATATATTTTTCAACCTTCTTTTATGAAGCAATATAACTTTGATATTAATGATGGATAAAGCTTGCTTAAAAACAAAACAAAACAAAAGCTAGACAATTATAAATAGAAAAACTAACTGGACATTAAATTATGCATTTTATCTCTGGGTTTTTTTCTGAAAAATGCAATATAAGGAAGTAAATATTATTCAACATAATATTAGATGTAAAGTAAAAATCATTTACTTTGTGATAATGTTAAGATTTTTAAACAGAAAATGATGAAAAAAATAAGACATAGCAAAAAAGTCTGAATACTGTTTAAAATAGATGGGTTTAAATTATAGCACTACTATACGCTAATTGGGTTATCTTGAGAAATGACTCATCTATTCTAAGTTTTTATATTAATATTTATAAACTATGAACTGTATTTGTCACAACTTTTGCAGCTCAAGTGGAGAAAGTTAAATCTATTCAAATAGTTAATACAAACAGTATTTTTGTAAAGATGTAAAGTTTATTTATGACGTTATGACTATCCTTCGGCAAGTTCTTCTGGCTTTGTTTTCAATATTCCTATATTACCAGTGTTGGGACTATTTACAAATATGCTGATCGCCCTGTTTCCATACTTGCATTCTCAAATGGTGCTTCTCAAACGCTTTATGGTATACAACTAACTTTGTTTGTTCTCACTTTATCACACACTATCTCTATCTTAAAGTACAGTGAATTCATTAAAAAAATTAACATGCTTCTAGCTTGCAACTATGTAAAAGTTATACAGGTTCCCAAATGTTTATTCTCCATTTCTGTGCTAATCATGCAGCAGTAAAAAAGTTCATGGACTGGCACCCATTTGAGTATGACTACTGTTTAATGTGTTGCCTCAATTTCTCTCAGATTGTAAAAACATACTTTAGATCTTGTCTCTCAATGCTTAAAAGCAATGTCTTCCCACCTCAGTTAAATTATAGCCAAATTCCTTAGCTGAATGTGATGTAGATCTTTGCTCCTTAGTTCAGCTAAAACCGGGTTCTTGTCACATGTCCAGGAAAAGTTAGGCACACAGACACACTGAAGGGTGAGGGGAATGGAATTTATTGGGCATAAAGGAACAAATAAAAATAATTTAAAAAAGAAAACAAAACTCTCAGCAAAGTGAGAGGGGTTCCTGCTAACGGGCCCCTACCTCGCAGATTGAATACCAGGCCACCACACAGGAACTGAAGAGGCTAGGCTCCTCCTCCCTGCAAAGGGCACCAACTTCCAAACCTTCTGTGACTCTATCATGTGCTACCAGTGCACTGGTCAGTCGGAGATTCTCCAGGGCCCCCTTCCTCCTTACCTTCCTCCTGCATCTATCAAAAGTGATCAAAGGGCGCTTGGACTGGCCTTTATCTTTTATGCCTTATCTTTGACTACTTGCCAACTTGCTTAAACCTCTTTATTTACACTGGCCTTCTCACTCTTCTCAAACACATTAAACATATTCTTAGCCTAGGATATTTTTAATAATTACTTTTAAACATAAAAAAGTTAAAGAGAAAAATTCAAAAGCACACAGGAACCAACATTGCAGTTAATATTGAATTAATTGAATTAATTGAAAAAATGAATACATTTTTTTCTAGATGTAATTTCTTTCTTTCTGTTAGAGGTGTTTGAAGTAGAGGGACTCCATCTTGGATAGGGGCTGGGTAAAATAAGGCTGAGACCCGCTGTGCTGCATTCCCAGGAGATTGTGCATTCTAAATCACAGGATGAGATAGGAGGTTGGCAAAAGATACAGGTCACAAAGACCTTGCTGATAAAACAGGTTTCAGTAAAGAAGCTGGCCAAAACCCACCAAAACCAAGACGGCATGGAGAGTGACCCCTGGTGGTCCTCACTGCTTATTATACACTAATTATAATACATTAGCATGCAAAAGACATTCCCACCAGTGCCATGACAGTTTGCAGATGCTATGGTAACATCAGGAAGTTACTCTATATGGTCTAAAAAGTGGAAGAACCCTTATTTCAGGGAATTGCCGACCCCTTTCCAGGAAATTTATGGATAATCTACCCCTTGTTTAGCATATAATCAAGAACCAACAATAATATCCTTAGTTGAGCATCCCCTGCTGCTGCTTTGCTTGTAGATTAGCCATTCTTTATTCCTTTACTTTCTTAATAAACTTGCTTTCACTCTATGTACTTGCTCCAGTTATTTCTTGTGCAAGATCCAAGGACCCTCTCTTGTGGTCTGGATTGTGACCCCTTTCTGGTAACATTGCCACCACAGATAGAATCCAATATTTGTATTTTAATGTTATCATTGCATGCATATTTTATAATGTTAATATATTAATACATTACTTGTTGTTAAAGTTATATTAAAGTGGAATGCTGTACTTAATGCTCTTTAAATTACCTCTTGTTTTCTTTATCTTCCTCCCTTCTTTCACTATATAAACCACTTCCAGTCTGAATGCTTTCCTCCAGTTTTTATATGACTTGCTTTATCACAATATCCAGATCTCTGCACAAATATTACTTCCTCAAAAACCATCTAAAACAGTCTTCCTACAACCACCACACTCTTCTCAAACTTCCCTTTATTTTCCTTTCCATCTCTTATTACTACCTAAAATTCCACTATGTTATCTATTTACTTGATTAATATTTGTCTACCTCATTACACAGCACTCTTCATGAGAGCAGAGGCATTTATTGTTGACTATTTTAACACAACAGCTTTACATCATTTTGACATGCAGTGCTCTGTGTATTTATTACATGTATAGTTATATCAATTATCCATGAACATAATGGCAGGTGTTGCAGACAAGCCTTAGAAAGGGACTAACACAAGAATTTAGAAATTCACAAGGAATTTAAAAACTTCTCCTATGAAAAGGCATGGACTTTTATTTTTTTCCTTTCACATCAAAATTTTCTACTCTCAATCCACACTGAAAAGAAAGTAGCATTCCATGTTAACCAAGCTTATATGTCTTCCATTCAGGTCCAAAGAAAACTAGAACTCATTTAGATCAATTCAGTATTTCCAACAGAGAAAGCATGATTAATTTATTTTGGTCAGGTGTTTAAATGACCAAATGGCCCAATCACCTATGATTGGGGAGTGAGATGGAGTGTGAAATCAAGAAATGTATTTGGTAAAAATACAGTAAGCATTCACATCAAAGGGTTGGATGTCTGTGAAAATATTATGAGTAGATAAGGCAATCTCATAAATGATCATTTAAAAAATAATAGCCTGAATATTTTGGGGGTCTTTTGAGGAGTGGCAGTAGCATAACTAAAATCACCACTTCTATTCCTCTTATATTACCAACACTAAATATTGATTTTTAACTTACAGGTATGTGTTTTTATAACAGAGATGTTTATTTCTAATTAAGTCCATTTAATTATGGTCTCTTGTTATCACAATTCCATAGAGTTTCAATTTGTAAATGTTCTTTGCTATGTAACTATATTTAATTTGCTTTTAAATTCTATTAATTGGGAACATATAAACTTTAAAATTATATTAGAGGTTTACATGTAAAATTTTATAAAGAAAAATTTAACATATAAAGACATGGTAAAACATTTTCAAAGAAAATGTAGTATTCATTTTGTGCTATTATGAGTTATGTACTTTTCTCTATTTTATAAATGTTTGATACAGTTTGGATATTTGTCTTCTCTAAATCTTATGTTGAAACATACTCCCTAGTGTTGGAGCCAGGCCCTAGTGGGAGGTATGTGGGTCACAGGGGCAGATCTCTCATGACTGTATTGATGCCATCCTCATGGTAGTGAGTGAGTTCTTGCTTTGTTCACATAAGATACTGTTGTTTGAAAGAGTATGGCGTCTCTTCCATCTTTCTCACTTCCTTACTCTTGCTTCTGCTCTCAACATATGACACTGGCTCTCCCTTTGCTTTCTGCCATGATTGTAAGCTTTCTGACGCCTCACTAGAAGCAGAACAGATGCTGGTGCCATGCTTCCTGTACACCCTGCAGAACTACGTGCCAATCAAAATTCTTTTTCTTATAAATTACCCAGTCTCAGGTATTCCTTTATAGCAACACAAAAATGGACTAACGCAATGATGGTGTAGTTTTAATTTCAAATTCTACTATTTCATTGCTGGGACTATAAAAACGATTGACTTTTGCATATTAACTTTTTATTCTGTAATTTTGCTGTAATCAATCAGTTCCTGAAGCTTGTTTGTCAGTTCTTTTGCATTTTGTACATAGAAAGTTATGTCATCTGCATATAATGACAGTCTGATTTCTCTCTTCTCTTTCTGCATGCCTTTTATTACCTTTTCTTGTTATATTGCATTAGCTAGGCCTTCCTGAAAGATACTGAAAAGGAATGGTAAGCAAGCACATCCTTGTCTTCTTTCTCATTAGATTTGATATTACCTGTAGGATTTCTTTGTAGATTATCATATGAAATTGAGACAGTTCGCTTGATTCCAAATTTCCTACCTTTTTTTTTTAATAATGAGTGGGCATTGCTATGTGCTTTTTCTGCATCTACTAATATGACTATGGGATTTGTCTCCTTCACTCTGTTGATTAATAGATTGTATTAATTGACTTTCAAATGTTGAGACAGCCTTCCATACCCAGAATAAACCCTGCTTAAGTCATGGTGTATGATTCTTTTTATAAATTGTTGAATTGGCTCTTCTAGAATTCTGTTGAGGATTCTGCAACTATGTTCATGCAAGATATTGTTCTGTAATTTTCTTTTCTGGTAATGTCTTAGTCAGTTTTGGGTATTAATAGAATGTTGAGTCATAAAATGAGTTAGGAAGTAGTCCTTCTGCTTCTATCTTTTGAAAGACATTGTAGAGAATTAGTATAATTTCTCTTTAAACACTTGGTGGAGTTGACCAGTGAACCCATAAGGGCCTGGTGATTTTCATTTTCAAAGGTTATTAAACATGAATTTACTTCATTTAATAGATATAAACCTGTTTAGAATATTTATTCCTGTTGTGTAAGTGTTGGCAGCTTGTGTCTTTCACATAATTCATTATTCCTTATTATTCATATAATGTTCATGAGATTTGTAGTGATGCCCCTTCTTTTGGTTCTGATATTAGTAATTTGAGTTTTCTGTCTTCTTTTCTTAGTTACCCTGTCTGAAGGCTTATTAATTTTAGTGGTCTTTTTAAATAATCAGCTCCTGGTTTCAATCTTCTCTATTAATTTCCTGCTTTCATTTCATTGATTTCTGTTCTAATTTCTATTATTTCTTATCATTAAATTCACATTGAATTTAATTTCTCTTCTTTTTCTTGTTTCCTAAAATGGAGGCTTAGATTATTGATTTTTTTTACCATTCTTCTTTTCTATCATATGCATTCAATGTTATATATTTCCCACTGAGCTCTGTCTGAACTGCATCTTACAAATTTTGTTAAGTAATATGTTAATTTTTATTTAGTTCAAAATATTTTAACTTTACCTGCAATTTCTTCTCTTTTTATTCCCACAACTGTGTTGTTTAACTCACAAAACCAAACAAAATTAAGTAGTTTGAGATTTCTAGCTAGCTTTCTGATAACGATTTCTTATTTAATCTCACTGTGATCTGGGGACAATTACTACTGAATTTTTACATTTTTCTGCATTCTCTTTTTTACTTAGCTCTTTTTTTAATCTCTTTTTTTGTCTATTCATTTCAGCCTCTTACTAGTGACTCTATGCTTATTTTATTTTGTTAAAAAAAATGCCATGCAATATTTCCACCTATTTTTTTATTATACTTTAAGTTTTAGGGTACATGTGCACAACGTGCAGGTTTGTTACATATGTATACATGTGCCATGTTGGTGTGCTGCACCCATTAACTCGTCATTTACATTAGGTATATCTCCTAATGCGATCCCTTCCCTCTCCCCCTACCCCACAACAGGCCCTGGTGTGTGATGTTCACCTTCCTGTGTCCAAGTGTTCTCAGTGTTCCATTCCCACCTATGAGTGAGAACATGTGGTGTTTGGTTTTTTGTCCTTGTGATAGTTTGCTGAGAATGATAGTTTCCAGCTTCATCCATGTCCCTACAAAGGACATGAACTCATCATTTTTTATGGCTGCATAGTATTCCATGGTGTATATGTGCCACATTTTCTTAATACAGTCTATCAATGATGGACATTTGTGTTGGTTCCAAGTCTTTGCTATTGAATAGTGCTGTATTAAACATACGTGTGCATGTGTCTTTATAGCAGCATTATTTATAATCCTTTGGATATATACCCAGTAATGGGATGGCTGGGTCAAATGGTATTTCTAGTTCTAGATCCCTGAGGAATTGCCACACTGTCTTCCACAATGGTTGAACTAGTTTACAGTCCCACCAACAGTGTAAAAGTGTTCCTATCTCACATCCTCTCCACATCCTCTCCAGCACCTGTTGTTTCCTGGCTTTTTAATGATCGCCATTCTAACTGGTGTGAGATGGTATCTCATTGTGGTTTTGATTTGCATTTCTCTGATGGCCAGTGATGATGAGAATTTTTTCATGTGTCTGTTGGCTGCATAAATGTCTTCTTTTGAGAAGTGTCTGTTCATATCCTTTGCCCAATTTTTGATGGGGTTGTTTGATTTTTTCTTGTAAATTTGTTTGAGTTCTTTGTAGATTCTGGATATTAGCCGTTTGTCAGATGAGTAGATTGCAAAAATGTTCTCCCATTCTGTAGGTTGCCTGTTCACTCTGATGGTAGTTTCTTTTGCTGTGCAGAAGATCTTTAGTTTAACTAAATCCCATTTGTCAATTTTGGCTTTTGCTGCCATTGCTTTTGGTGTTTTATATCTAGAAAACCCCATCATCTCAGCCCAAAATCTCCTTAAGCTGTTAAGCAACTTCAGCAAAGTCTCAGGACACAAAATCAATGTGCAGAAATCACAAGCATTCTTATACACCAATAACAGACAAACAGCCAAACCATGAGTGAACTCCCATTCACAATTGTTTCAAAGAGAATAAAATACCTAGGAATCCAACTTACAAGGGACGTGAAGGACCTCTTCAAGGAGAACTACAAACCACTGCTCAACAAAATAAAAGAGGACACAAACAAATGGAAGAACATTCCATGCTCATGGGTAGGAAGAATCAATATCGGGAAAGGGGCCATACTGCCCAAGGTAATTTATAGATTCAATGACATCCCCATCAAGCTACCAATGACTTTCTTCACAGAATTGGAAAAAACTACTTTAAAGTTCATATGGAACCAAAAAAGAGCCCTCATTGCCAAGTCAATCCTAAGCCAAAAGAACAAAGCTAGAGGCATCATGCTACCTGACTTCAAACTATACTACAAGGCTACAGTAACCAAAACACCATGGTACTGGTACCAAAACAGAGATATAGACCAATGGAACAGAACAGAGCCCCCAGAAATAATATCACACATCTACAACCATCTGATCTTTGACAAACCTGACAAAAACAAGAAATGGTGAAAGGATTCCCTATTTAATAAATGGTGCTGGGAAAACTGGCTAGCCATATGTAGAAAGCTGAAACTTGATCCCTTCCTTACACCTTATACAAAAATTAATTCAAGATGGATTAAAGACTTAAATGTTAGACCTAAAACCATAAAAACCCTAGAAGAAAACCTAGGCAATACTATTTCCACCTATTTTGTTATTGGATTATCACAATTATTATTAACTTTTGATTCAGCACATTTCCTCCTTTCTTGTACTGTAAAACTATTAGCACATCTCATTTAGGGTTCCATTTTTACTGTTTACTAATACTTAAAATATAAGTGATATATTTCAGACTGTGTGTGGTAACTAAAGAGTCATATCTTTTTTTCACAAAATTCATTCTCAGTTCCCACACTGGAAACTAAACAAGTGGATTCTAGTAGAATTACTCTTTCAGAAACATAGCTGTAGAAAACATACTTATATACTTGTTTTATCTTAATTCTAATATTGACTCACACTGCTGATCCTTCAATTGCCAAAAACTTTCAATGTAGAGTGGATTTTATTCCACCACAGGTGGGATTCTAATATGTTGCCAATTAGAAGTTGATACAATTTTGAATCCTAAAAAAATGCTGTCACTTTCCATAGACCTTCCCATTTTACAGTATTTTTCTCGGGCAGTAAATCTCTCATTATGCCATTCAGCACACTTCTGCTTCTGTTATGAATTTGCAGTCTCAACGGATATAGAAGTATAGTTACAGAAAAAGGAACTGAACAGTTGATTTTGGCTATCTGCACAATGGTCTTGATTGCTAACTCAAGGCTAACTCAATACATATCTATTTCTATCATCATCCATGTAGGTAGGCATGTGTGCGTGTGTGTGTTTGTGTGCACATGTGCAATGTGCAAGTCTTTGTGTTTGTGTTTGCTACACATCCATGTAGGTAGGCATGTGTGCATGTGTGTGTTTGTGTGCACATGTGCAATGTGCAAGTCTTTGTGTTTGTGTTTGCTACTCCAGAGGGTAAAGCACGTGTAGACCATGTATTTACCTTCTTATCAAACCTATGTCTATGTTTTAATTGCTAGAATTTGTTAAGTATCTAACCACAAAATATCTCTTGTTTTTTGTTTTTAAGCCATTTCACGTTTGTATTACTTTATGAATATTTTAATATTGTGTTATTGGGTAACATTTCACAGACTTCTAATCTCACATTATTTCATTCCAGAACCCCTACCCACAGTCAACCTCTAACTTTTTAATTTTATCCTGTAACTTCATGGCATCTCTAGTGCTGTATGAATTCCTTGCCTCCAGATCACAAAATATATTTCTAAATATTCTTTTAAATATTGGCATAACAAACTAATTCAGTGTAGACTCTTCATAGACTCTTCCTGTGATTTTAGTTCATCCTATTTCCAACTGTCTGGAAGAATGGTCCACAAAGGAGCCACGATAAGATGACTGAAAAGAAACCTCCAGTGATCATCCCCCCACAGGGGGAAAACAAAATTGAACAACTATTCATGCAAGAAAGCACCTTCATAAGAACTAAAAATCAGGTAAGCAATTACAGTACATAGTTTTAATAATTATATCAAGGAAAGAGGCACTGAAGAGGGTAGGAAAGAGAGTCTTGCATTGCCCACACCACCCCTTCTCCATCCCCTGGCAGTGCACATAGACAGAATCTGTGTGCTTGGGGGAGGGAGATCAAAGCGACTGTGCAACTTCACATTATAACTCAGGGCTGTCCTTTCTCAGCAGAACAAACATAGGAAAGAATTCTTCTGGTGCCCGTGGAGAAAGCATTGAAAGTAGCCCAGGCCAGAGTGGATCCTCCACTGCGGAAGTAGGAATCTAAATGGCAGCTAGCTCTACCACAGGCTAACTAAAGTATTCTGGAATCCTAAATACATTTGAAGGGCAGCCAGGCCACAGGGACTTCAGTCCTTTGGCAAATTTGGTGCTGCTGCACTGAGCTCAGAGCCAGTGAACTTAGAGTGCACACAACCCAGTGAAACACCAGTTGTGGTGACCAAGAGAGTGCCTGTGTCATTCCACTCCTTACTCTAGACAGTGCTACTCCAGGAGACTTCTTCCACAGTGGAAAGGAAAAAAGACTAGAGGACCCTGTCTTGCCGTCTTGGGTACCAGGTCAACCATAGTAAAATAGAACACCAGGTATATTCCTGAAGACCCTGATTCAGGTCCTAGCTTCTGAAAGGCATTTTTAGACCCTTCCTGGGCTAGAAGGGAACATGCTGCACTGAACAGAAAGACAAAGTCCTCGCAAGATTTACCACCTGCTGACTAGTGGTAGCCATGCAGTAGTCCTATTGGCCATGAGCTAGACCAAGTACTGTGCTGATGATGGCAGTGGGTGCTGCCATCATTCCAGCTGCAGCAGGGAGGCACGGCTGGGGCTACACATTCCATGGAGCTGGTGGGAGCCCTGCCCCTTCTGAGTTGGAGTGGGAGCCCCCATGCCACTACAGCCACCAAAATGGAAGCAGTGGATTTGAACCTCCCTGTGCTCTTGGGGGAGGGCCAGGAGCAGGCAGCATCTGCCTTCCCAGGTGGGGCTGCGGCCACCACCCTAGTTGCAAGACTTGGGGCATCTCTGCAGCCTGTACCCTTGCGACCCCCAGGAAAGACCTCCCTGCTTCCATCCCTGCAGGTTCAGGGGTGTCTGCTCTGACTGCCTGGCCTCTCTGCACTTCCAGCACCCGCTCCAATCTTGGAGTAGGCTTGGGGCCAAGCCCCAAGGCCTCAAATGACATTGGGATGCAAACAGAGCCCTGGGAGGAAGGGGACAGGTCCCCAATAAGGCCCCACGTTCAGGCCAAGAAGGGGTCTGAAGGCTGGGGGCCAGGCTGCCAGTTGTGCTGCCTGGAGTAAGGAGCTATGGTTCTTCTTCTGGGCCTGTTCAAGGCCATCCATGGACCTATCAGCATGCACTTCCGCCCCTCTGAGGTCCATAAAATCCCTGGGCTCAGCTAGAGCAGGGCAGAAGATGGCCAGAGGAGAAAAGTTCAGAGAGATGATGGGATGACCAGCTGCAGAGAGGAGTACCCTCTCTGCTGAGAGCTACAGGGATGACCATCTGCAGAGAGAAGTACCCTCTCAGCTGAGGGCTACAGAGAAGACCTGCCAGCACAGAGGAGCTACCTTCTCTGCTGAGAGCTTCAGAGACAGGCAGAGAGGAGCTACCCTCCCTGCTAAGAGCTTCAGAGACCTACAGAGAGAGCTGCTCTCTCTGCTGAGAGCTGAATACTCCACATGATGACCTGCCTACAGAGAGGAGCTACCCACTCTGGGTCTCCTCTGAGGTGTTTTAACACTAAATAAAACTTATCTTCTTCACCCTTCACTTGTCTGAGTACCTCATTCTTCCTGGACGCAGGACAAGAACTCAGGCAAAGGCACCGTAGTCACAGATGTTTCTGGCCAGAAAACTCAACACCCCAGAGATCCTGTAACACCAACTTCAGGCGTAACTCAGTACTGTCCCTAATGTGGTGGTCACAGGGGTTCTTGTGTGACCCCTCCCTCAGCTCCAGGAGGCCCAGCAGGGACAGACACTCTTTCTGTTTGGGGAAAATGAGAGAGGAGAACAAGAGACTCTACCTGATAATCCAGGAGATTCTCCTGGATCTTACTCAAGGCTACCAAGATGGTACCTCTACTAACCTGTAAAAATCACAGTGTTGCTGGGCTTGGGGCACCCCCTAGTGCAAGTGTGACTGCCGTGACCAAAAACTACACCACTCAATACCCTTTGAATATCTGAAAAGCCTCTCAAGAAGGAGGAGTACACACAAGCCAGACTGTGAAGATTAGAATAAATATTTGATGCTCCAATGCCCAGGCATTGACGAATATTCACATGCAGTAAGAACATCCAGGAAAACATGACCTCACCAAATGAACTAAATGAGGCATCAGTGATTAGGCTCATAATGACAGAGATATATGACCTTTCACACAGGTAATTCAAAATAATTGTTTAAAGGAAGTTCACTGGACTTTATGATAACACAGAAAACAGATTTAGAATCCTATAAGATAAAGAAAAATCAAGCAGAAATTCTTAAGCTGAAAAATTCAATTACAAACTGAAAAATGCATCAGTCTCTCAGCAGAATTGATCAAGCAGAAAAATTAGGAGCTTGAAGACAGCCTGTATAAAATACACATTAAAAAAATAAAATAAATGCAGCATACTTACAGGATCCAGAAAATAGCCTCAAAAGAGCAATTTTGAGTTATTTACCTGAAAAAAAGAGGTAGAGAGAGAGAGACTGGTGTAGAAAGTTTACTAAGAAATAATAGTAGAGAAATTTCCAAATTTAAAGAAAGTCATCAATATTCAGGTACAAAGTCATAGAACACCAAGCATATGTAACTCAAAAAAAGACTATCTCAAGGTATTTAATAATCAAACTTCTTAAGCTCAAGGATTAAAAAAAAAAGAATCCTAAAAGCAGCGATATAAATGAACAAATAATGTACAAAGGAGTGTTAATACATCTGGTAGCAGACTTCTAAGTGAAAATCTTATGGGCCAGGAGAGAGTGGCATAGCATATTCAAATTGCTGAAGGAAAGGAAAAATAATTACCCAAACACTTTTACCCTAAAATTATATCCAGCAAAAATATCCTTCAAACATGAAGGAGAAATAATGACTTTCACAGACAAACAAAAGCTGAAGGATTTCATCAACATCAGACCTGTCCTAGAAGAAATGTTGAAGGGAGTTCTTTACTCTGAAAGGAAAGGACATTAACAAGCAATTAGAAATCATCTGAAAGTACAAAACACACTAGTAATGGTAAATACACAGACAAACATAGAATACTTCAATATTCTAATTGTGGTGTATATAGTAAGAACACAGGCAAATATAGAATACTTAACTCTCTAATAATACAGGATACTTAACACCTTTCTTACTTAGTAAGAAGACTAAAAGTCAATTACAACAACTTTTAAAAGGATAGATGGTATGAAAAGGTATAACTAGAAACAACATAAAGTTAAAGAGTTGGGAGGAGGAAGTTAATCAGTAGAAACTTTTATTAGTTTTCTCTTTGCTTGTTTGTTTTTTAATAATCAGATTTAAGTTGCCATCATTTTAAAATAACTGGTTATATTATGTTATCAGCAAGCCTCATGGCAACATCAAATCAAAAACCTACAACAGCTACACAAAAAAATGAAAAGCAAGAAATTAGAACATACTACCAGAGAAAATTACTTTTACACAAAGAAAAACAGGCAGAAAGGAAGGGAGAAAGATAATTTTTAAAAAGCAAGTAATAAATTGGTAATAATAAGTCCCAAAGTATAATTAATAAAATTAAGTTTAAATGGGCCAAACACTCCAATCAGAAGCATGTAACGGCAGAGTGAATTAAAAAAAAAGAAGATCCAACTACATACCGCCGATAATAAACTCACTTAATCTATAAAGATACACATAGACAAAAAGCAAAGGGATAGAAAAAGATATTCCATGACAATGGAAATGACAAAAGAGCAGAAGTAGTTATACTTATATCAAATAAAATAGATTTAAGACAAAAATTATATAAAGAGACAAAGAATGTCATTAATGATAAAAAGGTCAATTCAGGAAGAGGATATAATAATTGTTAATATATATTCAACCAATGCTGGAAGACTCAAATTTATAATTTATACATTATTCATGCTAAAGATAGAGATAAAACCAATAAAATAATAGCTGGAGATCTCAACACCCCAGTTGCAGCATTGGGAAGATCATCCAAAAAATGAAAAAAAAATCTATATTGGATTTAATCTATAAATCAAATGGACCTAACAGATATTTATAGGACATTTCATCCAATAGCTGCAGAATACACATTCTTCTCCTCAGAAAATAGATTATTCTCAAGAATAGGCCATGTGTTAGGCCACAATACAAGTCGTGAAAAATTCTAAAGTATTGAAATCATATATACTCTCATCACAATAGAACATGTGAAAATTATATAATATGCTCCTGAATGACCAGTGGGTCAACGAAGAAATTAAGCACATTTAAAAATTTTTTGAAACAAATGAAAATAAAACATGATATACCAAAAACCTATGGCATCAGCAAAAGCAATGCTAAAAGTTTATAGCAATAAGCACGTACAGCAAAAAACAAGAAAGAACTTCCAAAAAAACTGACGCATCTTCAAAAACTAGAAAAGAAAGAGCCAAACAAGCCTAAAATTTGTAGAAGAAAAAACAATAATTTAAAGCAGATACAAATGAATTTGAAACTAACAAGCCAAAAAAAAGCTGAACAAAAAGAAATGTGGTTTTTTGAAATGATAAACACAATTGACAATCTCTTAGCAAGATTTAAAATATCAGAGAAAACATTCAAATAAATATCATCAAAGATGAAAGAGGAAACATTATATCTGATGCCAACAAAATTTAGAGATTCACTAAAGACTACTATGAGCAACTCTATGCCCACAAATTGAAGATCCATGTAGCCTACCAAGATTGAATCATAAAGAAATCCAAAACCTGAATAGAACTATAACAAGTAAAAAGATTGAAACCATGACAAAAAGTCTTCCATCAGACAAAAACCCAGGAGCTGTCAGGTTCACTGTTGAATTATTCCATATATTTAAAGAAGAACTAATAGCTATTCTTCTCAAACTATTCTGAAAATTGAAGAGGTAAGAATATGTCTAAACTCATTTTGGAAGGCCAGTATTACACTGATACCAAAACCAGACAAAGACACAACTAAAAAAGAAAACTACAGGCTAATATCTCTGATGAACATACATGCAAAAAATCCTCAACAAAATACTAATCAAATTCAATCACACATTTAAAAAAATCATTTATCATGACCAAGTGAGATTCATTCCAGGAATGCAAGGATGGTTTAATATACACAGATCAATGTGATACATCATATCCACAGAATGAAGGACAAAAATCATATGATTATTTCAATTGATGCTGAAAATGCACTCAATAAAATTAAACATTAGTTCATAATAAAAGAAATCTCAAAAAATCTGGGAATAGAAGTAATATACTTCAATGCAATAAAAGCCATATAGGACAGACCCACAGCTATCAACATACTGAATGAGGAAAAAATTATCTTAGAGCCTTTCCTCTAAGATGTGAAACAGAAAAAGGCTATGCATTTCACCACTGTTATTTAATATAGTATTGGAACTGTTTGCTAGAGTAATTAGACAAAAGAAAGAAAGAGCATCCAAATTGGATTGGAATAAGTAAAATTATTTCTTTTTATAGATGATATCATCTTATATCTAGAAAAACCTACAGATTCTATCAAAAATCATTAAAACAGATGAACACATTCAGTAAAGTTGCAGGATACAAAATTAACATAAAAATCAGCAGCACTTCTATATGCCAACAACAAACAATCTGATAGACAAATGAAGAAAGTAATACCATGATAGTAAATAAAAATAAAATAAAATGCCTAGGAATAAACTTAAAAGAAGTGAAAGTTCTCTGCAATGAAAACTGTAAAAATTGATGAAAGTAATTAAAGAGGACATACATAAAAAATGAAAAGATGCTCCATGTTCATGAATTGGAAGAATAAATCTGTTTAAAATGTCTGTACTACCTAAAACAATCTATGGATGCAAATATCAAAATATCAATGACATTCTTCCCCAAAACTGAAAAAAAAAATCATAACATTTATACAGAACAACAAAAGACCCAATTATCCTGAGCAAAAAGAGCAAAACTGAAGAAATCACATCACCTAACTTCAAATTATATTACAGAGCTATAGTAAACAAAACAGCACAATACTAACATCAAAACAGACACATAGTCTGATAGAACAGATTAAAGAACTCATAAATAAATCCACATATTTGCAATTCTATGTTTGTTGCATCATTGTTTACAGGTAAGACATTTTTGGCAAAGGGGCCATGAACATACATTGGGGAAAGCAGGGTCTCCTAAATAAATGGTGCTGGAAAACTGGCTATCTATATGCAGAAGAATGAAATTAGACCCCTATCCCTTGCCATAAAGAAAAGCAAATCTAAATGGATTAAAGACCTAAATTTGTGGAAAATGTATGAAGATACTAAAAGAAAACATGGTGGAACGTCTCCTGAACATTGGTCTAGGCAAAAATTTCTTGAGTAATAACTCAAAGCACAGACAACCAAAGCAAACATGGACAAATGGGATCACATTGAGCTAAAATGTTTCTTCCCAGTAATGGAAATAATAAAAAAGTAAAGAGACAACCCACAGAGTGGGAGAAAATATTTGCAAATTACCCATCTGACAAAGGATTAATAACCAGAATTTATTGGGAGGGCAAGGCAGGTGGATCACCTGAGGTGAGGAGTTCGAGACCAGCCTGATCAACATGGTGAAACCCTGTCTCTAATGAAAAATACAGAAAAGTAAAATAAAATAAAAATAATAAAATTAGCTGGGTGTGGTGGCAGGCACCTGTAATGGCAGCTACTTGGGAGACTGAGGCAGGAGAATCGTTTGAACCCAGGAAACGGTGGTTGCAGTGAGCCAAGATCACACCATTGCACTACAGATTAGATGACAAAAGTGAAAATCCATCCCCCAAAAAACAAACAAACACACACAAAAAACAACAACAACAAAAAAAAAAAAAACCGGCGCGATGGCTCATGCCTGTAATCCCAGCACTTTGGGAGGCTAAGGAGGGCGGATCACCTGAGGTCAGGAGTTTGAGGCCAGCCTGGCCTACATGGTGAAACCCTGTCTCTACTAAAAGTACCAGAAAACTTAGCCGGGTGTGGTAGCACTTGCCTGTAATCCCAACTACTCTGGAGGCTGAGGAAGGAGAATCCCTTGAACCCAGGAGGCGGAGGTTGCAGTGAGTGAGTTGAGATAGCACCACTGGACTCCAGCCTGGGAGACAAGAGTGAGACTCTGTCTCAATTTAGAAAAAAAAAAAAAGAAAAAAAAACAGAATATATAAGAAGCTCAAACAACTATAGGAAAAACTAATAATCTTATTAAAAAGTGGGCAAAAGATCTGAATAGACATTTCTCAAAATAAAACATACAAATGGAAAACAGATAAGTGAAAAGATGTTCAACATTGCTGATCATCAGATAAATGCTCATCAAAACTATAATGAAATATCTTCTCACTTCAATTAAAACAGCTTTTATCCAAAAATAGGCAATATAAAATGCTGCTGAAGATGTGGAGAAAAGAGAATTCTCATACACTGTTGGTGGGAATATAAATTCATGCAACCACTATGGGGAACAGTTTGGAGGTTCCTCAAAAAACTAAAAATAGAGCTACCATATGATCCAGCAATCCCACGCTAGGTATAATAGTTCACATTATGTGCTATATTAAACTATACCATATATTAAACTAAACCATATATTCCATAAATATATGCACCCACTATATATACACACAAAAATTGAAAATTAAAAAAAATAAAAACTAAAAATAGAGCTACCAAGTGATCCAGCAATCTTATGTATCCCAAAGAAAAGAAATCAGTACATCAAAGAGATATCTGCACTCTCATATTTATTGCAGCACTATTCACAATAGCCAAGATATGAAATCAACCTGAGTATCCATCAGCAGACAACAGACAAATGGGTAAAGAAAATGTGGTATATATACGCAATGGAGTGTTACTCAGCCGTAAAAAAGAATTAAATCCCATCATTTACAACAGTATGGATGGAACTAGCGGTCACTATGTTAAATGAAATAAGCCCAGGTACAGAAAACAAATTTCACATGTTGTAACTTACTTGTGGGAGCTAAAGATCAAAACAATTGAACTAATGGAGATAGATAGTAGAAAGATAGTTACCAGAGTCTGGGAAGGGTACTGAGAGGGGGAATGGGGAGTTGGTTAATGGATACAAAAACAAGTTTAGATAGAATGAAGCAGATATAGTATTTGATAGCACAAGAGGGTGACTACCGTCAATAACAATTTCTTATACATTTTAAATTATTTATTGTACATTTAGACTCATTTATTGTACTTTTTAAATATTGTACATTTAAAAATAACTAAAAGAGTATAATTGGATTGTTTGTAACACAAAGAAAGAATAAATGCTTGAGGTGACTGATACTCCATTTACCCTGCTCATGTTGTTTCCCTGTATCAAAATATCTCACAGATCTCACTGACTATATATATATATATACCCACAAAATTAAAAATTCAGAAAAAAATATTTTTAAAAAGAATTTTAAACCATCTAATGATGGGTACCTTTTGACTTTTTTTTTTCAAATTTAGCAAACATTATCAAATATTTTTAAAGAACAGTAAAAATGGAAGTCATATTTTAGATTCCCCAAGGCCAACTATTCATAGCCATGTAGCCAAAAGTTGTTATCCTGATTTCCCTGAAGTTGTAGCTCCAATCATGAAAAAGCACATGTTTTATGTTCTTGTCATCATGATTCAGTAAAATTAAAGCAATCAGCCATAGACAAACCAGCTTTAACTACTCTCCTTCCCTCAAAGGTAATTTAACGTATAATAACAAATACTGTTATACATTAAGTCAGTCAAAATACTTTCTTATTTATGCTTTATCTTCCTTAGTTGTGCTATATTTTCTGCGCTATGACTGCTGTGAGCAGATCTTCTTATTACTTTTAGTTGGGGATCTCCTGGTTTGAAACTTGTTATTTTGTGTGCAAAATAAATTTCATTTTTTATCTAACTTGATCTGATTTTATTTCTTACAGTACTTATGAATTCCAAAGTCATGGGCTGGGTATTTAAATATGTATAAAATATAGTCCTTTGCTTCAGGAGGATAGACAAGTTTGTAAAAACAATTCTTATTTTGTTTTGTAAAACCAATAGAACAAAGAAAAATTATTTTACATATGTGCAGAAACAATGGTGTTACCAAGGGAAAAAAATAAGCAACTTCATTTAAGGAGACAGTTACTGTGGAATTATTATTATTATTATTATTATTATTCCCTTGAAGGAACACTTTAACATCTCTTGAAGGCACAAAGAAACCAGAAAAAACAGCATATGCAAATACATGGGTGGTAAATACATGGATGTTCATAACTGCTTGGATGTTCTAGGGATGCCAAGGAGCCAGCTTTACATTAAAAATAGTGTGTGTTGGGTTATGAGCACAGAAAGAGGAGAGACGAATAGAAAAGTAATGTACAAAACACTGAAAGTCTTAGACTTTAGAAATGATTTATGATTTTACTTTTCTTGCTCTATCTTTTTTATGTGAGAATATCTATCTTTGCCTTCAAAATAGTTAAATATTCATGAGCATCTTGGTTCACTAGACTTTTCAATTAAGTTCTTATAATTCCCCAATATCCCAGGGTGTATCTGGGAAGAAAAGTGTTAGTAGTAGATGTGTAAACAAGTCGTTCTCAACCATAATGCCCTGGAGAGAAATGTATGACCTCAATCAAACCTTCTTTTAAACATAAAAATGAGTGACCACCTGATAAACATAGGAATACTGTCTTTAAACAGAAAGGTACCTGAGAATCCTTAACTGTAAAATGCTTCTTGTGGGATACATTCTTCTTTCTAGATTTTTATTTGTAAATAAACTCAGAATATATAAATTTATGAGGGAATGTGTGGCTGAAAATTGTCACATAAACTGTGCAGTTAATGTGGGGATAGTTCAAAACTAAAATGATTTTCTCTGTGGGCAATATCCATATGATTACTCAGAAAGCAATTTGCATGTTAAATTTCAAACCTGAAGTCCTGGTGTTGGGGAGGAGGGGAACAACATCTTTCAGATATAACAGGGATGAATTCAGGCATCTCTAAGGGAAGAAGACTTTCCTAACATAGTGTGCTTGCTTTTGCCATTCACCAAAATGTACTAATTGGTAAGATTCATAATTTGCATGAGTTCCATCTGACAATGTAATTTTTTTATATATAAAAAAGTCTGTCCGTTTTTTTTTTCTAACTTGAGCACACTCCTACTGTTTTAAGCATTTTCTCTCACTATTGTACCATAAAATCTTGAAAGGGTTTTGTAACATTGTTCCATCTCAATCTTTTTTTCACTTTCCTTCCATAGAAGGGTCAGAGATATCTACATCACTACTGCTACTATATAGGTAACACTTAGTGAAGAGTTGTCAAAAAAAGGGGATTACTTCCCAAGAAAATATTATATGTTAGCTAATCCTTTAAAATATTTTGGAAATGAGGTGAAGGAAAGTGTCCACAAAAAATAGTTGCACATATAAAAAGAGAAAAACATTCATTATCTTTCTGAGGCCATATAAATGAGAATAGTTGCAAAGACATAAATTACATTTAGAATAAAATTGCATCAAAGTAAAATTGTATTTTAATAATGTCATTAGCATTTATTAAAAGATACACTGAATCTTATTGGTAAGTAGTATTCTAAGATCTTTGTGGTAATATGTCATTAAAATTAATTAATTCATTCATTTAATATATATTAAATTACTTATTATTTCAATAGTCATGTAGTAAAGATAAATTATACAGGGCTGTATAATATAAAGTTTAAAGCAAGCATATGTAAATAGTGTGAGAGAGAAGCAGTGGTGTATTCCTTTTATATGGTTGCTTGCTCCCACACGTACTTCAAAAGAGTATTTGATCTCGCACCCCAAGAGAAACAGAGACCAACCACAGTGGAAATGCAATAAAACCACAACAAGACATTTTCCAGATTTTATATTTTGGTTTTTAATTTCAAAAGGCCCAGATTTATTGTTGTTGTTGTCATGTAAGGCAATTTAATGTAATTTTCAGAGATATTATTTGTGACTTCAGCAACTCATATTCCTACCCAAGAGTGTTTAAAACTAAATCCCTTATGTGAGTACATTAATTTGTGTATTACATTGTTAATGTTAGAAATACAATGTAAATATGTAAAATCTCAATGAAATAAGTTTTTTTTTTTTTTTTTTCCTTGGGGAGTGGGCAGTTAGTTAATGGCAAAAAGAGTTACAGGAAAAGAAGAATCAGCAAAAATATAATAGGATATAGCCTGGATTACTTATAGTTATTTTAGATATAGAATATGATAAGAAGTTAGTTAACTGAGGGAATAATCCTTGGCCATATATATTTTCTGGTTGTAATATGCTTTTTTTTTTTTTTTTTTTTTTTTGAGACGGAGTCTCACTCTGTTGCCAAGGCTGGAGTGCAGTGGCACGATCTCAGCTCACTGCAAGCTCTGCCTCCCGGGTTCACGCCATTCTCCTGCCTCAGCCTCCCGACTAGCTGGGACTACAGGCGCCCGCCACCAAGCCCGGCTAATTTTTTGTATTTTTAGTAGAGACAGGGTTTCACCGTGTTAGCCAGGATGGTCTCGATCTCCTGACCTCGTGATCCGCCCGCCTCGGCATCCCAAAGTTCTGGGATTACAGGCGTGAGCCACCGCGCCCGGCCTGTAATAGGCTTTTTTATTTTGAGATACTCATAGATTCACATGCAATTGTAAGAAATAATACAGATAAATTCTGTGTATACGTTGTCCAGTTTTCTTAATGATATTATCTTACAAAACTGTAGTGCAATATCACCCCAGTTCCTTATTAAAATTGATAGAGTCAAGATACAGTGTATTTCCACAATCAGAAGAATACTTTTGTTGCCCTTTTATAGCCACATCCAATACTGTCATAACCTCCTTGGCCCTGATGACAGCTAATTTGTCCTTGGTTTCTATAATTTTGTCATTTCAAAAATGATATATGAATATAATTAAATAGCATAAAACTATGGCCGTTTTGCATTTGGTACTCAGAATATACTCTACAGATTCATCCACATTGTTGCTTATATGAATAGTTTTATCTCTGTCTTTGTTTTTGAGTAATATGGTATGGATATACCACAGTTTGTTTAACCATTCATCTGTTAAAGGACATCTAGGCTGAATCCAGGTTTGGTCATTACAAATAAAGTTGTTATAAACATTTTTGCATAGGTTTTGGGGTCAACATATGTTTTCACTTAGGAATAAATAGCAGGAATGCAGTTGATAGGAAATGTGTTAGTTGCATGTTCAATTTTATTAATGAACAGAAAAACTGGTTTTTACAGTGGCTGTATCATTTTACATTCTCACTAGCAATGTATTAGTGATCCCATTTTTAACATCAACATCCGTGCCTGCATTGGGTAACATCATTATTTTTAAATTTTAGCCATTCTGATAGGTATGTAATGACGTACCATTGTGGCTTTAATTTCCATTTTCCTAAAAGCAAATGATGTTGAACATATTTTCATGTATTTATTTGCCATCTATTTCCTCTTCAGTGAAATTTCTTTTCATGTATTCTGCCAGTTCCTCATTGGATTGTTTGTTTGTTTCACTGTTAGATTTTGAGAGTTTCTATTTATTTCAGATATTAATCCTTTATCAAATATGTGGTTTGTAAATATTTTATCCTTGTGTATGGCTTGTATTTTTTTGTCATCTTCACTTACTATTTATTTATTTATATTTTAACTTTTATTTCTGGTTCAGGGGTAATGTGCTGGTTTCTTATATAGGCAAATTTTGTGTTACCGGGGTTTGTTGTACCGATTACTTTGTCACCCAGGTAATAAGCATAGTACCTGATAGGTTTCTTTTGATCCTCACCCGTTTCTCACCTCCACCCTCATGTAAGCCCCGGAATCTGTTGTTCCCTTCTTTGTGTCCATGTACTCTATGTTTAGTTCCCGCTGATAAGTGAAAAATGTGATATTTGGTTTTCTGTTGCTGTATTAGTTCTCTTAGGATAATAACATCCATCTCCATCCATGGTGCTGCAAAAGACATAATCTTATTTTTCTATGGCTGTGTAGTATACCATGGTGTATGTGTATCAGATTTTCTTTATCCAGCCTACCACTAATGGGCATTTAGGTTAATTCCGTATCTTTGCTATTGTGAATAGTTCTACAGTGAACATAGGTGTGCATGTGTCTTTATGGTAGAATCATTAATATTCCTTTAGGTATATACCGAATAGTGGGATTGCTGGGCCACATGATAATTATATTTTAAGTTCTTTCAGAAATTGCTAAACTGCTGTCCATAGTGGCTGAACTAATTTACATTCCCACCAGCAGTGTATAAGCATTCCCATTCCTCCACAACGTTGCCAGCATCTGTTATTTTTTGACTTCTTCACAATAGCCATTTTGACTGGTACGAGAAGGTATATCATTCTTGTTTTGATTTACATTTCTCTAATTATTAGTAGTGTTGAACACTTTTTCATATGCGCAATGGCCAGGTGTGTGTCTTCTTTTGAAAAGTGTTTTTTAATGTCTCTTGTCTACTTTTTAATGGGTTCATTTGGTTTTTGCTTATAAATTTGTTTAAGTTCCTTATAGATTCTAGATATTAGATCTTTTATGGATGCGTATTTCACAAATTTTTTTTTTCTGTTCTGTAGGATGTCTGTTTACTCTGATATTTTATTTTGCAATACCAATTTCTAATGCACCTTTGTGCTTCACATAACATAGCCTGCCATGAAGAAATTAGTAAATGCATTTAGAATGATTTAAATTTTTGTAGATAACTGTGTTTATGCAATTCTAAACTAAGACTTTGTAAATTAATCCCATATATATGTGTGTATATATATATATATATATATATATATATATATATATATACACACTTCCCTCTTAGAAGATTATGCTGCTGTTGGATACAAAATTATTATTCACAAATAACTAGAGAAATGTCAATTATTTGCATCTATATATTTGGAAAAGTCTTCCTCCTAAAAAGGATAATTCATGGTATAAATGGGAGGATTATGGTATTCCCCTTCAGAAAAATAATAGCTAATATGCTTTCTTTCATAATTGTATACAGTAGGACAGGTAAGGCAATGGCCTGATTACCAACTCCTTGCTTAATTGCGTTGAAATTTGCTGCAATCAATCCAGGCCCTTTGAGTAAATGCTATTTCAAAATTTGTCAAAAAAAAATCCAATAAATAAATGATAACATTTGGCTTAATTTATATGACATACACATTAACGTTCAGGTTTTTGAAGCTAACAAAGACCTTCAGAATGTGCCACAGTATCACTGGAAAAGAGAACAAGAAGAAAAGCATAACATAGCAAAACAAAATACTATAGTTTGATTGTACATTCAATATTTCTAATTTAGGACCTCATTTAATTATGTTTTTAAAATTTTATTCTCACAGATAGTATTTATATAAAAAAATTTACTGCTTCAAAAATTTTTAAAGCAGGTTAGTAAGTTTTAAATGTTCTTAACATAGAATGGCATTTACAATCAATCATTTTAAATCTGAATATAAGTCTTTATGAAGCATAACCAAATGAAATACAGATCTCTTCACAGAAACCCAAATCAAGCCAATGATTCCAAATTATATAATAGATATATAAATAAAAATTTTGCCAGTATACAAAACAATTGATGTTTTAACTTTATAGACTAACAAAGTAAAAGTGATAACCTCATTGGTTCCTTTGAAAAAAATAAGAATTCACCAGTATAGATTTAGACAAGTAGACCTAGTGAATCTTGCTGTCTTTTAAATATTCTCCTGATAAAAATTCACCAGAGATATTTTAAAGGCTGGATAAAGCCCAAACATTAACTATATAAGATTAATTTGAAGATTAATTTGAATATATATTACAATACTTCATTTTAATTGTTAGGATTGTTGGCTACCATGTAATTTTCTTGGCATCTCATTTTAATTTTTTATTTTAAAATGAAAATAAACATGATAATGTCCATTAATTTCTTCAGGAAAACTGCAATATTATTTTCCACAACATAATATTATACTGTATAAGTGCATTCTGAGGTATGATAATACCATCAATTTGGTGTGGGCAAAGGACCATTTTCTTTTTTACTCTACTACTAATTCCTTTCTTGCTGAAAGAGTTCCACATGCCATAAGGGTCCAAACCTATCCTCTATCCTTTATGTATTACTCCTCAGGCAAGTTCAGGAAACACTACCAATTAGTATACCTGAAAGAAAAAAAAAAGGGGGGGATAAGTTGCTCTTTATCTCAATTATCTCTTGCTGCATAATAAATGACTCCTAACCTTAGAAGTTTTAAACAACAAACATGTATTGCCTCGCATGGTTTCCTTATAGAAGGAATCCAAGACCAACTTATCCAAATTATGTTGCCTCAGTGATTCTAATGAAGTTACTTTTTTTTGTTGTTGTTTTGTTCTGAGACAGGGTCTCACACTGTTGCCCAGGCTGGAATGCAGTAGTGTGATCTTGGCTCACTGCAACCTCTGCCTCACAGGCTTAAGTGATCCTCCCACAACAGCCTTTTCAGTAGCTGGAACTATAAGTGCGTGCCACCATGCCCTGCTAATTTTTTTTTTTTTTTTTCGTAGAATGGGGTTTCACTATGTAGCCCAAGCTGGTCTTGAACGCCTGGCTGGGCTCAAGCAATCTGCCTCTCAGCCTCCCAAAGTGCTGAGATTATAGGTTTGACCCACCTCACCAGGCCTCAGGTTTCATTCAATAAGTCAGCTGGACTGTGATCACCTGAATGCTTGACTGGACCGTAGAATCCATTTTCCATGTTCGCTCAAATGGCTATTGGAAAAGAGCTTTAGTTCTTCACATGCAACTCTTTATAGGGATAATCACAATATGGCAGCTGGCTTCTATGGCATGGCAACGATAAGAGAGAGAAAGACAGAGAGGGAAAGGCAGCACGCCACCTGTGCTCTTTGCGGAAGGCGTGCTGTTGAGGGGGAAAAAGAAAGCCCAATATTTGCTACTGTTTTTCCTTTTTTTACTATGACAAGAAAATAAATGCAATTTTAGTGGAAAAAAAGACAGGAAGAGCAAGAATGCAAGACAGCAGCTTGCATTCTTATTATACAGTAATCTTATATACTGATGGTATATCACTTCTATCATATTTCATTGGCCCATCACAAAGAGTGAAGTGTGATGTCAGAGGGAACTACACAAGAGTATGAATACCAGTCAGCAGAGATCATTGGTGACCATTTAGAAACTGGCTGCCACCAATGCAGTTTTGACACTAACTACCCAAAGTTAGCACAGACTTCACACAAGTTAAGGGCACAGTCTCCAAAAGATTGCTTTCACTCCAGCCAGCAGCCATAAGCAACAGTGTTCCAAGGTCCTGTATCCTAACTGGATAGAAATTTGGAGAATATACCTCCCCCATTTGGTCATTTGTTAGAATGACTCACATAACTCAGGAAAGTGTCATCCTTGTGATTATAGTTTTATTATAAAGGATGCAAACCAGGATCAGCCAAATTGAGACAAATAAAGTGAAGTCTGAGAGGATTTCAAACACAAAGGACCATGTCCTTAGGTCATGACATCCACTCAGCACATCACAGTATGATTACCAAACAGGAAATCTCACTGATCTTCAAGTGTGTAGGGTTTTTATTGGAGTTTTATCATCTGCCCATGCTTGATTCATCATTTGCCACATGGCTAAACTCAATCTCCAGTCCCTCTCTCTTCCCTGGATGTTGGGCTAATGTTATTCAAAGGCATAATCCTTTAATCACATGATTGGTCTCTCCAGCATGGTCAGTTCCCATCCTGAAAATATCTAGGGGCCCATCTCCAGTCATCTCATTAGCATGAATTCAGATGTGCTCTGATGGGCCCCCCATAAGTATTGATACTCATATGGGGAAATTCCAAAGCTTTAGAGGCTATTTCCCAGCTAAGTTCTTAATCATACAGTATTATCTCCCCTGCCTCTGTTTTCCTAAATGAAGTACATTGCTTTTGAGTGAACATACTCTTGCTGTTTCTTTGTTCTCTAAAGAGTAGCAGAACTTGCTGCTTACATTTGGGAAAATATGTCTAACATCTCATATAATATTGCTTTGGCTAGGACTCTTGAAAAAATGGCCAAAATTAAAATATAGTGTTAAAAATAAGTGTGGTATGATTGAAGGTGCAGGTACCACTATTGTGCTTGGCCTTGCACCTTGAACTTTACTCTGTGGATAATGCATTTGGACTTTCACTGTCTGTAGCACTGAATTTTAATTTATCTTGATTCGCTTTTTATACAGATGAGAACATGGTCATTCATTATATTCTATGTAAGATTTTGTAAGTTGGAAACATTTATCTGTTGTAAAAAAGGATAGTGTATAAATTCAAGTTAAATTCTGCTGTCATATACATTAAATCACTTATTGAATTCTAATGTAAAAGAAATATTGGAAGTTAATATTAGTCACTTGAATAACCCTATTGGAAAGTTTACATCATCAACCTTTCTTTTTTTTATTTTTTCTCCTATCATTTGTCTTCGCCAACTCAGAAGATCTGCATTCTTCTGAGAATTAAATCCTTCCCTGACTCTAAAATCAGACCACGTACAGATTCTAGCTCACTATTTTCTTATCCAGAGTAAATTTTCCCATGGATCAACATTTTTCCTGGTGCCTGCTGCTCTTCTGGGAAACCCACTGCTAAGTCGTTGACCATTTGTGTTGTCAATGGCACAGGGGTCTACAGAAAGAGGATTCATCACTTCACTTTGTTGTTCAATCCTGCAAGTAGGCCTTGATTATTTTTAGAGTTTAGGAAACATATATTTTAATATTTACTTACAATCGTTTTTCCCCTCAAGATTTCAGACATTCATGTAGGAATTTAGGCCAAATATGTATTTGATTAAGAGTCCTGATGTCATGCTACTAATTATCTCTTCCTTAATAATAGAGCATTGTAGTTGAGTAACTTCATCAATTTTGGCTCTCCTCTAGTAAAGAAATATTTTTGCTATATTTTAATTCTCTCAGAAAAATCCAGACAAGCCAGCCTACTAAACTGATACTCTACCATTCTAATCGTAACTTGTAGGCTCAAGTAAATATTTCTAAGTTGTAGATTAAGGGTATAAGCAATATGACAGTGACCAGCTTGTAAAATTGTATTCGCATTATTAATATGGACTTTATGTTTGGAAGCTTTTAATTGTTGCATAATGTCTTTATTTTCCTCATCTTTAAGATTCACAAATTTTATAAGAGCTATAATAAGGCAACCTATTTAAGCTGTGTCTGCTTCAATTGGACTGAATTATTGCTTTTGCAGTAATATAAAGTTATTTATTTACTTATTTATTTTATTGTACTTTTTTAGGTGGAGTCTCACTCTGTCGCCCAAGCTGGAATGCAGGGGCGTGATCTTGGCTCACTGCAAGCTCCACCTCCTGGGTTCACGCGGTTTTTCTGCTTCAGCATCCCGAGTAGCTGGGATTACAGGTGTGTGCCACCATGCCTGGCTAATTTTTTGTATTTTTAGTAGAGACGGGGTTTCAGTGTGTTAGCTAGGATGGTCTTAGTCTCCTGACCTCATGATCTGCCTGCCTTGGCCTCCCAAAGTTCTGGGATTACAGGCGTGAGCCACCACGCCCAGCCATTTTTAAAAATATTTAACCTAAATTTGAGTTAGAATACAGTTATAATTTAGCAGATACTTTTTAAAATATGGTTAACATTTAGAAACTTTTACTTCATATACTTTCATTTCCTCTAAACTTTCCTGCCTACTTGTTTGATGATTAAGTCATGGAATAGAACATCCTTTATTGAATACTTATTGTGTTTCCAGGAATAGTTAATTGGTATAAGGAAAGGGAAATTGAAATGAGTATCATTTGGAAAATAGGTACACCACTGCAGAAGAAAGATCAATTATTTCCAACTGCAGAAATTAGGGCATTTTTAAGATTGATTCATTTGAGCTACACTCAAAAGAAGGTTGATTTCAGGAAGCTGAAAATGGAAAATGGATTGGGAGTTGGAAATAGATTATTGTAGGTTGGACAAATAGGAACAAGGTTAGAAAGAAATTTAAATTTGTGCAAAGAGTTTAGCCTTTGAATTTTTGCTGTTGTTTGAGAAGAAAAAGAGTATTTTCTCCCTGTGTTTTAGAAAGATAAACGCTATCGATAGGAGGGAAAAGAGAAAGGAATAAATTAAATTAGTTACATATTAAATTCAGAAGTGACAAGGATATAGTTTGTCTTAACCCTGGCTGCTATAACAAAATACCATAAACTGGGTAGATTATAAAAACAGAAATTTGTTTCTCATAATGCTGTAGGCAGGGAAGTTGAATATCAAGGTGCCAGCAGAATTGATATCTGATGAGGGCACAATTTCTGGTTGTCTTCTTATTGTAATATCACATGGTAGAGGAAAGGGATTTCTTCGGGGTCTGTTTTATAAAGGCACAAATCCCATTCAATCACGTCCCAAAAGCTCCCTACTCCTAATTCTATCACTTTTAGGGGTTAAGATTTCAACATAAAAATTTGTGAGTAGGTCCTGAACATTCAATCCATTGCATCACCTTTCTGAGTTCTTTTACTTTTTAATTTTGTATTTCTCCTAAGCCCAAAGAATGGTGTGGGTCACAACCAGAAGATGCAAAATAAATGTTTGTAGAATGTATCATTTAAACACAGCTTTCTGAGCACAGTATCATTTTCTTACATCTGACAATAAACAGAGGGACATTTATTCTATATATCATATCCCCCGAAGTTCATATTTCAGGTTCAACCATAACTATATAAATTTTACAGTCAAGAGGGAACTTTTTAAATAATAAATATATTACTAACACAGATGCAAGCCTGGGCAAGCTTCCTTTTGTTACATTGAAAAGTTGCAATGATAGTGAAAGCATCCATCTAGTTTAAACAGAGCCATTCTTTGTGTATGGCAAGACTGGAAGACTCCTTCCACCTTTCTCCCACACAAATGTAACCTATATCATAATAATTAATAGGTAGGAGAATCTTTGGGGAATGTATAGTTAAATCTCTACACTTTATAGAGGAGGAAACTGAGACTTAGAGTAGAAACATTTTTTAAATTCTACACATTCATTTGTATTTTCTATTTTCTATTTATTTGTATTCACTTATACTTCTAATGCACTTGAAATACTTCCTGTATATATACCAAAGCCTTAGCAAAAAAAGAAGCTGCATTTTAAATATTATCTATATTGCCATTTCCCCACAATAATAATGCTGTGCTCAGCATGCGAGCCTGCATAACAGAGTAGATTTACTACTTTTAACAGCAATAAACTACAAGTTTATGCTCTTTATTTGGATTATTTATGTAATACTCTGATGGCTGAAATATAGATTTATGTTGAAATCTGTGAGTTAGTTTAGTGGTTGTTTTAATAGGATTTTTTGCTGTTTTTCCAATGAGAAGATGAGCGGGGAGCAGAGCAGGTGACAGAGGTAAGAACCCTATATTGGCACAGAAATAAACCTAGACTTTACTTTTTAAATATACAATGTTTAGGGACCCTTAAAGAATTGTTGGATCTAACCCAACATCTTTATTTCGAGGACTGTGTTAACATACAATTTTCTGAATAAAACACTTTTTCTCTATGAACTTCATGATTTGGGCACAAATGTTAGTTACTCTTAACGTTTCTTTATAGTGGTGCACTTGATGTAAAGGACTAAAACACAGTCCTATAAAGTATTAAAAGCAAAGTGTTTAAACACGGATGCCTCACATTTCCTAGAACTGTCGAATTTAATAAGGTTTAATAAATCCCTTTATTAATGAGCAATTTTTATTTTTGTAGAATATATCTCAATTTTATTTCTAGATACAAAAGTTCATTTGTTAAATTAAATTATGTTATATAATTAATCATAAGTGCCTAGATGAGTAAACTTCAAAGTACTGAGTATTTGGTTAAAATTACCTATATAATAAATATTAAAAATAGGCAATACATCCTTATTATTCCATTGTTTTCTTGACTCTACACAAATGTGATATTAGTCATTCTGTTATTTTATTTTTGACAGTCTTTGAACTTTTATTTGGATTGTTTTCGTATAGAGAACAAAATAACTTAACAGTGAGGGTGCAGAATGTCAACCTTAATGATGGTTGTTTTTCACAGCCAGTTATAACATGTCTCCAGAAAATATTTCTCTTCTAAAGCAGAAACAAACATTTATATAAAAAAAGAGACCTTGTAAAGTATAGAAGTGATGACATATTAATGCGTGTCAGTAACAATACATACTATTTTTTTCTTTTTTATAAATATCAGTTAATAATAATATGAAAGCATTTGGAGGTTAAGTTGCAAAATCAAGAAAATAAGCCTGTAGTGAAAAAAGGACACTAATAGATAATATTATCCTATAAGAAGTATATAAATGAAATTCCTATTGATTTCCCATGCAATACAGACAGCAGGGCTAAAAGAATTAGTCAAGAAATGTACTCATCTTATGTAAAAAGTGGCATTCAATATCTCCTATTAACATATGAAGAGGAAGAAGTTATCATTGCTTATTGGAAGTGCTGATAAATATATGTATATGTGCTTATTACTCTAAATTAAAATGTGATGTTTTGCCATGAAATAACAAAAGCTAAAAATTACATTATTTCTATTGAAATAGATTATTTCTACATTCAGTAAGTAGTATTGTAAAAGATGCAATGGTTAATCCCTCTGCTTATATGAGAGCTCTGTAAATTTTTACATACTCACTTGGAACCCTTGCAAAACGCCAATAATCAAACTGCTCATATGTATCACCATAAGCAAATAATTTATTTAGTTTTAAGGAGATTCATAAACAGGTGTAATAAGATGTGATTAAAACAAGATTTAGTGTTATGTGCCGTATAAATCAGTTGCTCTGACTTTCACAGTCTGATTACAGGGGTCTACGTGAAGCAGTTAAAGCCTGAGAGAGAACCTCCAAGCCTGAGGGATCGTTTACACATTTTCTTAGCTACCCAATATCCTGTCCGAGTTTCTAAAAAGTTCTTACCAACTTAAGTTAATCCATATAACACATTCAACTTAATAAACAGATTATCTCTGTAATCTGCGTAACCTATTTCAACTTTTAAACTACTGAACTGTGAAGTTTATTGATGAGACATTTCACTCTATGAACTGCACATGCACGCATGCTTTTACAATGAGGGTGGCTATAGGACTCATCTTTAAATTGAGAAAATTAGTAAAAGTCACAAAAGCATTCTCATGGAAAATTTATAGTTATAAAACATTTTAAGTTAAGATAGCTCCAAATATTTTTGTTCTTACTTTTATAAAAAAGAAAAGAAACTATTTGGTGACATGGCAATAATAGATATTGAATGAATGTTTTAATGAGCACATACAAGACCTGGGCCTAAAATAGTTATCAGAAAGAGAATATAAAATATTTATGTATGATATACTTGAAGAATAAAAGAATCATTGAATGAGCATGTCACAAGAAACTATATATATGATTAGTTATTTCGAGAAAACACAGTTTTGAAAGAAAATATATTTGTTAAAATATAAAAACCAACAGAATGCAGTGGATGAGTTGAACAATAAACTAGACGGAGTTGAACAGAGAATTAGTGTATTGGGAACTGGGTCAAAAGTAACTACCAAGAATGCCTCAAAAATAGAAGCAGTTGGATTTTATAAAAGTGAAGTCAAAATATGTTGAAAAATTCTTATATATTTATTTAATCAAAATATCTAAAGAATAAAATGGAAATGAATGAGAGGTAATATATGAAGAGATAACTGAATTTTTAAAAACTGAAGAAAGTAATAAACTTATTGATATAAGAAGTACAATATATACCATGTAGGATAAATTAAGACCTAAACAGGTTTTACTAAAGGGGAAGAATACCAGATCAGAAGAGAATGTATTTAAAATATCCCTACCCCAAAGAAGAAAATATGAAACTGATGCTGATGTCTCAACAAAAGCAATAAGAGATCTTAACAAAGCAGACTCTATAGTTGATACACCACAGATAAATTTCATGTCTGTCATTTACTATATCTGTGACTATGAAGAAGTTTGTTAAATTTTGTATGCATCCATTTTCTTAACAGTATAATGAGGGTAATAATAACTCAGACTTAAGTTAGAGATTGAATTGTTTCTCCATATTCTCATTCCTTGTCTTACAAAAAAAAAAAAAAAGGTTAGTGATCATGTAGGCACAGAACATCAATTATAGTTTACCAGCTTTATAAAAATGCCTGGTAGATTGTAAATATAGAATGGCTTTTCAATAATTATAATTTAAATATTAGTAAAAAAAATGCTTCATGAATTGATTGTATATATAGCATATTTTATCCAAAAAGTAGAATAATTTTAAAAAACATAATCACAAAATTCCTGACTTCAAAAGAGGTATTTAAGAAGGTGAATTATCTGAAATTTAAAAAAGGAAGGGAGAATAATAAGGCAAGTGAAATTCAAGAAAAACACTTAAGCAAAAACAAAGAGAAATTTATTTGTGAAATATGTAGGAGATATTGTACAAAAAAAAGAATAACAACAATGATAATTTTGCTTAATGGGGAAGTAGAAAAATTAAAGCATGCTATTCTGGATACAAATAGCATTGCATGTGGAAGGAGTAATATTTTGAATTATTTTTCTCCTAAGCTTTTTAGAATATTCATCATGAGAAGCAAGATATTATATTTAGCCATTAATTTTATTGATCTAGGTAAAAAGAATAATCTCTGAAGATAAGAGAAAAAGTATAAACATTTTATACTAGTAGATAAAATAATATAGTGTACTAAATAAATAAAAAAAAGAATTAATTTTCAAAGTAAAAGAAATATAGTAGTATATAAATACGGAATAAGTAGAAACACAAAATAGCATTCTTGAAAAATAAAAATATGGTGTAAGCAAATAATAAATAAAAGCATTAAATTCATTTTTAAATATAGTAATTGTCAGGTTAAATTAAAAAATGGAATTGAGAATTCGTTTATGAATGATACTTCTAAAACAGAAGCAAAGGTTTCAAGTAAATGACCAGTTAAAGCATATACTGAAACATATTAACAAACGTAAATAGAGAGTAGGTAGGCTCGTATAAACCAAAATAGTCTTTTGAGACATAAATTATCAGGGAGAGAATAAGTTTCTACATGGTACAGATTTTAAATAACTGAAAAGGATTTTATGCCCAAACATATGTAAAACAAAACTTAGAAGACACATGGGAAAAATAGGAAAATTTACCACCTTGGTAATTTGTTGATGGGAGATATCGAAAAATATCTCTCCATACACATAATTAATGCAAAGAAAATATATAGTAAAAATACAGTAAATGTAAAACAAATTTAAGAGAGAGAATTATTGAAAATGAATAAAACCTTATACCAAGCAATTGTGGCCAAGGCACTTGGGTAAAAAAATAGCCAACGCAATTGTTCCTAAATTATCCCAGACATTGCAGTTATTGACAAATTCTTCAAGACAGATAAATTAAATATATTCAAATAACCAAACGAAACCATGTCCAAATAAAGTATGAAAATAGTGTCTCACCAAAGAAAGACTATCAATCTAACAAAAAACATCTACCGGAGGGACTTGTTTTAGGATTCTTTAGAGAAACAGGCCAGTAGTAAATAGATTGTGTGTGTGTGTGTGTGTGCGTGTGTGTGGGTGCGAGTCTGTGTGTGGTTGCAAGTGTATGTGTAGGGAGACATACGCACACACACACAGAGAGACAGAGAGAAAGAGAGAGAGAGAGAAAAGATACTGGCTCCTGTGATTATGAAAGCCGAGGAGTCCCACGATCTCACATTTGCAAGCTGAAGGCCCAGAGAAGCCAGAATTTTAGTTCAAAGCTCTGAGAGCTAGAGAGCCAATGGTATAGATTTCAATCTATATCTGAAGGCCTGCGTGCTAGAAGCTGTAAGGACAGAAAAAGATTGATGTCCCACCTTTCCTAGTTGCAGAAAGGGAATCCAAGCTCCCTCTGCCTTTTTATTCTATTCGGGTTCTCAAAGATTTTAAGATGCTCACACACTTTGGGAAGGGCCGTATTCTTTATTCGGTCAACGAATGCTAATCTACTCTTGAAACATCCTCACTGACACACCCCAAAGTAATGCTTAAATGAATATCTAGGCATTCCATGGCCCGATCAACGTGATACATAAAATTCACCAGCACAAGGCTCCAAAACATATTTGAACTGTCACCAAAATGAATCAGCAAATTTGAAGATAGATCAATTGAGATTATCCAGTCTGTGGAACAGAAAGAAAAGGAATGAAGATAAATGAACAAAGCTTCCAAGATCCTTAGATAAGACAATGTTTTCTTAGACATGGTAGCAAAAACACAAGCAACAAAATAAAATAACTGAGATAACTGAGACTTCATTTAAATTAAATATCTATGTGATTCAACAGATAGTATCAACAAAGTAAAAAGACAACCCACAGGCCATGAACAAATATTAACAAATCATATATATATATGTGTGTGTGTGTATATATATATATATATCCTACAAGTATATATTTATATCTTATATTATAATAACATAAATATTTATATACAAATAAATATAAAGTCTAGCATCTAGAATATTGAAAAGATACTGCAACTCAACAATAAAAACACAGTGACCCAATGAAGAAATAGAGAAATAATTTGGATAGATATTTAACTTTAGAAAATATGTAAATGACCAATAAGCATTTTAAAAGATGCTCAATGTTTGATTCATTCTTACTATTTTTTGGTACCCACTAACCATCCTAATGTCATTAGTCATTAGAGAAATGAAAATCAAAATCAAAATAAGATGCCACATCATACATGCTCTCATGGCTGTAATCATACAGGCATATTCACTAGTTTTGGTGAGGATGTGGCAAAATTGATACCCTTGTACATTGCTGGAGGAAACATAAAATGTCATCATCACGTCGGAAAAGAGCCTGGAAGTTATACAAAAAGTTGGAAATATAGTTATCATGAAAGTTAAAGAAGCCAGACAGAAAAGGTCATATATCGGATGAATTTATATGAAATGTCCCAATACACAATTCATAGAAAGAGAAAATAGACTACTAGTTGCCAGTGAGGGTGGGTAGGGAGGAATGAGGAATTACTACTGATGAATATAGGGCTTCTCATTGAGGTAGAATATGTTCTGGAATCAGATAGTGTTGCTGGTTGTACAACTGTAAGGATACAATAATCAGTGCTGCATTTCACAATTTAAATTATGACTTCTTATATGCAAATTACATTTCAAAAATTCATTTCTTAAAGGTCATCAAGCAATCTCTGCTAATATCAACAATTCTATTGTACACATAATTTTAGGAAATAATCAGTTGGTATAAGAAGTTGAAATGAAAATGGTTATAATTTTATCCATATATTTTGGGATGGAAAATGCATCTAAATAACTAACGAATCAATTAAAGCATCATAATATAAAGTTTAAAATACTACTTAGCACCAATGATATTAGAATTGCTATTTATCAATATTTATGCTACTATATATAAATCCCATAATTATGTATTCATACATAGCAGCATATCTGAACATTAATTTGCTCTGCATTTATCTTTATAATTTGTAAAATAGTGCAAGAGTTTAAATACAAAGAAAATAGAAAGATGTAAAAAGAATCACAGAAATAATTACTAAAGTAGAAAATCACACATAATAGAAAAAAACACAATAAGCAAAAAATGTTTCTACATAAAAACTAATAAAATAGTCAATCATCTGGCAAGACACATCAATAATAAAATATAAATTATATAAATAAATGAGATTGACAAATGAGAGAGATCTTGAAGAAACTAAAAATGGCTCAGAAAATATAAAACAAGCTTAGGATAAAAACCAAAATTAGGCAAAACACATTCCCAGAAAAATATAACCTAGTAAAATTGATATAGAAAGTTATAGAAATTATTTAAGGTGTCAAATCATAGTTTAAAAAATATCTTCACAAAATATTAGTGCCAGATGTACTTAGGTCATATTTACCAAATTTTCAAAGATCAAGTGGTATAAATCTCTTCCAGGGAATTACTTTAAAGGACAACAGTTTTCCCAACACTTTCTCTAAGGCCAGCAGAACTTGATACCAATACCAGTAAGGATAGTACAGCAAGGAAGAATCCCCAGTTCATCTCATTCAATATAATTGGTGCAAAAATATTAAAACAAATATTAGCACACCACATACATACTTTTCTATGCCTAGAGATATATAGATGAGAGCTTGATGGTGATGAGCAGTTAGTTAGACAAAGATGGATTGAGGAATACGACATATCATGGTGAAGTTGAGTTTTCCATAGAATGTAACTAAGTATAGATGCAGAAAAAGATGACATAAAATTTAAGGGCAACACATGATTTTTATAAAAAGAAAAGAAAGTAAATGGATTAGAAGTTAAACTAATCAGTTGGGGAAAATTATTTTAACAAGATATGTAAATCTAATGACATTAAAAATATTTTCTTTAAAAATCAAGAATAATGTTATTCACTCTCACTGCTTGGAGAGAAAAAAAACCACCTTTAATAATTAACAGGCAATATAATTGTCCATATAGAAAAAAAAAAACCTGAAGAATCCATAGAGAAAAAATCAAGAAATAATAAACTTCAGAATGCATTCAATTCTAAAGTACACTAAAAAGCAATCCCATATGTATATGTACTATGCAAATATAAAAATTATGAGAATCAAACATAGGCCAGGCACAGTGGCTCATGCCTGTAATCCCAGCACTTTGGGAGGCCGAGGTGGGCAGATCACTTGAAGTCAGAAGTTCGAGACCAGCCTAACCAACATGGTGAAACCCGTCTCCATTAAAAATACAAAAATTAGCTGGGCATGGTGTGTGCCTGTAATCCCAGCTATTCAGGAAGCTGAGGCCAGAGAATCGCTTGAATTCAGGAGGCAGAGGTTACAATGAGCCAAGATCGCACCACTGCACTCCAACCTTGGTGACAGCAGGACAACTCTCTCTCTCTCAAAAAAAAAAAACAAAAAAAACCAAACACCAAACATAACTAAAAATCAACACTATGTCATTTATGAGAAGAACAAAAATACATCATGGACCTAGAAAAAATGTAATAAAATAAGTACAAATATATGTCAAACTATATTTTCTCATAAGTTATTAGAGAAGATGTAAATAGTTATGGAAACATAAAATGCTTATGGAAAAAAAGTTTTCCCTTAAAGAGTCAACTTTAATACAATAACAATACAAATTCCACATAGTTTTGATGAAAAAGTGTTATAAACAAATTCTAATTATTATGTGGAAAATAAGTGTCTAAAAATAGTAAAGACACCTCAACACAAAAATATAAAGATGGGATTATTCACATACAATATATTTTATTAAAAATTTTTACATAATTAAGGATATATATTGGTGCAAATTATATTGTTCAATTAAGTAGAATTAAGATTTCTAAAACACAACAGCAAATACTTAGAGCTCATATAACAGGAGGCTTTGAATATTTCTCAGAAAATGATAGACTATTGAACAAATGATATTGAAAAAATGTTTTATTCATATGAACAAACCCAGTAGAATTGGTTTCTATATAGTGTTGTACTGAGAACCACTTGAAGAGACACCTTTAAAAATTTTAGAAGAATATATGAAGAAAAATCTAAGTATTTAGAATAGAAAATAATCTCTTTAAAATTAAATAGAACTCATCATAAAAAATGGAATTATTTAATTATATGTCTGAAACTCCTTTCGGAAGTAGAGAATTGACATATCTATAACACATCAATTCTATTTCCAAGAATACACTTCACATTGAGAAACTGTTTCACATTTTTACTGGGGAAGATGTTTGATTATGCTTATAGGAGCATTGTTTTGTTTTAGTAGCAGAAATCTGGAAACAAACCAAACAATGATTGGAAAATTGATGAATAAACTGAGATATATTCATGCAGTAGAATATATACTTTTTTCCTTATATCTTTTTGGCCGTGTACTCTTTTTATTTATTTATTTATTTTTATTTTATTTTATTTTTTTGAGATGAGAGTCCTGCTCTGTCACCATGCTGGAGTACACAATATGTCTCTTTTCTACTCTGCTTCTATCTGAACAATTAGGTTCATCTTCTACTTATTACACACTTCAATTCTTTTGTAGAAGCCTTGAAAGAGAGTAATTACCTACCTAGCATTATATATTTCATCTGGTTTATATACATAATCATTTATATCACAAAGCAAAATATTTTCATTTATTTATCAATCTATAAGTAATACCATATGTGGTCAGGGAAGAAATTCACGCTTCTCATCATAGCTGTGGACAATTATAGTTCCAAAGTTGAAGATAAGTCTGCTGTCTGAGTTCAACAGCTACTTTCTGAAGAGAGAAAGTAAATGCTTACGATAAATTAACGCGGAGCCATTGTCACTTGAAGTTGGCTTTTTAGAAGTATAAAAAGAGCCAGAAGCCTTTCTGTATGCTTTTCACTATTCTACTAATTTAGGGGTTTCTGTATTTCATTTCCTTAGAACTTGACACTAGGTATCCGTGCATTTCTGACATAACTATTTAAGGGGCCACAAGAATAATATAAATAATGTAAATGGCTCAGCTATTCAGAAACTTAGAAAAACATCTAGCAAATGATAGACTAAATTTTCCTTGGATAGCTCCAAGCTGCATATTGAAACATTAAAAATCGTTTCTTTCAGGAGCTTCAATTTAAGAGTATTCCATAGAAATATCAAATGCTGCAATTTTAGATGTTTTGCAAAGTGATTCAAACATAAATTAGATGCTAGAAAGAAACTGGTTTTTTTTTCCTGTGGGTGCACATTATTCACACATAAGAATTTCAATTCTGAATATTCTTAAATAGAAGTAAAATGTTAACCTTATACTGTGAACAAATTAAAAGCTTGACAGCCTTTATGCTATTTCCTCTTGTGGGTTTCCCAGTATGCCTTCTACCATTCAGTGTCCATGGGAATGTTTGATCAGTAGACACCTCTATCCATAAGCAAAACCCTAATCCAGCGGCTTTGTGCTAGTTTTATGTCTTGAAATATTTTCTTAGTTAATGTAGTGATTATTAACTTTAATATTGGCTTTTATTTTTAAAATATATGATGAAAAATAAACAAAAAATACAACTCTGTTTTGTGCTTGGGGGAGGACATCCATTTGTCACGTTTGCTTAGATTTTTATAGGTTTCAGTAAAAATTGGCCCCTTTTATAGCCATTGTCATAATTCTAAGAAAAATAATTATTTTAACGTTTTTAAAATCTGGCCCCAAACTGCAGAATTTTCAAAAATAATAGTGATTCATCAAAATAACACATTTTCCTGGTATTGCAATATCATGCATGTCCTATCGAAATTTAATCAATAAGCCTCATTGATCAAAACCCGTTAAGTGGAACTGTGCGCTCTTCTGAGCCTCCTTGAGCCTCTTGCTCATGAGTCTTTCTGACCACAACACTGGATATATCCTGGAAAGGATTTACACTCTGATTTCTTCACACGGAGCTTCCATTTGCATGTCTATTTTGTACCATGAAATGATCAACCCTTTTAGAAAACCTTAGTGATCTGATTTGAAAACTCTTATCCTTAAACAAAATCTATCTTGTTACTAACAGTAGTATTATTATTTGTCATCCTTGTCATTTTGTGTTGTGGGAGATTGAGTGTCTATAGGGAGACCATATAGCCCTAATAAGTCCGTCCTTATACTGGTCTCAAAGAATGGGTATGGGTAATTTTGTAAGAGTAATAATTTTAGAATCAACCTTTCCTCGGGTCATCTTTTCAAAGTCATATGCCTTCCCCTAGTAGTTTCCTGGTTTTCCTGAAAAGTGCTTTAAAAAATTTATCATCTACTTGGAGCCATGACATTTTTTGATCCCCCAGTTGATGACCAATAGTTTTTGACCAGGTTCTAGAGATAAGAAGTTGCACAGGCATTGCCCTTACAAACTGATAAAGCTTTTATGGGTTATTGTCAGTTCATTTAGCATTTCAGGCCATATACCTCCTTCCTTCATATAAAAACTAAGGATAATTTGAAATTGCAATAATGGCTTTGGGAACTTTTGCCATGCAAAATATTTGAGTCAAATTAGGAAAAAAAAGGAAGAAATTATTTTGAGAATATTCTCCTCTATCTTCTGCATTTAAATGAAGGGTCACCTGGAATTAATAAATGAGGGCTTTTAATCATACAATTGAATTTCAACACGATAAAATTACTAAAGGTTGAAGTTATTGTTGAAATAAAGTACAGTGTATCTGTCTGTCTCTCTCGTTTGTGTGTGTGTATGCTTGTGTTGAAATCTATTCTTTTACATATAATCTATCTCCTTTTACTATAGAGCAACTATAATTAGCCCTTATTTAATAGTAATTTTACACCTGACTGAAGTTGTTATTATATCAGTTCTCTTCTTTGCCTTCCCCACTCTATATCTATTTACCTTCACCAGAGAAACCATGGAGATTATGATGCAGGAAAGGCGAACCCCACAATTAGGGGTTATCTAGGAAGGTTTTCGGCTTTGTTAGAGCAGGCAGATAGCCAGAAATAAGCAGGCAAGGGAGCTCCCTGGGAAAAGAAGTCCAGGAGATGCTGCCCACTGATATTCAGCACTGACCACTGAAAATCACCAAAAAGGACAATGCCTGCATTGGCTACATATGGCCTTGTGGTTAGGCTCCTCTTGTCCTGAAGGGGACTTATCAGGCCCTATCCAGAGATAACCATGGTAGGGATTTTCCCCACTAACAAGCATGTGCACTTCTCCAAAAGCTCACCCTTTGGTAGAGATTTAAGATGCTAATAAGACATGCATTGTGTGTACTAGCATGTAGAACCTGAGCACAGAGCCTGAGCACCCCTAAAGACCTCCCAAAAACATGCTTTCAAGTAACTCCCCCTTCTCATAGAGTCCCCAGCACTAGCTGCTGCTGGCTTATTCTTTTGAGCAGCCCACTCTGCCTCATCTTTCAGATTCTCCTGTCCATTTAAATAAACACTGCTACTACTATTTTTCCAGCTGGACCATCCTACAGCTGTTTTCTAGACAGACCAGCCCAGAGCTGTTTGTCACACCTCTCTAGAAATGTACTTTATCTTCCTTCAATAAACTCTTCTACTTAACCCTTGTTATGCCTCTCTTGGATGAATTCTTTCTTCCAAGTTAGACAACACTGATGATTCTGGCAATTCCTGGTAACGGCTTCACCCAGGAAAAAATTCAAGGGTGAGCTGGTGATGTTAGATAGCAATATTTATTGAACAGTACTGCTCCTTCCTAAGGAGAGCTAACTCATAGGCAGGGCACCCAGAGTCTACAACATATGGGCTGACTACAACATGGTTTTACAACATATTACAACACACAGGCTGATTACAACATATTATTATAACATACTGTAACATATGAGCTGACTATAACATATGAGCTGACAACAACATATGTAGCTACAACATAATATAGTCACTTATGCCTACTATTAATTACATGCATATTAAAGGGCAGGTTAATGCAAATTGAGGGTTGGGTTATTTAGAACTTTCTTATATATATATATTTTTTTATTATACTTTAAGTTCTAGGGTACATGTGCACAATGTGCAGGTTTGTTACTTATGTATACATGTGCCATGTTGGTGTGCTGCACCCATTAACTCATCATTTACATTAGGTATATCTCCTAATGCTATCCCCCCACCTCCCCCCACCCCACAACAGGCCCTGGTGTGTGATGTTCCCCTTCTTGTGTCCATGTGTTCTCATTGTTCAATTCCCACCTATGAATGAGAACATGCGGTGTTTGGTTTTTTTGTCCTTGCGATAGTTTGCTCAGAATGATGGTTTCCAGCTTTATCCATGTCCCTACAAAGGACATGAACTCATCCTTTTTTGTGGCTGCATAGTATTCCATGGTGTATATGTGCCACATTTTCTTAATCCAGTCTATCATTGATGGACACTTGGGTTGGTTCCAAGTCTTTGCTATTGTGAATAGTGCCGCAGTAAACATACGTGAAAGAAAGAGGTGGTGACTTCTGGGTCACGGCCATGGCATTTGTAAACTGTCATGGCACCAGCGGAGTGTCTTATGCTAATGAGCAATGAGGGCAGCTAAGAATCACTTTGATCACCATCTGCTGGTTTGGGTCAGTTTCTTCACTTTATCGTGTCTAGACCAGATTCTGTTTTGGTCAACAGGGCTCTGACCAGAATACAAATCCCGTCTTTTTCACTCTTACTTTTTTTTTTAATGTGTACATTCTAGGAATATTTAGTACAGTTAAATTCTTACTAATTTTTTTAAAGTAAATATTTTGTGCTTTATTGGATCTTTTTTCTTGCAAAACTGGAACAGAGAAAAAAATCATTTCTAAGTTAACAGTTTCGGTTCTTAGGTAAGAAAAAATAAATACTTCAAACTTTTGGTACGCACTGAAGAGTTAGACTTTTTAAGTATATCAATACAGAAATGTATGTATATTTTAAAAATAATTTATATATTTTTAACGGTTAGATGTCTCTTTGGAAAAATTAAAGTGGCCATATGTTAATTTTCAAAATATACTTTGTCCTCTCCCTAACATTATCACTATCTAAAAATAATTTTAACATAATTGAATTAGACATTTTGGTTTTATCAGTCATAATTTAAACTTCTTATAATTTCTACATTAATTATGTCAACTTGTTTTGACTTGTAACTAAAATTAAGCAAGTCTCTAATTTTAGGTTAGATTATAGTTAAGATTTATCAACTCAAGTTGACAATTTATGCCAATGTAAAGTCTAAATTATAGTAACATAAATTTATGACAACAAAAGGTCTAAATTATTCAAAACAAATTTCAAATATGAAATAACATCTAAACATTTTAATAGTTGGGAACTCAGCAACTATATGTATATTTTCATATAAAATTGCTTCAAGATATGCTCAAACCTGAAATGAAATACAATAAAACATTGGAAAGACATAGAATAAGAAGATTGAAAGTCAACACTGGAGCCAGTTCATAATAAAGAAAATTTTAGAAAATTTTAAATTATATTTGCATATTTTATTATAATACTGTACATAAATATCAACAACCACTTTGGAAAGAGAAAATAAGGAAGGTATAAAATAATAAAGTAAGAACAAGAATATATAACACCATTAAAAAGATACAGAAGTTGATTTAAGAGATGAGAAGATAAAGTAAAAGTTTTGTTAATTATAGTGCTTATAGTGCTGTACACAGTACAATCCAAAAGTTACTACTACAATGTTAATTCTAAAATTAAGAAATGTTTTAACAAATGCTTTAAAACTTGGATGTGAACACTAATAGAAAAAAGCCAAATACATAATTTTTAAAACGCTAGATATAGCTTTAGCAGAGAAAACATGCCATATATTAGAAATCATAAAAAGATGTCAAAATCTAAATGTCATAGCTACAAAAAAGTTAAATACCTAGAAATACATTTAACAAAGAAGATGAAAGATCTCTACAAGGCAAACTATAAAGCACTGATGAAAAAATTGCAGATGACACAAACAAATGGAAAACATTCCATGCTCATAGATTAAAAGAATCAGTATTATTAAAAGTGACCATATTTTTCAAAGCAATCTACAGATTCAATGCAATTTCTATTAAATTACCATTGACATTTTTTCACAAAATTAAAAAAAGAATATTAAATTTCTATGGAACCAAAAAAAAAAAGCCCAAAATAATCAAAGCAATCCTGAGCAAGAAGAATAAAATTGGAAACATAACAATACCTGACTTTACATTATACTACCAGCCTATAGTAACCAAAACTGTTACTGGTACAAAAGTAGACACATAGATCAATGGAACATAATGGAGCAAAACCAGAAATAAAGCTACGTATGTACAACCAAATAATCTCTGACAAAGTCGACAAAAATGTACACTGGGGAAAGAGCATCCTTTACACTAAATGGTGGTGGGAAAACTGGATAGCCATATGCAGAAAAATGAAGTGGACCCATATCTCTCACCATATACAGAAATTAACTAAGATTGATTAAATACCTAAACGTAAGAACTGAAATTATAAGAATTCTATAAGAAAACCTGGAAAAAATCTCTTCTGGGTATTGGCCTAGGCAGAAAAAATTATGACAAAGTCTTCAAAAACAAATGCAACAGAAACAAAAATAGACAAAGGAGACTTACTTAAACTAAAAAGCTTCTGCCCAGCAAAAGAAATAACCAATGGAGTAAACATATAACCTACAGAATGGGAGAAAATATATGCCAACTATGCATCTCACAAAAGACAATATCAACAATCTACAAGGAATTCAAACAATAAGAAAAAACAAAAACAACCCTATTAAAAAGTGGGAAAAGGCTATTAACAGACATTTTCTAAAGAATCATACAGCAGCCAACAAACATATGGAAAAATGCTGAACGTCATTAATAATCACAGATTTGCAAAATTAAAACACAATGTGATATCTCACACCAATCAGAATGGCTATTACTTAAAAGGTTAAGGCTGGTAACAGTGGCTCATGGTCGTCATCCCAGCACTTTGGGGGGCTGAGACCAGTGGATCACATCAGGCCAGAAGTTCAAGACCAGCCTGGTCAACATGGCAAAACCCATGTCTACTAAAAATACCAAAATTAGCCAGGCGTGTTGGTGCATGCCTGTAGTCCCAGCTACCCAGGAAGCTGAGGCATGAGAGTTGCTTGAACCTGGGAGGCAGAGGTCGCAGTGAGCTGAGATCAAGCCAGTGCACTGCACTGGGCATCAGAATGAGATTCTGTCTCAAAAAAGAAAAAAAAAATAGTTAAAAACAGCAGATATTGGCAAGGCTACAGAGAAAAGGGAACACTTATACACTTTTGTTAGGAATTTAAATTACTATCACTTCTATGAAAAACAGTATAGATTTTTCATGGAATAAAAATAGAACTACCATTCAATCCAGGAATCCCACTCCTGGGTAGCTACCCAAAGGAAAAGAAATTATTATATCAAAAAAAATTGGTACTCATATTTATTGCAGCTTATAATAGCAAAGTCATGGAATCAACCTATGTGTCCATCAATGGATAATTAAAGAAAATATGGTATGTATATATTATATATACACATATATATGAGATATATGCATATGTATATATTATATATACACATATATATGAGATATATGCATATGTATATATTATATATACACATATATATGAGGTATATGCATATGTATATATTATATATACACATATATATGAGATATATGCATATGTATATATTATATATACACATATATATGAGATATATGCATATGTATATATTATATATACATATATATGAGATACATGCATATGTATATATGAGAGATAAATATGTACACATATATACTCCATATATATATTCTATGTATATGTGTGTTTGTGTATATATATATCCCATATGTGGGTATATTATATATATGTATGTGTGTGTGTATATATATACACAGACATATACACACAGACACACACATATACACGCTATGGAATATCATGCAGTCATATAAAAATGACATCACGTCATTTGTAGCAATACTGGTAGAGCTGGAAGTCATTATCCTAAATAAAATAACTAAGAAACAGAAATTCAAATACCACATGTTCTTACATATAAATAGGAGCTAAATAATGAGTGCACATAGTCATATAGAGTGAAATAGTCTTGGGACTCTGAAATGGGGGAGGCTAGGCGGAAGGCAAGGGTTGAAAAATTACCTATTAGGTACAATGTTCACCATTTGGGTGATGTGTACACTAAAAGCCCAGGTTTCACTAATACATAATATATCTGTGGAACAAAGCTGTATTTGTACCACCTAAATTTATAAATATAAAAATGTTAAAAAAGTATAAATAAAAATTTATAATCAATTATTGAATGTAATAAAAGATTAAAATGAAATAAGTAGTATAGGCTAATTCTGGGCCAGGGTATGGTGGCTCGTACCTCTCATCCAGCACTTTGGGAGACCAAAATGACAAAACACACAAAATGACTCCCGAAGTGATAAATTGTTAAAAAAGCATTATAACAAGAAAACACAAACTATAAATATTGAAACTGAAAAACAGGTATTAAACAAGTCAGATATAATAGAAACCTATGGAAAATATTGAAATTTTGCTTTCAAATATTTTTAACTATTTTAAGGAAGAAAATAATTAAGATGAAAGAACACTGAGGTTTCATAGTTGAAAAATATCTATTCAAAAAAGATTAAGAATTAGAAAACAAATTAACACAAAAAAATGAATAATTTTTGTTGAATTAGCTGAATAAAATTAAGGGTGGTTAACTTAATATATTAATTTCAGATTTTCACTTCCTCATTTAATAAAATTGAAGAAAATTATAGAAGCTTATGCAATAAAATTTAACAAGTTTAATTTAATTTATAAAAATGTAAATCTGGATACCAAATAAGTTTATTTTCTTTCAGATTATCCAATCATTATAAAATAATTGATAATATCAAAAATTCAATTTTATAATTTTAAAATTATAATTTGCATAGATTATTTATATGATTTTTTTGTTTGTTTTTTTTTTTTAGAACAGGTTCCCACTCTGTTACCCAGGCTGAAGAGCAGTGGTGTAATCATGCTCACTGCAACATTGACCTTCTAGGCTCAAGAGATTCTCCCGCATCAGCCTTCTGAGTAGCCTGAAGTAAAGGTGAACACCACTGTGCCCAGCTAATTTTTTTAATTTTTAGTAGATACAAGGTGTCACTCTGTTATACTGCTCTTGAACTCCTGGGTTCAAGCAATCCTCTCACCTCAACCTCCCATAGCGCTGAGATTTACAGGCTGAGCCATCACACCTGAACTAGATTATATTCTAATCAATATGCTATTACAATAGAAACTAATAACTACAAATAACTCATGATTATTTTAATAGGCTGTACTAAACCATTTTATATTTGAAATAAATAATTTTATTGGGAACCCATTTTAAAATTAATAACAATGGGCCGGGCACGGTGGCTCACGCCTGTAATCCCAGCACTTTGGGAGGCCAAGGTGGGCGGATCACGAGGTCAGGAGATCGAGACCATCTTGCCTAACACGGTGAAACCCTGTCTCTACTGAAACACAAAAAATTAGCCCAGCGCGGTGGCGGGCACCTGTAATCCCAGCTACTCAGGAGGCTGAGGCAGGAGAATGGCATGAACCCGGGAGGCGGAGCTTTCAGTGAGCCGAGATAGCGCCACTGCAGTCCGGCCTGGGCGAAAGAGCGAGACTCTGTCTCAAAAAAAAAAAAAAATTAATTAATTAATAACAATGGAACCTAGAGCTAAAGACATTGTGAAAAACTCTTACAATGCTGAAAGAAACTTATTTCTAAAATAGCATTAACATGTGTTATTCAGACATGTGCCTTGAGTCTATAGAAAGTATATATAAACTCAAAAGATGGTAAATGAACTAAGCTTTATCTAGTTTTATATAGTTTTCTTCAGTCACATTGCTTCTGCAGAAGTAAAGAATAATAGAATACTTCAGGCAATCTAACCGTGGACTGGCAGTAATTTCACAGTGTGTATTTTAAATATCATAGAAGAGTACTGAGAATTAGCAATTGCTAAGATAAGCATCATGGCAGAGAGACCGGCAAATTTATTTGCAGTTTACAAACCTAGCATGGATGTTTTCTTTCAGTTTGTAGAATTGGCAACTTGGAAGATATGAGAGCCTTCCTACAGCCATGTCATGCAGTTGCTGAAACACCAAGTTCTGCCAGTGTTCCCTATCAGAGATTAATCTTAGAGAACAGGAAAGGTGCCAACTGTGAGATTTTATTAGAATGGAAATTTGAATTAGCTGAAGACAAAGAATTATACCATTCCATACAATGTTATGTCTTAAACAATAATGTCACTTCTGCTAAAGCCCTGTTTGAGCAGTGAAAGCAAAGAATACAACGTTTAATTATCTGTTTCTAAAGCATTACGCAGTTTTGCTGAGGAAGACTGGAGCGTCTGTCTCTTTCAGTGAAACTCCTGAAAGCTCTGGGTTTTATGTAAAGCAGCTAAAGAAATCAAATAAATAGCCTTTGTGAAATGATCCAGGATAACTTTGTATTTAGTTAGTAATTGTATTGAAAATGCTACAAAAAATGTATTTGTCAGGGAAAAAAAGTAAAACGAATATTAAAATGAAAAAAGAAGCATAACAAAATATTCCAATAATCAAGAAATATGTTAGAAAGTTTGTCAAGAAACTCTTAGTTTTCATTTGTTATTCCTACTCTATTTTTGAAAGAGGGCTTTTAGTGTTTTTTTTTAATCTTTAGCATTCTGAAACTTAATCCTATTTTTTTCTTGATCTTCTATTAGCACTCAACTTTGATCATAGAACTGTGCTTTTCTCCAGTTCTCTGAAATGTTCTTAAATAATTAGTTTTTCGTGTCTTTCTGTCCAGGTATTCATTCTGTGCTTTCTCTTCTATTCTATTCTACTCTATCCATTCTAGTCCTTCTAGGTTTTCTAGGCCTATTTATTTATAGGCCTTAAATCTTATGCTCTAATTCATATTTTCAGTTCTGGAAGTTTTGAGGGAATTATATAATTTGTTTTATTCATATTGTCATATCAGGGAATGCACTCCAAAAATGTTGGGTAATTCCTACTAAGAGATGAAGAGAATATGCTTAGAACAGTTCTACTTTGAAAATCTTTAATACTTCTATTTCATTACAAAATCAATGATACTACTTGAAATACAGTCATTTACTTCCTGATAAATTTTACTGTGTTTGTGACATTTATTCAAATAAATATTTCAGTGGGCATTTTCCTGTTGTTATATGTGTGCAACTGCAAGCTCTCTTGGAAGAAAAAAAAAACAGAAAATCCTTTACAAATCTATGCTTCATTGCTGCAGGATGATTAACTACTCCTATTGCTTAAGAAGTAAAATCAGTCTTCCTTTCAAAATAATCAGTAGATTAGATTAGTGTCAATTGAAATTCAGAAATGACTAGAAGTATGTCACTAAAAGTGCACTTTAAAAATCATTATTATATAAATGAATACAGTATAGTCGTCTGTTTTGCAAAGCCATCATCCTCACTTTGAAATATTGTCTATTTCATTTTACTTTTAATTGATGTCATCACAACTCAGGCTTTGGCATAATCTGCCAGTTAGTAATAAATGCAAGTATGTTTTGAAGCTCAAAATTTTTACATGAGCTGGAAATGATAAAACAGTTTGTTATACATTTTATTTATCAAATAACAATGACTTAAGAGTTAATCTGTAAGCACGTAACAGAAAATATACAGACAATTCTACCTTTATATTTGGAATCCATTGGCAACAAATTTTCAGATAATACATGTGAACATTCTGTGAGGCACCACATCTTACTGAAGATATCATTGAAATACAACAGAAATACTGTGAGAATTTTCACTGAATACTACACTAGAAAATACTGGAAGGGTCATAATATAAAACAAAATGCTAAGTATTATCATTAAAAATAATAAGAAAGTAATTCTAATTTTGTTCATAATGGCATAACTGCTACAGGACTTTCTCTACCCAGTAAACAACAAGATAACCTAAAATAAAAATAAATAAATAAAAACAATATTTTTGACTTTAAACAACAGAGCAAAACAGTTATCTATGAAAATGGAAAGAAGATGAGTTCTGCAGTCATGTCACTTACTGCATAGAGACACTTTCCAGAGCATGGTGCAGGCACAAGAAGTGGAAAAGCAAGTAGACTATTACAACCTTCCTGAATGGAGGAGATGGAGATTGTTGTTGGGAGAGGCTGAGGTAGCTTGAATGTGTAAAATAGAGAACCACAGAGAGGAAACAAAGTAGCTCCAGAAATATACATAAGACTACACCTGAGATTTTTTTGGCTGAGGACTAAACTCCTCATTCACAGCATGAGATCCTATGAAGGTAAGCAAGAACAACTATTGGAGTGAAAGCTGATACTGCAAAACTATAAGTGGAGAGATCCTATGAAGGTAAGCAAGAACAACTATTGGAGTGAAAGCTGATACTGCAAAACTATAAGTGGAAAAATAAGCAGAATCACACACGAGGGATATTTTTTCAGTTCTGATCAACCAAGGTAGATAAACTTTACTTAATAACTAGAAATCAATAAAGGGCGTGAAGAAATAGATACATTTCTAGAACCTTACAACCTACCAAGAGTGAGTCATGAAAGATATAGAAAATTTGAACGGTTCAATGATGAATAAAGAGATTAAATCAGTAATAAAATAACTTCCCAACAAAGAAATGGCAAGAACCAGAAGGCTTTAAAGGGGAATACTACCAAATATTTAAAGAATTAATACTAATCCTTCAAAATATACCAAATAATTTTTAAAAACGAAACATTTCCAAACTTTTTTTTTTTTTTTTTTTTTGAGACCATGTCTTGCATTGTTCCCCGGGCTGGAGTGCAGTGGCGCAATTTCAGCTCACTGCAAACTCCGCCTCCCTGGTTCAAGCACTTCTTCTGCCCCAGCGTCCCAAGTAGCTGGGACTATAGGCACGTGCCACCAAGCCTGGCCATTTTTTTGTATTTTTGGTAGAAATGGGGTTTCATCATATTGACCAGGCTGGTCTCAAACTCCTGAACTTGTGATCTGCTCTCCTTGGCCTCCCAAAGTGCTAGCCTCCAAACTAAGTTTTTGAGGTCAGCATTACTTCGTTGCAAAAGCTAGACAAGAAAACTACAAGGAAAGAAAACTACCAGTCTGTATTCCTGATGAGCATAGGTGCAAAAATCCTCAGTGAAATAGCAAACCAAATTTAACAGTGCATTAAAAAGATTGTACACCAATGGGCAACAACCGTTGACTCAAATAGGGATACTGAGCAATTAGGCACATTAGTAAAGTCAGTAATTGGGATTATTACAGGATTATTTGTTCTGCCAATGGATCCGGCTGGGGAAAGGCAACATATCGAGCATTCAGTTAGGTTGCCTGCAGATGCAAGAGACTGAGAGAGGTCTATCAAGGCATTATCTCCCCCATGAACAGGAAGACATGGCAAGGGGAGTAAAGAAAGGAAGAGGAAGAAATACAGTATGATATAGGAAAAGGGTATTATAAGGAGTTCATCTAGTCAATGAGTCCCATCATTTTATAAAAACTTATACATGTCTAAATATTGAAGTACGTGGAACTACTCTTGTTTGATGTAAGATTTTCAGGGCACATAAGATTCTCAAAGCTATAATAATAAAAACAATTATAAAGTAAACCTAAGGGCTAGGCCTGTTTGTCTAAAACAGGGAAGAGGTTATACAGGTCTAGTCTGGTATCTTGGGAAAAAGTAGTCCACCTCATATGTCATCTTTATCCCATTGGAGTGACTATACTTTGATTAACTTGAGCTTGGTGTTGGTGACATTTTCAGAGACTAATTTGGTGGAGGAATCAGGAGCCTTTTCTAAATAAGAGATAAAAATCCATGAGTCAATGCCTTGTAACTTAGCAGCACATGGATTGGCTAAAAGTACCTGACAGAGTCTCCACTAGCAAGGTGCTGAAGGGAATTTTTAAGTTGGTTCCTTTTCCATTACACAAAGTCCCCAGGCCTGAGGTTTTGTTTGTTTGTTTTTGTTTTGTTTTGTTTGTTTTTGAAACGGAGTTTTGCTCTGTTGCCCAGGCTGGAGTGCAGTGGCAAGATCTAGGCTTACCGCAAGCTCCACCTCCCAGGTTCACGCCATTCTCCTGCCTCAGCCTCCCGAGTAGCTGGGACTATAGGCATCCGCCACCAAGCCTGGCTAATTTTTTGTATTTTTAGTAGAGACGGGGTTTCACCGTGTTAGCCAGGATGGTCTCGATCTCCTGACCTCGTGATCTGCCCGCCTCGGCATCCCAAAGTGCTGGGATTACAGGCGTGAGCCACCGTGCCCAACCAGGCCTGAGGTTTTATAGGACATTCTCTGTTCCCAGAGAGAATACTGTTGAAGGAATCTTTGACAAGGTTAGTGTTATGTTGTAGGATATTAATCAGCTCCTTGAAGTAATGTATATCTTGTTTGATGAGCACTGGCTGGTAAAGTCTTTCATCTAGATGCCAGAAATGAGTTTGAAAGGAGATAACTTATGTTTTCCTACAGAAGTGGCATGAAAGTTAAGGAGAGATAAAGGAAGAGCTTTGGGTCATAGCAGGATAAATGTTGTGCAAACCTTTGTCATGCTTTTATTATTTCTTTGTTCTGTTCCAAAAGCCCAGAGAACTAAGGGTGATAAGCATAATGGAAATGTTGATAAATAGGTCAAATTTTACAAACGTTTTGAATAATTTGTGTTGTAAAATGAGCTCCTTAATCACGCTGAAGCCCTCAAGGAACTCCCAAAGTCAGTATAATTCTTTTGCAGTAGGGGCTTGCCTATTGGAAACTGTCATGGCTGTGGTCTATTGACAAAGAAAGGCTTCAATCCAATGCAAAAACAGGCAAACCATAACCAGTACATACTGGTATCCTCAAGAGGTGAACCACTAAATAAAATCTGGTTGACATACCTCAAAAGGTCCATTTGATAAAGGGACGTGGCCCAGGGAGGCATGCGATGGTTTTCCAGGATTGTATTATGAAGAAATTTTACACAGTTGTTATACCTGGTGGGTAGTGGTGGGAGAGGAACCTCAATAATATTGCTTACCACATTGAACCATTTCATCCGTGTTTCAATGGGTCAAGTCATGGATAAAAGTTAAAATTTCCTTCTGCAGCCTATTAGAAAAAAATGGGGTAATAATTGGGGTCTGTACGGAGGCATGAGAAAAACCAAAAGAACAACCTTGTTGAACCAATTTATCCCACTCTTCCTTTGGGGTGAGAGCCTAGGCTTTGGCCAATCCTTAATAAAACTGGAGAAATAAAGGCAAAGCAGAAATAGGTGAGGGTTTAGTTCTGATTACTAAGATCTATATCATTTTGGGGGCCACTGCTGACTTGGTGGGAGTATTGGCTAATTTATTTTTTTGTATTTCTACATTTTGGGGTAAAAAATATTCCTGAACTTATATAATAGCTGAAGATATTGGAGCTGGAATAACATTGAGAAGCATCAATTTGGGGTTTTTGTTTTCTATTCTCTGCCCAGATCAAATAAGGAAACCTCTTTATTTTGAGAACACACCAAAGTCATGAGCTGCTGTTAATATAAATACTGGCCATTTTATCCTTGACTAAAAGACATGCTCTAGTAAGAGCATCCAGTTCTGCCTGTTGCATGGACCTGGTATAAGGAATGAGATCAGGTTCTAACCTCACTAAGGGAGGCAATTGCATATCCTGCTTGGTATTTGCCATTGCTTTCTCTTCGGGTATGACCCATCATTTAACCAATTATAATCCATTTTGGCAAGAGAGTCTCTTGAAGATCTAGTCAAAGGGTAAGAAGTTGATCCATCAAGGCAACACAGTCGTGGGAAATGCCATCATCTTGAAGGGCAAGTAAAGTGGCAGTATTAAGCAAGTTATATTGGGTGATGGTAAGGAGAGGTGAGGATAGAAAATAAACCTCATAATTTGCTTGGTGGATGGCAGAGAGGTGCTAAGTGTGATGTGAATTGAGGAGACCCTCAACAAAATGAGGAACATAGACAGCTAAACGCAGCTGACTTTGTCTCCAACTGACTTAGAATCCACAAATAATTGAACCATGGTCAATTGTAATGATGTCTATCCACAATAATATCTGGTACATGAACAAAAGTCTATTTTGGGGGGAAGACATAACAAATACCTCTGCAAACCTTACTGATTTGTTCTGTAATGCAATTTAAACTTATCATGAGCATACTTCCATATTGTATTACATGACATTATTGATAAGATTCAAGTACTTTATTTATATATTCATATGATAATACTGATATGGATGATCAAATGTATTGGGAGATCGACTTAAAAAGCCTTTCAGGATACTGACAGAAAATGACTGGACTGAGGAAAAACTGGAGTTAGGTAACCATTAGTAATTTTTTATGCCTAATAGTTCTGCATAAAGTTATCTCAAAGAATAAGTAACTGTAGATGAAAGAAGAGAAACAAGTAATCAAATTTGTACCAAAATATGAAAATACATGTAATGACTTTGTAGCATGGATTAGTTGTTTCTTTACCTGTCTCTACCCCACACTGACTACTCCATAAATTCATGCTGGTATTATCTCTGAATCTGTTATATAAATGCCAAAATAAATATAAGCTTAGAAACTTGATCATCTTGCTCTAAGAGAACATAGACCATGGGATAGGAGGATGTACAGTGAAGAACAGGGTTAATTCAACAGGACTGGGTCGCTCAAATCCTGCACATACCCCAGAAAGGGCTATCTTCAGGACAGGCCCTTGGCTCAAAGCTCAAACAAGCTTCCCATGTTGGAAACACTTCACATTTCTTGTCATGCATCCTTGATAAGAAAATGAAGTGCATCTGTGAGACTTCATTGTGAATGGACAACTGAAAGCTTGTGCTTGGTTTTTCCTGAAATTCAGAACGTGGATCTTTTCTTTTGCTAATTTTAATGTGTATCCCTCCAATGTAATAAAACATAGCCATAAATATAATAATTTTTCTAAGTCCAGTGAATTATTCTAGAGCATTAGTAAACCTAAGGGTGGTCTTGGAGACACTTAACACAAAATAGAAAGAGTAGGAAAAATACTATTTAAAGTAACTGCACAGTTGATTTGTTAATGGGATAAGAGAAAGTTCAGGAATAAATGTTGTTTGTATATATAGTTCATTTATTATGTAGTTTCCAAAAGCATATAAAACCCCAATGTATTTGGTAATAAGGGTGTTTCCTATGAATGCCAACTCAAGCACTATTCATAAAGACTTAGTAAGTGGCATTTATATCTTTTTTGTGTTACGTTCTCTAAATATCTAATGACTACTCTCAGACATTTGATGTTTCATTTTTTATGGGGCTCTGCTTTTTCTGAAAATATACTAATCCTTCTGGGACCTACTAGACAGTTGACTCACAGAACACCAGAAACCTGCAGGCTTCTTCATGGAAAGGGAGAAATCTCTGGTCAGATTTTTTTTTAATTAATGCTTTCTCCAAAGGGTCACTTAAGAACGTTCCTGTTGACTCTGTCCCCAAATAAAATATATAGGGCTCTTTTTGCATTGTACTTTTCATGCCATATCACATTTCTCACTAATGACAGACATCGTTAAATGATGTTTCCTTATTTTTTGTATTTCTAGATATGTTACAAATGTATATGTATATGTGTGCTTGATACATACATATATATATGTACACACACACACACACACGCACATACATATTTGATATTTTTAGGGGCAAAAAGTACCCTTGTAGGTAAATGTTTTAACAAACAAAATAGACATAGACAGTGACAGTGACAGGCATTGTGGTTTGCTTTAAAAAGAGCCCTCTTCCCACACTTTTTCCTTTCATAATATAGTGGAGACTGCCTTCCACTATATTATGAAAATGCCAGGCACGTATTTTTTCAGCTATCTCTGCAGCCAGAATAACAGATACATGATTAAATCTTGGCCAGTGTGAATAATGAGAAAGTGTTAGTGTCATAGATCATATTTCTAAAAAAAATTTAATCTTTGATAAAAGAAAATAATGCAAAATAGAGTCCTTTTCTGTCCATTTCAGTATTTAGAAATGCTGATTCATAGAAATGTGGATTGGATATGTTGCAGCCATTTTGCAACATAAGTGGAAGATCAAAAGAGAAGGTAACCTAAAACTGACATCATTGTTCTGTTAAAAAAATAATAGATTCACTTACTTCTTATTTTCATGTAGATTCATATAAAACATTGGTGAGTCTGAGAGACTAAAATAAAGATGCTTAACTAACTATTGTATTAAATGTGTAAATGGTTATTAGCTTGAAGATCTAGTCAAAGGGTAAGAAGTTCATCTGTCAAGGCAACACAGACATGGGAAATGTCACCATCTTGAAGGCGAAATAAAGTGACAGGATTAAATATATTGACCATCTACTAGGTTACATGTGCTGTCTAAAAACTAAAGATACAGTCAGTTAAAAGTTATAATTGTTGCAATCAATGCTGGTAAATTTCAGAGTTTTTGTCACAGCTGGAAGTGAGATTATGGGGAAAAATCCTTCTTCATCTCCTTTGTTGGAGTGACCTATGTTATTGATGAGGTTGGCACAGAAATCAGGAATGCATCACACAGCCCCTTTAGTCTTTAGAAGCTGATAATGCTGGAAAATTTGCTTTCTTTCAATACTTAATCAGATGAGCTCAAAAATAAGGCCTTTCTGTATTAAGAGAAGAGTATTCAACCAGTTTGAATAGACATCTATATTCATCAATTCTGATATTCAGAAGATGACTTGATCTTATTAATAAGCCACACTTACAAATATCCATTTTAAGAGGTGTTTAATTATTTATGTATTACTTTTCAATTAGTCCAAACTAGTAGGTAAAAGAGGAGTTTTGTTAAAAGAGTTCCCTCAAGTTTAAACATAATAAATAATGACCCATTCAAATATTTTAGAAACATGGCATAGGAAATGCTGTTGGTGCCCCACTTGTACCCCTTTGGCACTCATCTGATACCAACACTTAGGGAAGGATTTTCTGAGAAGCCAAGTACATCACAGAAATCCACAGCTTCACTAAGTCATTCTAGTTCCCATGTTTTATTTCCCTGAAGGTAGTTGGGGAATTGTCCTCATCTCTATGTTAACTCCCTCACCAATAAAAGTGACTAGCTGTGGCAAAATTCCCACATTACTTAGTTTGCCCTTCCTTTCAGGTTTGATGTTTTCCTGCTTCCTGTCCTGTGGCTGGTCCTTATTCTTTGCTGTTAGGCTCTGATTTAAATTTTGTTTGTGTATATGACTCTTTGGAAAGATACAACAATGTTTTTACCAATTTGTTTTTCCCCCCTATTTGGATAAAACAAAACAAAAATTGGTAGAGGCTAGTTGATATTTCCTTCAATCTTTTCCCATAAGCTTCATATTTGCCATAAACTACTTTAAAATGTTGATCAACAAAATACTAGCAAATAGAATCCAGCAGGACATCTAAAAGCTAATCCCCCGTGATCAAGAAGGCTTTATTCCTGGGATGCAAGGTTAGTTCTATATACACAAATCAATAACTGTGATTCATCACATAAACAAACTAAAAACAAAAAACACATAATTATCTTAATAGACTCAGAAAAGGCTTTTGACAATTTTGTCACCATCCTTTCATGTTAAAAATCCAATAAACTAGGTACTGAAAAAACATATCTCAAAATAATAGGTGCCATATATGGTAAACCTACAGCCAACATCACAGTGTATGCGTAAAAGCTGGAACTATTCCCCTTGAGAGCTGGTACAAGAGAAGGATGCTCATGCTGACAGATGATAGCTAGCTAGCTAGCTAGATACATAGATAGAGATAGAGAGAGAGAGAGGGAGAGGGAGAGAGAGAGAGACATCTGCTTTACTATGTATGTGTATATGTACACAGTAAAAATATATATAGTATATATAGAGATTATATTATTATATATATATATATCTGCTTTACTTAGGAAAATTTCTATTTGGAAATTTTTTAATCTCCAAGTTTATCAATTCTTTATTCTAAATATCTAATGTGTTATTATGTCTATTCGTTGTATTTTTTATTTCAGATTTTATATTTGACTATAGATGCCCCTCAACTTATGATAGGATTATGTCTCAATAACCTATCATAGAAGCAATAAATTGCAAGTCTAATGATCATAAATCAGGGACCATCTGTGTATATTTTATAATTTTCCATATATCTCCTGAAATTCCCTATCTCTTCACAATTTTCATTGCATTATTTACACCGTATATGAATTTCACTGGAAAATGAAGGCGAATTTTGCTTTATTTATTTTCCAAAAAGTTTAGGCCTTTTATTCTCTGAGTAATAATTGGTACGTGTTGAGGGACGGGCAGGGGGTTACTGATCATTTACACTCCTTCCGCAGTTACATTCACATTCAGCTGACTTGGGGTTTCAAATTTAATTGTATACAGTTACCTTGTATTTATATCACCTCCCAATCAGAGCCCTTATAACTGTTAGCAATTAAGCTGAGAGAAATTTACTGGGACTTATCCCCTCCTTACTAGCTCCTCTATTAATAGAGTTTCCTTGAAAAATGCCTTGGTAGGTGTATTAGTCCATGCTATGAAGAAATATGTGAGATTGGGTAATTTATAAAGGCAAGAGGTTTAATTGACTCAGAGTTCTGCATTGCTGGGGAGGCCTCAGGAAACTCACCATCATGGCGGAAGGTAAAGGAGAAGCGGTCACCTTCTTCACAGGGCAGCAGGACAGGATGGAGTGAGTGCAAGCAGGGCAAATGCCAGATGCTTGTAAAACCATCAGATCTTCTGAGAACTCACTTACTATCATGAGAACAGCATGGAGGAAACAACCCCCACGATCCAATTACTTCCATCCTTGGTTCCGCCCTTGACAACGTGGGGATTATGAGTATTACAATTCAAGATGAGATTTTGGGTGGGGACACAGCCAAACCATATCAGTAGGGATGGGGGTTATTGGGCCAAAAAATCTACTCTTGAATTTGAGTATTTTTTAGATTCCAATCAGTGTCACAAGCCCACGATGGGATTCAAAGTCTATTTTGTCTTGGTCATCCCTGTATAGTTACTCCATCCGTGGTAATTCCCCCCACCATGGTCCACTTGCTTCCAGGACTCTCTGATCTTATGTGAACATAGTTTTTCTCTGTGTCATTTAATTCCTTGAAGCTTCCTTGTATTTCATGTCCTTCATTAGCCCCATAGAAAGATATGGCATTTATTTCATTGAGTTACTTCTTGTTAACATAAAAGCAAAGATCTTGCATGTTCTTTATTCTCACAGAAAATGGAATTTTTCTAACAGTGCAGTATAAAATAATGTTCCTTTTATATTCTCTTAAAGCGTTTTTGTAAATGTCTACAAATAATTTTAATTAGAATTCATGTTTATTCCTTTTTAACTTTTCAGCTGTCTTGTGATTATAATATTATATAAAACATTTTGTAATTTTGTTTTCAATAGCTATGTTATTTAAATAAAAACAACATTATTTTGCATTCAAGTATATAAAATTATAATGTTTTATTTATTTTTATATTTCATAAGTTTTTTTAGAATTCTTACCATTTGATTTCTTAAAATTTTAATTTGTAGAACTTTAGAATTTACAGAAAACTGAATAATATCTACTCTAAATCCTTCATTTTTCAGGTTATATAATTAAGGGCAGGAAATATTCATGTATCTATTCAGTAATCTATTTTTTTCTTCTCCCAAATGCTTTTCTAATGCATACCATTATCAGGACTCATGTTCACTGTTATCTCCTAAATTCAGAGATGGCCACTATGCAGTAGAATTTATTGACCCTGCTTTTTTATTTTTAGGTCTCTGGCGTGATACCCAAAGCTCACACTAGCATCTAACTCTGATACTTACTGTGAACATAATCTATAATTACTTGTCTTTATCCTATATATTAAAAATAATGTAACCCAATTTGGTAAAGCTGACAAGTCCCCCAAATTAACATGGCCTTGGGAAACACAATTCAGAAAAAAAATGTATTTTTTTCCTTTAACGTGCTGAGTAAACCCTCTTTTCATTGTACTGATATTTTATTACTAGACATTTTCATTTTATTATGGAAATAAAGCTATGGATTTAAATATATTCATCTTATTATGAGGGACTGATCAATCCATTTACCTATAGGTATCTATCATTTGTCTATATTTCCTTTGTTATAAAGCTATTTATATTGATGCTTTTAAATAAATATTTACTAAGGGCAGATACATTATTTCAGGCATATAGATAAAGAAATTATTGTTAATCGGCAAACCTTTCCAAAAAAAATTTTTTTTTTAATCTGTATACCTGAAAGAGATGCTTATTTTAGGATGGTTGGGGTGTGCCTCAATCATGTAATATTGTTAACTGTAGAAAATAACAATTGCTAATATAAAGATATTTTGAATTTTTTTTTCTAATGGGTTAAATGATTACTTTATAAACTTGTGTGCCAGACTATAGACTTTATTCAATACTTGGCCCTTTCTTACAAGGAATGAAAGCACCTTTATCCTTTTTAGATTGTATTGCCTTGATTTCCTAGAACAACCCAACATGATCAAAGGATGAGCCAGTTAGTTTTCTTATTTGTAAATTTTAGTAGAAATTATTGTCTCAAATTAGGGTCAAAATTTCAAGTTTTTGTTCCCTATAGTGGAAATTTCTATTTGAAAAGACAAATTGGGTAAAAACTAAAGTAACACAGTCTATTTCACCTTGTGAAATATTACACTACACGTGCAAAGTATTATCCACAAAACCACTTTCCATAGTGCAATGGATCTCAAAGGCAAAGGAAGAAATTATTGGGAAGAATCCCACTCCCCCTACACAAACGCATCCCACCCAGTGAACAACTAGCCTTAGACATAGAGAGAAATACAGCTGTCTATCTCAAATTTACTAGCACTGCTCTGAGGAATTTTTGGTTTCTTGTAACTGTTCTTTGAGTTGGAAATGCACGGTTTAATTGCAGAATGATTAAAGCATGCTGTATGCTATTGTTTAGGTTTAATCTGAAGAGCGGAAAAAATTGTCGGAATTGACAACGCCTTCAGCAATTATATTTTTTCCACTAAAATGAATGTTCCTGAAGAAATTACTACTTTATAAACAAGCATCATAATTGAAGTAATCATGATTTATTCTATAACAAATTAAGCTGTTTAAGAATTTTATTATAGGACTCTTAAATTTCTTAAAATTGGATTGTTCAATGGAATCTCAAAACTGCAAAAACATTTACCATTTTGAAATAATAATTATTACTGTATTTTTCATTTAATAAACCATGAATCGAACACATAATCCTTATATAGGTGAGCACATTGGTCTTTAGGGTAGTGAATCATAATTTTTTTAATAGAGAGCATTTTTAATTTTAATGGCTGCATGGTTTTCTACCAATATGACAACATCAATTTAAGCTACTAACAGCTGTATATGTTTTGCTAACATTTGATATTATAAAAATTTAAATTTTTGCATGTTTTTTGGGTAAAATGTATTCATTTAACAATGTGCCAGGCCTAATTTTAGTGGCTGGGAATTCTGTAGTGAACAAAACAGCGCTAAAATTCCTATACATGTGGAATTTCGATACCAGATTGTCATCTTATTTCTGTTGACATGAGGTCTAATGAAGCTTTGCACAGTTTCATGTGCTTACATGAACACTTTTATAAATAGATCTTTACCTTTGGTTTTAATTACTGATGCATTATTAAGCTAGGCACCTACATACCTAAGAGAAACATGGCTAGTGCTCACTTCAAACATACAGTGCTGTTTAAAGTGAGTGCTAGTCATGTTTCTCTTACCAACATTTTCTCTTTTTTGTAAAGAGTTTAAAATTTTTAAAATCTGAGATGATGTAAAAAGGGCTCAGTATTCACAGGTAAATTTCCTTGGCTAAATTTGTATCAAAAGTAAGGAAATATTTGTATATTAAATCAATTTGTCAAGAGAAATAAAAATCAAGCTGGAAAGAATTAGGTGGTCTTTAAACACCATAATTTTGGTTTCAGAAATGTCACTCTGACTTCCCATATCCTTTCACGGTTTGAAATAACATTGCATAAGTAATAATTTAAAAATTGTGAAGAGATAAGATCAGATATTTGTGTTTTACTAAATATTTCTTTTCTTGAACACCAGAAGAGAGAAAATTGTATAGTTTTGCACAATGTAGGATATAGAGTATAATTTGAAAATACAATTAATTAATATCGTTCATTATTTTATGATATTTTTATATTCTTCCTTCTTTCTTTCTTGTAACCAAAACACTGAAAGAAGACCAGTGAACAAAAGCAATCACTGAAACTATTTTAAGGAATTTCAAGTATTAGTAACCATATAATATTTACCATGGGTAAGGTAATCTACTAAACTGTTTGTGTGGGAAGATGGGGGAGGGGTTGCACTTAATTTACTACTGTTTTCCAATATTACGATAATGAATCTGAGGCAGCATAGTTTTTCAAGGTTATACAGCTAGTTTTAACCAGAACGGATAGTGAAATCGGTTCACCATCAGTAAAGTCGGCTTCATTAACCTTGAAATATGAGTCTACACACAATGAGGCCTTAACTACTGCCCAGTTCCTAGGACTAGGCACTATGTAAACATTAGCACATTTTACCTGCACAAAAACAATCCTGTGAAGTTATTTTCATTTCATGTGTGTATAGGAATCTAACACAGACTATTTCAGTAACTTGTCTAAGTTCTCACGTAATAATGGTAGAACTGAAGTTTTACTCATTGTCTTGTGACTTCAAATTCAAAATGTTTAGAAGATAATTTGACCTGGTATATCCCTAAGAGTATCTGTTTAACTATGTTATTCCTGTCTAATTATTTATATTATATTCTTTTATATATCGCTGATATCTCAATTTGAACAATAAATTGTATATTAGTAGATACCCTCTGAATACCGTGCCATAATAACTTCCAGTTTGGAGCTCCTAAGCAAACCCTGTAAGTCGCAGTCAGGAATGTTACCAAATCATAGCAGAAGCTGTTCTATGGACCCCACATGCCATAACAGCTTCCTTACTCGCCAATTGCTTTGATGGTTGTCACCTTGTCTTTTTTGGTTATGTTTATGTCTGAGTATCACCAACACAGGAAAAGTGTGCCGTGCTTGTCTCTGTCCTCAGAAACAATTTGTTTAAGAAATATATAGTCACCATTGAAGGATTCATCTTCTCCTATTCATTGCTGGGTTAGAGAAGGTTCTTCAGTCCTCTTTGGGATGGGACCAGACACTGCGTCCTCTAATGCCATTCTGATCATTGCTAGGTTATTACTATCAAACACTGGGTAAATACTTAGATGTTTTCATAAAAGAGTCAATATTGTATACTTTATGAAATACATCATATGAATCAATATGATAGACTATATTAGAGATGATCTATGCATATATATTTCCATTATTAAATATTTCAAGTCATCAAAGCTAATAGAAAAGCCAAGGACACAAATTGAAATCATTGATTGAAAAGCCACACACAAAAAAAAAAGAAATGGAAGAAATGATAGTATGCTCTTCTTTTAAATTAAATAGAAATGCTACGAAAACACATGTTTTTCCTGGAGAGGCTTCGTAAGCAGCACTGCTGCCGTTAGATGGAGGCATGTAAGTTCCAAAACCTAGCTCTTTAGCTCACTAGCTGGAAAACCTGTGGTAAATTATATAAATCTACTATGATTCCATTTTCTCACAGGTGAAAGAGTAATAGTAATATTAACTTCCCTTATATGGTTGTTGAAGATTAAGTAATTTATGCCTAACTACTGGCATATAGTAGATGCTTAACACATTGATGTTTATCAATGGCATAATAACAAACATCTACTATTGGGGTATAGCAGAGGCTTAACATTGATATTATTATACATTTAATAATCTTATGAAATTATCAAAATGAAAATATAAACCTAAAAGACACTCTTTTAAAGTAATTCTTTATTAGTCATATATTTTTAGCAAATGTCAGCAAATTTGACAATTTAAAACATTATAAAATGTATCAATTGTTTTAGAAAAGAATAAATATTCCTCCAAAATTATGTCTTGAAATGATTTCCTAGTGATCATTCCATAATTTGCTTTTGTAGTATGACAGAAAGTATTATTCCAAAGCAGGATTAGTGTTTAGTGTTTAGTCATTTTCTTCATTTGTTCTTGTGCAATATTAAAAAAAAATCTGTGAAAATAGAGAATCTTAAAAGAAAAATTAACTGCTGCTCTCAAGTGTGGTTTTGACAATGTGACTCTTCATCCTGGAGAGCCCTCTGTGGTAGCAGAGTTTGGCTAGTCCATGAACTTTAGCTTCTATTTAACAAAAATGAAATGGATGACCCAGGGATACTATCACTCTATGAAGATAATCATTAACAATTCGTGAAGGAGTAACCTCATAAGGTCAGGGGCATGCTCATCTCAGATTTCTTCACATCAGTGCACAGAATCAGGAGGTAATTGAGCAATTTACTGCTGTCCTTTTAGCATTGAAGATTTGTTGATTGTTGGTTGATGGGGAAGAAAGGAAAAATGGTATTGTTGTAATATCATGTCCCTCGTATTATCACCCTGTGCATGCAAAGAGACCATTTTATATCAAATCAGATCTAGGATCTTGAATGAAGTTGAAGAGAGCTTTTACAGATCCAATATAATACCTTTACTTTTAGAGGATGAATTATAGTTTTTACTAGAGGAGAGTATTAGGCTAATAGCTTTTAGATAAGTAGTGTATTTCAAAGGGCAAAAGAGCTGCTGAGGTCTTTCGTGCCTTTTTTTTTCTAACTTTTATTAACTATTTAATCACTCTAGAAAACAGCTTAGAGATTGTTACTGCTCAAAGGGCCCTAAAATGCAACAATACAATGTGCTGCAAAGAAAATCTCATGCTTTTATGTCTACATTGAGGCTCCAGCCCCTTAACAATGATCCTCACAGCAGATATATCTGTTCTCAAGATTTATTTCATAGTATTTACTAAAATTAGACAAAGATTCTTGTATTAAAGCTGGTAGATATGTAAGTATCACATTAAGTACCTTCTAGGTGTTAAAGGAAAAGAAAAATCACACCAGAAAAGCAAAGAGAAGTATATTTTATTCTGACACTGTTGCTGTAGGTGAGAAAGAATGAACTCAACACCCCTGAAAAGGAAAAGGCAGACAGGATTTTTAAGTAGTTGGGTAGTTAGTACAAAAGTCCTGGGCATATTCAGGAGGTGGTTGATCAGTATACATGTCTGGCACTTAGAGATATTTCTGCGTTTGCAAATATTTTTCTCTGTAACTAGCCTTCTGTGATTGCTAATTAGCATCTATTAAAAATTAGGATCCTCCCCTCCCACAGACACTGGGAGATAGGGACACATCTCCTTAGAAATTTACATTTCAAAGAGATGGTTCTCAAGTCCTCAGGAATGACATTTTCTTGGTTGTAAAACTGGCAAGAGACTAGGGAAAGATTTATATATATTTTAAAGAGGCAGAGAAGGAATTCACAATTTCAAGTTTTTGAAAAAAAAATGCTCTACGAAAAGAGAAGTAAAGGACATATAGTCCCCAATTAAAGAGGAAGAAACCAGTCCAAAGTTTGTTCAAGCTGAGGGGAATGTTAAGGCCATCTTGGTCATTAGTTATTATTTCTGTTATTTTGACATAAATCTATAAAGAAACATCATAGAAAATTTAAATCAAATGAAATAAATATTTTTCTGTAATAATTACTGTGTCAAAGAATATTAATAAATATTTGTGTCTTCTATTTATGGATTTCTGTTATTTAAAAAGAATATTAAAATGTATAAACTTTAAATATATCTTTTGAAATAGATATTATTATCTCACAGTATAGGGTGTAATTGAGTCTGAAAAACAATTTCCTTTTTCAGTCATTGAATATATGTGTATATATGACTGAGCTGAAATTAACCCAAGATCTCACTAGAAAGTATAAGCTTTGGCATCAATCCTGGATTGAGTCATGTCTCTGTTAATTACCAGCTCCATGACTTCATTTATTTTATACTTAACTTCTCTTTGCCTTAGTCCTTATCTAGAAGCTAAAAACCAATACTACTATATCTGGGTTACTGTGAGGCCTAGTAAAGAAAAATTTGGGTAAAAAGACTAGTATATAGTAAATGTCTTATTAAGGTTAATTATTTACATTATTACTCTAAATGCTATATTCTCACTGTATCCTGCCTCCTCCTAAGAGACAGTATTTTGAGGATTTCAGAATAAATTATATGTGAATCATTGTGGTAGGTATCACAGTTCTTATCTTGAATCTATGCGTGATTATGCATTATTTTGAAATTGTTTTAATTACGAGTTCTGTTTTTTATACTAATAAACACAAAAAAGTTTTAAATACAAAACAAAGTAAAACACAAGTCCATGAAAATAGTACTGTATTTACTACTTTATTTATAAGAGTAGTGTGCCGGAATGGTTAAGCGCACAAACTATAGAGCTAGATGCTTACATTCAAATCCTGGCTCCATAATTAGTGGGTGACCCATAGCAAGTTAATCTAAATCTCTATAACTCTTAATTATATCATTTGTAAAGCAAAGATGGTAATAATAGTTCTTATATTTTGTGTGGATAAAGTCAGCTAATAAAAACATGAAATTGACTGACAGTAATTACAGTCACAGGATATGCCTTTTCTTAACTGAGAGCTATCATTATCATTACATAATTACTATTGTACATTTTTTTCCTGAATCTCAGTGGCATACATTTTACTTCTGGCATTCCATAATGAAAATAAACCATAAAAAATAGAAAATTATAAGAAAATGTATTTGACATTTTATATATATATATATATATATACACATATATATATATACTCAATTGAGAGTGTATATTTATATGTTTATATATACACTCTAAATTGGGTATAGACATTTATAGAGAGAGAGATGAGAATACACACACACACACACACTCACTCTTAATTGATAAATAAATTAAAAATATTAACAACAACAAGCACCCAGCTGGTAGGGTTCAAATCTCTTTTCATCCTCTCTTCCAAATTCAGAATGATGAACTTGAAGATATAGGTAGAAAGTAGTGTAAGAAAAAATAAATCAGTAAAAATATAAAATGTACATGCTGATTTTCTCTTTTAAAACTATGGTTTCAAATAAAAAGTAGAAATTGTAATGGTTAACAATGTATATATCTATCCACAGACATACGTCTATATACATATAAACAGATGCAAAGTAGGAATACATTATATATGTTCTAACTTCATGTATAGCAGGTATAGGTTTTATATGTAAGTTAGGTGTATAATTCATCTTAAAAAATTAGTTTAAACTTTTAAATTGACAAAGGTATTACAAATAGCTTTTAATAAATTCCTAGATGTTGTCTAGAGTATAATTCAAAAATTAATTTATGCTACAAGGGTCTTCACCTTTCAGTATCTAGCTTTTTTGCATCTAGCTAGAGCTAACATTCATTGTAAAGGGTTAACAGTGATGCAAATTCTTCCTATTTATAGCAATGTGAGAGAATGAATACACAACTGAAAAATAACTAGACCATATATAAAGACAGAACTCTGACCTACAGTCTGCAGTAACTGCCCAGGAAACCAACCACTTATCTCCAGTAACCTGCCAGGAAGTGAGCCCGCTATGTCTAACATCTAGAAAATTAGAATTCTATTTTTAGTAGCCTTGGAGAAATCTAAATAACTTTTTTAACAATCAGTCCAAAATGCCCAAGGCTTAATCAATACTTGACAACTTCCTTAATTTTTGTTCCTGCTTCCATCTTAGACTTAACCAGAGAAGGCCAAATAGGTAACCCTAACCAATCACATACAATGCCTCAGTTCTAGTTAGCCTGCCTACAACTTCACATTGACAGCCTCCAGTCAGGGCATACATCAAGCTTTTAGTTTTTTTCTTCCTGCAATAAATGTTGCCCACTCTTGCTTGCCTTTTAGTTTCTGCCAAAAGCAAATGATAGTGGCTGACTTTCTTGCTATAGCAATCTTTGAATAAATAGCCTTTTCTTGTTTATGTTTGGTCGGTCTTCACTTTTTTTTTAAACTTTAAGTTTAGGGGTACAAGTGCCGATTTGTTACATAGGTAAACATGTGTCACGGGGGTTTGTTGTACCAATTATTTCATCACCCAAGTATTAAGCCTAGTACCCATTAGTTATATTCCCTGATTTTCTTCGTCCTCCCACTCTCCACCCTCTGAAAGACTCCAGTGTCTCTTGTTCCCCTCTATGTGTCCATGTGTTCTTATCATTCAGCTCTCTTATAAGTGAGAACATGCAGTAATTGGTTTTCTGTTCCCTTGTTAGTTTGCTAAGGATATTGGCTTCCAGCTCCATCCATGTCCCTGCAAAAGACATGCTCTTGTTTTTTGTTTTTTGCTTTTTTTAGGGCTGCTTAGTATACCATGGTGTATATTATTTCCACAGTTATCTTGGAAGTCCCACTGAAACTCAGTCTGTACTAGCGGTCTCTGGGAGCCCTAGCTTTGGACCAGATGTATTGCCCACAGGAGGCCTCTTGTGCCTTGCTGCTCTCAGCTTGCAGAGTAAGTGACAGTGTGGTAATTTGGAATCCTGCTCTCTTTACCTTAGAATTCTCCACTATTTACTATTTGGTTTGGTACAAGGGTTTTGTTGTTGGTTCCCACTTGTTTGCCCTCCTTGATGAAATCAGGCCATTCTTTCTCATAGTAGTTTGCTATTTTTTTTGTTTTGTTAACTCTTTTGTTTTTTGCTGTTTAAAACTGTTGTTTGTCATAAAAGGGAGAATCATGAGGGAAGGCACAGATAAAGGCTCTATAAGCCTGTTGTCTCACCTGGCCTCAAAGACCAGGGAGTTTGTTCTTTGTTTATTTTCACCAATGCAAATTAATTTATTTCCAGTTCAAGAAACAATTATCAATTAAAATGTATATAAAACATGCAGTTTTCAGTTGTATCTACTTGAAGATATCTTTATGTGTGAACATATAAGCTTCGATCATTTTGGAGAAATTAAACATTGGGGGGTCTTCTACTTAAAAAAACAGTCCATTTATAGGGCTTTACAATATGAAAATATGTCTTTCAATGACTTACATATAAGAATTATATATTGTAAGGTACATGTTAAACATGTTTAATATACTGGACAATTTTATTTCATTTGAAAATATCAAATAAGATATAATGCTAAGTTTCAAATGGATTATCTTGCATAATTTCTTCTTATTTGATCCACTGAAGTTGCCAGTTTATTGTTTTGTGGTTGATGTGAACATAGTGGCTTCTTTTAGATTTCAGTTTCTGGAGATACAGATGACTACTACTCCATCATTTCATATAATATTTTCAGCAAACTCAAAGGAAACTGAAAAAAATTAAAAATTAAAATATAATTTTTGCCATATTTAAAATGGTTGTCACAGGGGCAACAGGCTAAAGTGGCCCATGCAAAGCTATTTTTTAATGGGAAAATTTTACATCTATAGAGAATCTCCATTAATGCAGTGTTGTCTCCCCTCGTCCAGATCTAAGAAAGATTAACTGAGAATCTGATAACTTCAGTGGCATAACAATAAATAATAATAATGATAATAATTACCATCTATTTTTTTCTAAAGGTTGCTACCTGTGAGGTTTCATCTATGTAACCAGATCACCTTTGCTAGCTATGCCTCCTCTTCCCCCTCTCCCATCACCTGCCTTGCCATTAAAGCCTGATATACCACTATAACCTGTTCGTAGCCATACTTTGAGCCTGCATTCTTTCTGTAGCCTCAAGATGGTATGTTAGTTTCCTATTGGGGGTCGGGCTTTCTTTCTAAAGGCTCTTATGTATAAGAATTAAATAAATTTATGTGCCTTTTCTCCTGTTAATCAATCTGCCTCACGACAGTGATTTTCAGCAAACTTTCAGGGGTCAAGCACCTTGGTCCCTTCATAACATATATTCATACACACATAACCTGACAACAAAAAGAAGGTAAACATTTGCTGCTCTTTGGAATCTCTGCTAAGGCTAAGCAGACCTTGTCTCTCTCTAGAAAAGTATGTAAATCAGGAGTAAGTCTGTACGCTCTCAAAATAAAGCATTAAAAGCATAAAACTGAGAAGATTTGTTGGGTGTTCTCTCAACCAGATATTAAAAATGTATATTTTTATATTGAATATCCTTGTTATTACTATAGAAACAAAATGTAGTTCCCAAAAGAAAAGAAAAATCGTGTTTTCTGGTTAAAAATAAAAGTTAGAGTACGATAATAATTTGTCCTTCTTAATAGAAAACATGGCTATAGATTGGGATAAAGACGATAAACAAAGAAGATTGTACCATCAATTATTATAAGAAAATTTTATGACAAGGTTGTTAGTAGATTCAGCCAGAATAAAAGACAGGAATTGTGGCACAGAAATTAAAGTACTTGATGTCTAAGCCCAGTGTTAATCTATAGCTGTTGGAGGACATTGGAAAAAAGACAGATAAAAATTGCAGTGAAAGGCTGTCTATGCCCTTAGGTATCCTTTACAAATTCTAATTTGTTGTTGTTCACTGAACTGTTTCATTCTTTAAATAGCCCACACATTCTATTTACTCTAAAACCAAAATGACAACCAAGGCCTTTTATGCATGTGCATGTTTGGGGAATAGAGTACATTTCCCAGAATGTTTGCCCAGTTTTTGTTTTAATTTTTTCTTCTTTACGAAAGACAGTAAAAACATATAGGCAAAATAACTTAAGCTTATGTCCCTGCTTTATTTTTGTGCTGTGCAACTTTGTTTTCAATTCTGTAATCTGAGGGTCATGCGCTTAGTTTGGCTGCTACTCTTAGGATACTATTATCATATGTATTTTCCTTTATCCTTCATTCTTTTGATATAATGATTTTGTTTCCCTAATAGTAAGACATATATTATCAATCATGGCTCAATGGAATTACCAAAAACCAATAAAATATTTATTTAATATAAACAAAGTTGAATAAAATAATAGAGAAAAATACATTGGATGCTTGCAAAAGTACTACTATTGTAAAGTTGTGTGATTTCCTCCACTTGGTTTCATTCAGCCTCATGTGTTTTTAAATAGTTGAAAAATCATAATTTACCAGCAATATTTTAGCTATTTCTTTGCCTAATATCATAAGACATACTTAGTCATGTTCCTGTATAATTTTCATAAACTCACTTTTAATACTTATATCATATATGTTTAATAAATGCTCCACAATTTAATAAACTATTTTTTCCATTGGAACTTTAATTTTGCTATTTTTTACTTTCATCAATAACATTGTGTGGAACACGTATGCACATATTTTTGGTCTGTAATTTGAATCAACTGAAATCATATATCTTTATTATATTCCTACTATAGATAATGTACCAGGTTAGCAATTTGAAATAAATAGATGGCTAATATTGGTCTTTTTCTCAATGAATTCATATTAATATTTTAGCGAGGGAGACCATTAAAACATATGCACGGAAAATAGAGAGTTTCTTCTCAGTCCCACAGTATACAAAAATGTCATGTTAAAGAATTTAGAATTCAAATAGGAAAAAGAGAATAAATAAATTTATAAAACAACTTAATGTAATTTTATGTAATATGAAATATCAAACAAATTTTGTGTCTTTAAGGCCCATTAATTTTTGTGCATTAATGTCTATTAAAATTTTATTGTTTTTTCAAACTTTCAGCTCAAAAATAGTTGTAACATTTTAATTTCTTTTGCATTGAAATTTTTCTAGATTCCAATTATCTATTCTATAGTTCAAATGCATATTTAAACAAATATTCTTAGCCTACCAAAGAAGTTCTTACTCCACACTCCCCACTCAATTGTATAGATACACAATTTTACTTTACTCATGACAGTTTTATGGAAGGACCTATCTGTTAGAATGAGGCAAATCATTTTAACTTCAATCCTTCAGTGTCTCTTTCACAGACTTTAGCTCATTTCCTTTTTGAGGATGTTGCATGTAACTCTAAAAGGGTTGACTTGGTCTCATGTGACTTTTACCACTACTTCTGTACCTCATCTGTCATCTCAGCTTTATGTCCTTTGATGTTCCAAACTGCTAGTTCCTTTTTCCTGAATAATTCAACTGGATTCCTAAAGACAAAGCTACAATTGATCCCAAGGTTCGTTGGCAATGATGTCTTAAAAGTCAGGTTAGAAAGAAACACTCAGCTGAGGAATTGAGAAGATTCCAGATGGAGAAATTGTCATGAAACCACACATATAAGCCAGGAGAGCTTGACACAATCAGAAAACTGCATGAGGAGAAATCTTTTTTTCATCATTTCTTTTTTTTTTTTTTTGGTAGGGGGGAAGTGGCGCATTCATGAATTTAACGTTCCTGTAATTATCTGAACAAAGACCAAAACATTTTAGGCTATTTGCGATTGATTTCTCTTATGCTATTGAATGAATCTAACCAATGGATCTTCAGCCTTACTCAGCATTATTACTTTCAGTTGACACCTGTTTCCACTTAATAAATTAATCTGTGTGACTTATTTCCGCTTCCAGCCATAAACAAGTAACAAAGATAAGATTTATCTTCCTGCTTAAAACAAGCAAAGAAAGGACACAATATATGAAACAATGTTTTCCAAGTTATTGGACTTCAGGCAATGAAAGACAGCATTCATCAAGAGATGCGAAACAAGTGATGTGTGTGAGCCTCATGACTGCCTAGCTTTATTCTGTCAAAGCAAAAATTGCAACAAATTTAACCAGGCGAATAAGACTTTATTTAAGGTTATTGCTATAGGGATTAGAGACTGAATTCAATGCTGCTGGGGAAAAAAAATGGCAGGGGAATTTTTCAGCACTGGAAAATTTCTTCCACTAGAGCTAGTGAAAAAGTATTGCAGGAGAACACGAGAGGGGAGGTTGATCAATATAATATTATTTGTGAGTTAATTGGAGTTATTTGGAGTAAATAAGAGTTATTCTTGAGTTTGCAAATGTTTTTCTCTATGATTGGGCCGTCTGTGTTTGTTATTTGGTGCCCATGGGAGTTAGGATCCTACCCTCTAACAAAGACTGGGACATTAGGGTGCTATCACCTCCCATATTTATATTACACAGAGTTGGTTTACAGGTTCTTGAGGAAAATTTCTTGAATCCTAAAACTGTCAAGAGACTTTTAAAGAAATGTATATGCATTTCAAAGAAACAAAAAAATAATTTGTAGATTTACAAATTTTCTAAACTAAGTATTCTACCTACTAAAAGGGATGTAAGTACTATGGTTGGGAAGAAACCTATCTAAAGTTTTGTTAAATTAAGTGCAATTTGAAGGCCACCTTGGTAACTGACTTGAGAGTTTCCTTATCAAGGAGCAAGGATGGAGAATCCATGGTTACCCTTGACGGTGTTGAGGTTTGTCTGATTCCTGTGCTCCAAAAAAGCAATGATGATTAAGTAATTGTTTGCTGCTTATCTTTGAAAATTGCTAACTTCCAGGGATCACCATTCCTCATGGCTAAGAATCTTCCTCATAACTCCGTTGTTTGACTGCCTCTGTAGAACCTCAGACTGCCTTCCTTTACTCTGAAAATTTTCTTCAGAAATGAACTTTCTTACTATTGCAATAGGCTAAAAAAAATTTCTTCTGAATTATTTAATGCATTTTTTCTTTCACATATTTTATAACATGGCTCACAATCAGAACCTCATTTTCAAATCCCCCTTCACTCAACCCAGGCCTGTTTGATCATCTCTGGACAGGTGACCCAGGATCCAAAGAGGAGTCTTGTTCATCTATAGGAGAACAAGAACTTGATTGTAATTATTTTTGACTACTGGCTTGATTTTTGGTACTTGTTTCTTGTACTTTGTGTTTTATTTTTGATTTTTAATAGCTAATAAGTTATCCTATATTGGGAATTTGGTTTAAAGTCTAACAATTTGGTGATCTCAATAAACAGATGAATAGTTTATAGAGATCTTCACTTTATTGAGTGAGAGACAACAGGTAATCTGGTTTGTTAGTCTTCTCTATTGCCTGTTTGGAGCTCAAATCATTTAAGAATGGGTCCATACTGGGAAGAGAAAAAATCTATGTTATGTGTGAGCTTTTCTTATTTGTGTTTACTCTTGACTGAGGGATGTGATTTACAATTGAAGTTATAAGGTCTTGACATGTGTCTGTATGTATATTTATGTATCTGTAATTCAGAGAAGTCTTTATCACATTCATTGTGTAATATTTGCCTACCTCTAAATGGTATTACCAAATTAGATTATGAAATGTCATAAAGGAGCTTCAATATGATTGGTTTAGAGATAAATGGTCATATATGAATATATTTGTCTTAACTTTAAAAAATAAAATGTCTTGGGTTCCTTTGTGTTGCTATAAAGGAATACCTGAGGCTGGGTAATTTCTAAAAAACAGAGTTTTACTTGCCTCACAGTTCTGCAGGCTGCATAAGAAACATGACGCTAGCTAGCATCTGCTTTTGGTGAGGGCTTCGGGGAGCTTCCTCTCATGGCAGAAGGGAATAAGAGAGCATATATTCATGTCAAGAGAGGAAGGAAGGAAAAGGGGAGAGAGGTGCCAGGTTGTTTTCCACAATCATCTCTGGCAGAAGGGAATAAGAGAGCATATATTCATGTCAAGAGAGGAAGGAAGGAAAAGGGGAGAGAGGTGCCAGGTTGTTTTCCACAATCATCTCTGGCAAAAACTAATAGAGCAGGGACTTACTCAGTACTTGGATGGCACCAAGATACTCATGAGGGATCTGCCCCCATGATTCAAACACCTCACAGAAGGCTCCATCTCCAACATTGGAGATCACATTTAAACATGGGATTTGGAGTGAACAAATACGCAAACTTTATTAGAAAATAATGAAATTAAACTTTTAAGACTTCATTGTTCTAGATTTTAAAAATCTCCCTACAAAAACCAGCTTGAAAATGTTTTGAGAATTCAAGTCTCCACAAGTTTTAGTGTTAAGCATAGCATACATATAGATTTTTATTCTATTTGAGTATGTTCTCCTTACATTTATACAGGTTTATTGATTGGATAAGTTTGCATTACTCTTGCTTAATGTGTAAGATTATAAAAATATAAATATGTTTTAACCAAATCGAACCATTATTCTGACATAACTAATTCAATAATAATTTTATTTTGCAGTGTTTTAGCTTAAAAATAATTTAAAGAATTTTAGGTAACTTGCAAACTTGGAATGATAGTATATTGAGTAAATTAACATTCAACAGACACCTAGATTATTATTATTATTAATCATTATTATTATTTTTGAGACGGAGTCTTGTTCTATCACCCAGGCTGGAGTGTAGTGGCACAATCTCGGCTCAATGAAACCTCTGCCTCTGAGGTTCAAGCTATTCTCCTGCCTCAGCCTCCCAAGTAGCTGGGACGACAGGCACCCGACAACACGCCATTATAATTTTTGTATTTTTAGTAGAGGCAGGGTTTCACCATGTTGGCCAGGATGGTCTCAATCCTTGACCTCGTGATCTGCCAGCCTTGGCCTCCCAAAGTGCTTGGATTACAGGCGTGAGCCACCGCACCCGGCCTACACCTGGATTATTTTTAAGAGAACATTGCTACATTGGTTACTAAGCCTAATCTATATGTATATGCTGTTCCTTTTTTTTTATGCTACAGAGAGGCTATGTCTTTGGGTTTGTAATGAATGTTTGTTTCTGCTACTTTGAGAACTGTATAAATGATGTGCATGGCTGTAGAAAGTTGTGTTATGTGTATTCATCAGCTCTATGAGCTTGCTGCACAAGACAACTGCATGATAGCCAATGCAAAAGTATTAATACCGCTAATTCTCAATTTTATCTGTAACACCGGTGTTAGTTGACTTAATTGAAAGTTATGTGATTTAGATTATAATTAAAGGCTATTATTTTAAAGAAATATAACTGTGTATTCTATTATTCAAAGAAATATAGTTTTCTCCTAAATTAGTGTGTTTTCTTTCTTTTTTATTTGTTTGGGGTTTTTGCTTTTGTTTTTGGACTCCATAGCTCTTTTCACTCTTAAAAGTTTTTGATGACCTCAAAGAGCATGACAAACATTGATATTTACTTTATTGGAAAATAAAACTAAAAAACTTAAAATGCTCATGTATTGGTTAATTTTAATATGGCAATGATAAATTATTGCTCATTAATAACATCTTAGTAATATTATTAACTTCATTCTGACCTCATATATCCCCTGAAATTAGTCCTAAAGTATGCGTCTTCCAGAACATTAAAGAGAATAATGAATGGCAACATTTGGAAATGAATTATATTTGCCTTGGTTTATTAAATCTGAGTCTGAAATGCTACAAAGTGTGTTGAAATCTCAGTAAAGTTTGCTTAATTTGATGGGCTTCTCTCTTTGGTTTACTGTTTATTTTCCTCATCCATAATATAGTTACTACCAATGAGTTTCATGAGAGAAGATATTGCCAAATCAAATGACATCCCTTAGCCTTCCCTAGGCTAAATACATATTGGTAAAATGTTATTAATCTAATATTGCAGAAATTGTACATTGTATGGGAGTTTCCCAGATAGTTGTCAATGTCCTCACTGTCTACAATTCTATTCATCAGTCTTGGTGCTACTTCGTCTGATATGAGCCAGCAGCAGAATGGTGTTATAAATCATAATTTCAGTGATTTTTTAAAATGTTAACTTGATTACAACCATGTTTCCTTAGCTTAAATTTAGAATCTTCCAGGACAGCAGTTTCCATGAGATTTGTATCACTTACCTATGAAGCTTTACTAAGATATAGATGCTTAGGATCTATTCCCGACTTAAGGAGTCAATTAGCTGTATATATTTTTGATATATTCTAACTATATGTTTAGTATATCCATGGTATATTATGACTGAATTATACATTGTAGCTGAAGTATTTTTCACTATATTTTATCAAGTTTTAAAAGATTAGACATAATAGCCATTCCTGAAAATTGAGTTAATAGTTATGATTATAGTAGATATTTTGTCTGAAACCTTCTGAATTCACCTCATTATCTTGCTTTTACATGTCACAGAAACAACCACATTTATCAGTTGCATTATTCTTTTTAGGAACTCTCATTAGATCATTCTGTTCTGAAATTATCAATTATAAGTTAACTGTAGTCAATTTACATCTTTTGTTACATACAAATAAGTTTTTTGTTTTGCTCTAATGCTTCCCTGAAAGAACTTGCAATCAGCTTCAGGGTGTACTGTTCCATATACAAGAAATGTCTCAAATCCCTGAAGAAAAGCAATCTGCCACATAGAGGCTTCTGATGGCATCATTTAAACAACTTTGAGATTATTCCACTGATGAGTAAAGATTTCCAGTACTCTAGTCAAGAAGCTGATAGTTTACAGGATTGCAAACCCAAAATGAAATAGAAAACAAAATTAGTTATATAGGACTGAATGAACTAATGAGGTGTAATTATGATTTTTAAAAGTATATTATTTGTATTTTGATGTTTATTTCCTTAACATATGTTTGTTTCATTAATTCATGTTTATTTCCTTAATATTTCACTTTCCCTTTAAGGTATCTATAATTCATAATTAAACAGACTGCTTTTGCAAATTGATATAAAACATTTAAAATGATATATTATTCCCCCCGCCTAACCTATGCAGCATTTCAAAGCTCTGAGTATTTTTTATCTTAATGACAATATAATTGCTTGCATAGACTAAATAAGAATCTAAATAATAATTATGTCTTTTGTCAAGATATAATTTGATAATTTAGTTAATATGCTAACAGATGAAATAAAATCAATCATGGAAAAAACTCAATATAAAACAAGACAAAAAAGAAAAAGAACAAAGAATATATTCAACAAATAAAAAAAAAATAGTAAGCTGATAGATTTTAGCCCCAAAATATCAGATATCACACACATTGTAAATGTAGCAAATGCTTCAAATGGAAAATAGATTGTAGGTTTGGATAAAAAAACAACTCAAAACCTAAATATGTCCTGGCAACCAGAAAGAAATATTAAGTATAGGAATGCAGATAGATTAAAATTAAAAGATTATCAACATGCAAAAAGACAAATTTTAAACCCTACATCAAACCATACACAAAATTAACCTGGATTGAATTATAAATCAAAATATGTGATAAAACTATAAACAACCTAGAAGAAAACATGAGAGTAATTATTTATGTCCTTTGATTAGGTAATGATTTGTTAAATATGACCCAAAAAGCACAAACAATGAAGCAGTGCAATGATGGCTTTAGCTAATGCAATGAGGCGAGAAATAAAAAGGAATCTATATTGAAAAGAAAAGAAAGAAAAATCTGCCTTTATTTGCAGACAGCATAATAGTTTATGTAAAAACTAAAATGGGATCTATAAAAGTGATACTAAAATTAATAAATAAGAATAGGAAACTGTAGGATACAAGATCAGTATAAAACCTAATTGCATATTTATCAATAAAAATTTAGAAATTAAAATTAACAAAATAATATAATTGTAAAAAGCAAAAATATTAAATACTTAAAGATAAATCTGACCAAAGATCAGTGTATTGCTGAGAGAAATTAAGGAATACCTAAATAAATAGAAAGATACATTATATTCATGACTTGGAAGACTCAGTAACAAGATGTCAGTTTTCTCTGAATTTGTGTATAGATACAATGTAACCCTGATTAAGATACCATTTGGATGTTTGTAAAACTCAGGAAGCTGATTCTAAAATTAATATGGAAATGGAAAAGAACTAGAAGAGTCAAAACAACTTGGAAAAAAGAAAAGTTTTTATATTAACTCTATCTAATTTCAAGAATTATTATAAAACTATGGGAATTAAGACATTGCGATTTTATGCAAAGATAGGTAAATAGGTAAATGGAACAGAAAAGAGAAATCAGAAATAGATCTATGCATGTATAAACAACTAATTTTAATAAATGTAATACAGTTAAGAGATGATAGTCTAGAGCACATGGTACTACAACAATTTTTAAGCAGGATTTCACTTTCCATTGCAACTTGTCAATTTCTTTTATCATTTCTTATAATTGTACCTTTTAGAGTCCAACTGTAAGTCTTTTAAGTTTTTGAGTTTTAGAGTCCAGTATTTGCCCTCTCGATTCACTTTTTCTCCCTTTCATGATCTCATAGACTTTTTTTTTTTATTTGACAAATTCCTCATAGCGAGAAAAGGTATCTCATGTAATGTGGATCTCTCTGAATTCCCTTATTTTAAAAAATTATTGTCCTTCAAATTTCTTGTTCTTTTATAGCCTTATGAATTCCAACAGATATTTTAAAAATATTTTCTTCTTCAGAATTTTTTATATTTTGACTATGTCAAGCTACTCTATTATTATTCAAATATGAAATAAGCCTGCGTTGGCTTTTACTTGATTTTTTTTTATACTATAATGTCATTTTTTTTTATATATATGGAGTCTCACTGTGTCGCCCAGGCTGGAGTGCAGTGGCATGAACTCGGCTCACTGCAAGCTCCGCCTCCCCGGGTTCACGCCATTCTCCTGTCTCAGCTTCCCGGGTAGCTGGGAATACAGGCGCCCGCCACCATGCCCAGCTAATTTTTGTATTTTTAGTAGAGACGGGGTTTCACCGTGTTAGCCAGGATGGTCTCAATCTCCTGACCTCGTGATCCACCTGCCTAGGCCTATAATGTCACTTATAAGTCTTGAATATTTCAGGGTTTATCCTTCTTGAGTATCAAGAATTTACTGTTTAGTACTTGTGAAAGTGTCAGCAAATGATGCATAGGAAACATGTAACATTGACATGAAGAGAAGCCTTGTATGTGAATGAAGAGTTTTAGTAAACTGAAGGCAGTTGGAGAATATTGAGGCATACAGAGTTTCAGCAGGATTTGCCTTAAGATCCTATGACAGGATTGATGAAAAAGAGCATTAGAAGAGAATCAGGGGGAACAATTAAGAGTCCATTGATATTTTAATGTATAGATACTTTTTATAACACATATAATTACTTACAATTACTAATACTTTTCACTTTTTTCCAGTGGTCTTTGAGTATTTATTTATATCATTAGGAAAATATTTTAGATTTATGCATTTATTTTCAAATTACTATATCAAAATTTGTTTCACCGTTTTGAAATGTACATGTCCAGGGAAACCAGAAGTAACAAAAAAACCCACAAAACTTCCAGTTCGAATCTAAAGGCATAGTGATGAGAAACTACGAAATAGATTGAAAAGCTGCCACATAATTTGAAATTTAGCTTAAAAAAATCTCAACAAATTATTATTAAGATTTACTACTTCTATATGAAGAAAAATGAAGTATACACACACATTTATATATATATATATATATATATATATTGGTAGATGGGGGTAAGGAAACAGAGTAAACATTGTCTAATATCATAATGGCTAAAAGATCTGCAGTAGTTGGGTTGGGACATTTCTGAAGTGGCTCTGTGAGTTGAGCAAGAGCCACACAAGTGCTCAGTTCTAGTAATTACAAAACTCCCTTATATGTTTATTTCTAATATTGATCTCATTTTAAAGTCTACTGTTTCATCTAAAATCAATGTTACTATTTATCTTGCTCAAGACAAAGAAAAGTACACATATAAATATTAAACATTTTAAAGTATTGAGAGGGCATTACTTACTCGGCTGAACATAGTTCCTTAACTTCTGTCTGTAGTCCACCTTTCCCCTATGGAGTGATTTTGTCCCAATACTTAACCAATTGAAACAGCACTAACATTTCCTGAAATATTGTCTCAGGGACAGGAACCCTCCTCCTTCCCTTATTATTTACTATAGATTAATGCCAGATAACTGAGGAAAATATTGTGGAGGGAAATCCTTCAATATCATATTCTAGGTTTGACATGGGGTATTTAATACAGTACTCTCTAAGTTACTACTTTTGGATGTTCTCTCAAACTGTGAGCAAAATAAATGAAGGATTTTTTTTCTCAAAATTTTGCTCTCAAACTGTGAGCAAAAATAAATGAGGGATATAGAAATCAATTCATAATGGTTTTTTAAAAACATAGGTACATGAACATGTACATCTGCTGAATACAAGTGAAGTAAAAAATAGTAGAATCTAGATTACCTTTTTTAAAGATGATCAATGACAGAATTACAAGAGATATGTATTAAAAATATCATGCTTAAGACCTAGTAAATCAGAATTTATGTTCATGCTCACATGGCTTAAAGTTGAAGGCCATGTCTGTGAATCCATAAAAAAGAAGACAAACTTTCTCCAGAAGTAACCACATCTGTGCTTGCTGTTAATTGTACAATATATTATTAAGCAGACATTGCCTATTTCCTACCTTCTAGACGATTCTTAAAGTTCATTACTTTCTATGAACATATTACTAAAATATTTTGAAAGAGGATTCTATTAGTATTTATACTCTATTCAGGTGTAACCTAGTATAAACCAAAACTCTCTTGTGCAAACTGTCTTAAGGCCATTCCACAAATAGAAATCCATGAATGTACCGGAAATCACAAACACACACACAAAGTTCCATTGAAAACACCAAGATAACTTCTTTTCTATATTTTTTCACATTATATTCCTGAGCAGAGGATTTCAACTGACTTCTCAGTAAGGCTACTTTTGTAAATTTTTTAGAATAAATTATATATAACATGATATTTACCATGTTAACCATTTTAAGTGTATAGTTCACTAGCATTAATGCTTTCATATTGTTGTGCAATCATCACCATCATCCATCTCCAAAATTCTTTTCATCTTGCAATAATGAAACTCGACATTCATTGAAGAAGAACTAACCGTTTTCCCCGGGCCCTTGCAGGATTCTTACAACCACCATTCTTTTTTTTCTCTATTTATAATCTTCACTACTCTAATTACCTTATGTAAGTGTAATAATATGGTATTTGTCACTTTGTGATTGGCTTAATCCACTTAGCATAATATCCTCAAGATTCATTCATCTTATCAGAATTTCCTTCCTTTTTAAAACAATAATATTCCATTGTATGTACACACCTAATTTTGCTTTTGATTCATCTGTCCATAGACACTTGGGTGCTTACATGACTTAATTATTGTAAATAATGTTGGTATGAACATGGATGTACAAATACATCTTTCAGAAGCTGCTTTTAATTATTTGGGGTATATACTCACATGTGGAAATGGAGAACCATAAGGCAATTCTACTTTTTAATTATTTGAGGAACTGACCTACTATTTTCCAAAGAAACTGGATTATTTTACATTCCCAATAAAGTGCACGAGGGTTCCAGTTTTTCCATATGTTTGCCAACACTTATTTTCTGTTTATGATAGTACCCATCTTAATGAGTGTAAGGTGGTATCTCATTGTAGTTTTGACTTATGTTTATGATGATAAATGATGATAAGCATCTTTTAACGTGCTTATTGGATATTCATATAACTTTTTTGGATAAATGTCTAATAAAATCTTTTGTCCATCTTTGAGTGGGGTAGTTTGTTTTGTTGGTGGTGTTGAGTTTTAGAAGTTTTCTATATATTCCAGATATTTATCCCTTATGAGATACATATGATTTGGAAACATATTTTCCATTCTACGGGATGTCTTTTTATTATGTTGATAGTGCCTTTGATAAAAAAATTGTTTAAAGCTTTTTTTATATATACTTTAAGCTCTGGGATACATGTGCATAACGTGCAGGTTTGTTACATAGGTATACATGTGTCATGGTGGTTTGCTGCACCCATCAACCCATCATTTACATTAGGTATTTCTCCTAATGCTATCCCTCCCCTAATTCCGCACCCCCTGACAGGCCCTGGTGTGTGATATTCCTCTCCCTGTGTCCGTGTATTCTCATTGTTCAACTCTCGCTTATGAATGAGAACAGGCAGTGTTTGGTTTTCTGTTCCTGTGTGAGTTTGCTGAGAATGATGGTTTCCAGCTTCATCCATGTCCCTGCAAAGGACATGAACTCATCCTTCTTTATGGCTGCATACTATTCCATGGCGTATATGTGTCACATTTTCTTTATCCAGTCTATCATTGATGTGCATTTGGGTCGGCTCCAAGTCTTTGCTGTTGTGAATAGTGCTGCAGTAAACATACATGTGCATGTATCTTTATAGTAAAATGATTTATAATCCTTTGGGTGTATACCCAGTAACGGGATTGCTGGGTCAAATGATATTTCTGGTTCTAGGTCCAGGAGGAATTGCCACACTGACTTCTACAATGGTTGAACTAATTTACACTCCCACCAAGAATATAAAAACATTCCTATTGTTTCACATCCTCTCCAGCATCTGTTGTTTCCTGACTTTTTAATGATCGCCATTCTAAATAGCATGAAGACGGTACCTCATTGTGGTTTTGATTTGCATTTCTCTAATGACCAGTGATGATGAGCTTTTTTTCATATGTCTGTTGGCTGCATGAAAGTCTTCTTTTGAGAAATGTCTGTTCATATAGTTCACCCACTTTTTGATGGGGTTGTTTTTTTCTTGTAAATTTGTTTAAGTTCCTTGTACACTTTGGATATTAGCCCTTTGTCAGATGGATAGATTGCAAAATTTTTCTCCCATTCTGTAGGTTGCCTGTTCACTCTGATGATCGTTTATGTTGCTGTGCAGAAACTCTTTAGCTTAATTAGATCCCATTTGTCAATTTTGGCTTTTGTTGCCATTGCTTTTGGTTTTTTAGTCATGAAGTCTTTGCACATGCCTATGTCCTGAATGATATTGCCTAGGTTTTCTTCTAGGGTTTTTATGGCTTTAGGTCTTACTTTTAAGTCTTTAATCCAACTTGAGTTAATTTTTGTATAAGGTGTAAGTAAGGGGTTCAATTTCAGTTTTCTGCATATGGCTAGCCAGTTTTCCCTACACCATTTATTAAATAGGGAATCCTTTCCCCATTTCTTGTTTTTGTCAGGTTTGTCAAAGATCAGATTGTTGTAGATGTATGACATTATTTCTGAGGCCTCTGTTCTTTTCCATTGGTCTGTATAACTGTTTTGGTAACAGTACCATGTTGTTTTTGTTACTGTAGCCTTGTAGTATAGTTTGAAGTCAGGTAGCATAATGCCGCTAGCTTTGTTCTTTTTGCTTAGGATTGTCTTGGCTATATTAGCTTTTTTTTTAGTTCCATGTGAAATTTAAAGTAGTTTGTTTCTAACTTTGTGAAGAAACTCAGTGATAGCTTGATGGGAATAGCATTGCATCTGTAAATTACTTTGGGCAGTATGGTCATTTTCACAATATTGATTCTTCTTCTTCATGAGCATGGAATGTTTTTCCATTTGTTTGTGTCCTCTCTTATTTCCTTGATCAGTGTTTTGTAGTTCCCCTTGAAGATGTCCTTCACATCCCTTGTTAGTTGTATTCCTAGGTATTTTATTCTCTTTGTAGCAATTGTGAATTGCCCTGGCCAGAAATTCAGTACTATGTGGAACAGGAGTGATGAGAGAGGGAATCGTTGTCTTGTGCCCGTTTTCAAAGGGAATGCTTCCAGCTTTGCACATTCAGTATGATACTGGCTGTGGTTTTTTCACAAATAGCTCTTATCATTTTGAGATACGTTCCATCAATACTTAGTTTATTGAGTTTTTTTAGCATGAAGAGGTGTTAGTAGCATTAACATCAACAAAAGGGATGTCCACACAAAAACCCCATCCAAAGGTCACCGACATCAAAGATCAAAGGTAGATAAATCCACGAAGATGAGGAGAAAACAGTGCAAAAGTTGAAAATTCCAAAAACCAGAATGCCTCTTCTCCTCCAAAGGATCATAACTCCTCACCAGCAAGGGAACAAAACTGGTCAGAGAATGAGTTTGACAAACTGACAGAAGTAGAATTCAGAAGGTGGGTAATAACAAACTCCTCTGAGCTAAAGGAGCATGTTCTAACCCAATGCAAGGAAGCTAAGAATCTTGAAAAAAGTTACAGAAACTGCTAAGTAGAATAACCAGTTTAGAGAAGAACATAAATGATCTGATGGAGCTGAAAAACACAGCATGAGAACTTCGTGAATCATACACAAGTATCAATAGCCGAATCGTTCAAGTGGAAGAAAGGATATCAGAGATTGAAGATCAACTTAATGAAATAAAGCATGAAGACGAAATTAGAGAAAAAAAATAAAAAGAAAGAACAAAGCCTCCAAGAAATATGGGACTATGTAAAAAGACGAAACCTACGTTTGATTGGTGTACTTAAAAGTGACGAGGAGAATGGAACCAAGTTGGAAAACAGTCTTCAGGATATTATCTAGGAGAACATCCCTATCCTAGTAAGACAGGCCAACATTCAAATTCAAAAAATACAGAGAACACCACAAAGATACTCCTCAAGAAGAGCAACCCCAAGACGTATAATCATCAGATTCATCAAGGTTGAAATGAAGGAAAAATCTTAAGGGCAGCCCGAGAGAAAGGTCCCACAAAGGGAAGCCCATCAGACTAACAGCAGATCTCTCTGCAGGAACCCTACAAGCCAGAAGAGAGTGGGGGCCAATATTCAACATTGTTGAAGAAAAGAATATTCAACCCAGAATTTCATATCCAGCCAAACTAAGTTTCATAAGTGAAGGAGAAATAAAAATTTTTACAGACAAGCAAATGCTAAGAGATTTTGTCACCACCAGGCCTGCCTTACAAGAGCCCCTGAAGGAAGCACTAAATATGGAAAGGACAAAACTGGTACCAGCCACTGCAAAAACATACCAAATTGCAAAGACCATTGAAACTATGAAGAAACTGTATCAACTAATGGGCAAAATAACCAGCTAGCATCATAGTGACGGGATCAAATTCACACATAACAATATTAACATTAAATATAAAAGGGCTAAATGCCCCAATTAAAAGACACAGACGGGCAAATTGGATAAAAAGTCAAGACCTATCAGTGTGCTGTATTAAGGAGACCTTTCTCACATGCAAAGACACACATAGGCTCAAAATAAAGAGATGGAGGAATATTTACTAAGCAAAGGGAAAGCAAAAAAACAAAAAATAAAAATTAAAAAAAAGCAAGGGTTACAATCCTAGTCTCTAAAATTTTAATAAAATTTAATTTATCTACTATTTTCTTTTGTTGCCTGTGCCTTGGTATTATATTCAAGAATTCATGGTCAACTCCAATGTCAAGAAGGTTTTGCCATATTTTATTTTAAGACTTTTATAGATTTTGCCATATTTTATTTTAAGACTTCTATAGATTTATGTTTTACATTTTTGTTTTTGATCCATTTTGAGGATCAAAAAATGTAACACCATAATTTTTTATTATGGTGTTACATAAAGGTCAAGCTTCATTCTTTTCCGTGTTCATAATTAGGCTTCCCAGTGCCACTTGATGAAAAGACTTTCCTTTACCATTAAATGGTCTTGATATCCTTGTTGCAAAGCATTTGACCATTCATGCATGAGTTTATTTCTGGGCTCTCCATTCTATTTTATCTGTTTATAGATCTGTATTTATGCCAGCCGCACTCTGTTTTGATCACTGTAAATTTGTAGTTAAGTTTTAAATCAGTAAGTGTAATTTCTTAAGCTTTTTTTTTTTCAAGAATATTTTGACTATTTAAAGTCCCTTTCTATTTTTGCAAAACAGTCATCAGAATTTTGGTTAACATTCCATTAAATCCATAAATCTTTTTTATTAGTATTGAATCTAAATAATATCAACTCTTTTCAACTCATGATTATAAGATGGATATTCATATATTTACATCTTCAATTTTTTTCAGCACTGTTTTATAGTTTTCATTGTAAAAGATTTTTGCTTTCTTGGTTAGGAATAAGTATTTTATCTTTTTGATACTATTTTTGTTGATTTCTTTTTAGATTGTTTATTGTTAATGTATAAAATAAAACTTATTTTTATGTTAATTTGATATCCTGGAATTTTACTAAATTCACTTATTCTAAAAGTTTTTAAATACTGTTTTAGTATTTTTTACACCTTTTCTAAAATTAGAATTTCATTTCTTGCTTTCCAGGCTGAATGTCTTTGTTTTCTTGTTCTTGCCTAATTGCTCTGGCTAGGCCTTCCAATATTTTTGTTCTTGATATTTGAGAAAAAATAACTGATATAATTTGGCTGTGTCCCCATGCAAATCTCATCCTGAATTGTAGTTCCCATAATCCTCACATGTTGTGGGATGGACCCAGTGGGAGGTAATTCAATCATGGGTGTGGGTCTTCCAGTGCTGTTTTATTGATAGTGAGTAAGTCTCATGAGATCTGATTGCTTTATAAAGGGGAGTTCTCCTACCCACTCTCTCTTGCCTGCTTCCATGTAAAACGTGTCTTGTGTCCCTTTCACCTTCTGCCATGATTGTGAGGCCTCCCCAGCCATGTGGAACTGTGAGTGAATTAGACATCTCTCCTTTATAAATTACCCAGTCTCGGATATGTCTTTATTAGCAGTGTGAGAACAGACTAATACAAAGACTTTCCATATTTTACTATAAAATATGATATTTTCTGTGGATTTTTCATATATAGTTACTGTTTTGCTGAAGTGATTTTTATGCCTACTCTGTCAAGTGTTTTATTATGAAAGGATGTTGAATTGTGCCCAATGTATTTTCTGTACCAATTGAAATAGTCGTATTTGTGTTTTTTCTACATTTTGTTAATGTGGTGTGTAACCGTTACTAATTTTTATCTATTGAGCCATCCTTTCATTCCAGGAACAAATCCCTCTTGGTCATGGTGTTTAACTTTTTAATATGCTGCTAATTTCAGTTTGCTGGTATTTTTTTGAGGAACTTGCATCAAAGTTTATAAGATATATTGTTCTGTAGTTTTGTTTTTCTATAATGTCTTTGCCTGTCTTTGGCATAAGAATAATGCTGTCTGATAGAGTACATTAGAAAATGTTCCCTCTACAAACTTTTGGAAAAATTTGAGAAAAATTAGTGTTAGTTTTTTTTAAATGTTTGATAAATTTCACTAGTGAAACCATCAGATCTAGGTTTTTTCTTTGTTGGAAGATTTTTGATTACTAACTCAACCTGCTAGCAAGTCTACTCACATTTTGAAATTTTTTAGGGTTTAGTTTTAATAAGTTTTAAGTTTCTAGAACTCTGTGTATTTCATCTAGGTTATCTAACTTACTAGACGATAATTATTCACAGTACTCTCATAATATTTTATATTTCTGTAGAGTAAGTAGTAATATCTTCTAGTTTTTTTCTACTCATCGTGATTTGAGGATTCTCTTTTTTTTTCAGTTATGCTAGCTATATGTAGGTCAGTTATTTTGATCTTTCCAGGGAACTAACGTTTTTTTTAAATTTTTTTCTGTTAGTTATCTATTCTCTATTTCATTTATCTGTGCTATAATCGTTACTGTTTGTTTCCTTCTGCTTTTAGTTTTTGTTTTTCCTGTTTTTTTCTGGGGGAGGGGGATTCTCATATTGTAAAAGCAGGTTGTTGATTTGAGATTTTAATTCTTTTTTAATGCAAGCATTCATAAATACAAAGTTACCATGTGGCTCTTCTTTCACTGTGTTCATAAGTTTGGTATGTTGGGTTTTACTTTTTATTTGTCTCTAATCCCTAATTTCCCTGTGATTTCTTCTTTGATCTGCTGTTTAAAAACTTGTTTACTTTCCAAATATTTGAGAGTTTTCCAGTTTTCCTTCTGTTATTGGTTTCTAACTTAATCCTACTAGTGATATATTAGAGAAGATACTCTGTAAGTTATCTAAATAGTGATACTACACACACACACATATATATACGTGTATATATATACGTATACGTATATATATACGTATATATATACGTATACGTATATATATACGTATATATATACGTATACGTATATATATATTCTGTTTCTCTTGAGATCTCTGACTTATAAATTTAGAGTCCAAGTTCAAAAAAAGATATGGCATGCTGAAATTTGTAAAAACCATTAAATATAAGAAATATCAAAATGTTGAAAGAAGATTGCAAAATATAAATGTATTGTGATATTACAAGGCAAAATCATTTCACTCATTTAGATATACGTGGTAATTTTAGGTTTGTAAGTTACTATTTGTGACAGTTCTAAAATAATAAAATTTTATCCTTTCTGGATAAAATTTACGTACACTTCTTATCTATATGTTCTTTTTGTCTGGGGAACCTGACTTATATATTATGTGTATGTGTGCATACACACATACACATATATAGAGAGAAAAAGCTGGGTATATAAAAATTTATACATATAAAAAGTTATACTCACTTATTTTCTGTTTTGCAGTGGCTATTATAGAAAAATCAACTACCCTTTATTTGATTTGGTACAGTTTAAAATTTTGGATACTTTTGGACTAATGTTTAAAATTTTTATCATTATTCACATTTCATACTAAAATTTTTCTTCCAAATCTACCTTTAATTCACCAGAAACTCTGGAAATTTAGCTATGAGTTTATTTCCTAAGGCTTAATGCTTACATTTATATGATGAATTTAATCTTCTGAAGTACAATCAAAAGCCAGTTTTTATTCAATGTGCATATCTGAAGTAAAAACATCTATAGAGAATTATATTTTGATATTCTAGAAAGAGGCATTAAGGGGAGGCTATTCACAGCAGGCTTATCTTCAAAAGCAATTGGGAAGAGGTCTTAAAAATGGATAAGCATTGAAGGTATCCTGTCTTCAATGGCAACAGTTGTTGAAAATTTATTTTAGCTGTATGTTGCTCTAAATTTATTCCATAGTGACAGAAATTAAATGAAATTTTTTTTTAGTAAGACTACAGAGAAGCAAGATATATTTTTAATAGAAGCATTAGAAATCAGTTTGAAGTTTAGGTTGTAATATCAATTTATATTGGCTAACATTAAAATGCTTAGGTAAGTGTTTATTTTTTCTTTCCTACAGAGATATTTATATGTAAATTATATTTTTCATTGTTTTTATTATGTAAAATCTTTTCTGATATAGAATGCTTATATCTTAGAAATCACTAGTACTTTGCTCATCTTGCCTACACAGTCCTACAGCTGTTGCCTTCCACATCTCAATCCCTGCCTGAACCTTTCTCCCAAGAAAGATGTCCTAAAATCAACTTTTATCTTAAATAATATGCTAATGTGTTCTCCAGAAAACTTAAATTATTAAAGAATGAGAAGGAGTGCTTGTTGTGGGTGGATGCCAACATTTGAAATAGGATGGTCAGGGAAACACACACTGAAGAAGATATTTGAGCAAAGGCTTGAAGAGGAGAGGGTACAAACCATGTAAACATCCAGAGGAAATATCTTCCAGGCAGAAGAACCACAATTAAAAAAAAATGTTGAAGTTCTTTATATACTGTTTTTCTGTGCCTTAGTTTGAATTTCTTCACTCCCACTCCAAACAGATCTGAGGAAAATATTTGGATGGAGATAATTTATTTGGAAGTAATCCCAGAGAGGATTTGGGAGTGGGGCAACAATAAGGGTTTGGACTCAAGATACCACTGTGGGCAACTGGGAATCCTCTGAGGAACTGGGTACAATGTATCTCAGTATTGTCCCACTGAAGAGTGAGAAAGCTTAAATATGTATTCATCCAATCTCATTTAATTGCTAACATTTTTGAATTTTTTTCTTATGACCTTGAGAAATTTCTCAGGCAGAGAGGCTGAGAGAGTAGTGCTTGAGCATATATGAAGTGTCTACAGAGGATTAACACAAATTTTCAGGCCACAAGGATATATGGTGGGCTTGAACAGTATCCCTTACAGTCTTTCACTATTTGTCTTAGTTCATTTTGTGCTACTATAACAGAATACTGGAGACTGGGTAATTATAAATAATAGACGTTTATTTCCTTTCGGTTCTGGAGTCTGGAAATTTCAAGATTGAGGGGCAAAGCACTTGTGAACAGGCCTTCTTACTTACTGCCTCATAATGTGGCAAAAGGCATCAAATGCCAGAGGGTAAACAGAGGAAAAGATGGAGACAGAAAAAAAAGGCAGACAACTCCCCTTTTATAGCAAACCCAATTCCATGATCATGGCATTAATCCATTCATAAGGGCAGATATCTCCTGGCCTAATCATCTCTTAACTTTAATAGTCCCAGCTCTTCGGATCTTACCATGTTGCCTAGGCTGGGATGATTTTCTTTTGTAATAGTGTTTGACCTCGATATTTGCTAGAATCAGAGAAAAAAATGGCCTAAGATAGGGACCCTAAACTATTCTACTCTTCTCCAATTAGAATTGTTCTGTAAAAGATAAAAGAAATGGGCCAAGATCCCTATGTACAATTTTTTATAAAAAAAATAAGAATTATTGTACCAAAATACCTTATACAAAAATAATAATTTACAAAAGAGATGTAAATTCGTATGGTTCAAAGAGGGAATCCACAGAGAAAAGTTGTCTTTTTAGAATGCGAATCAGATGATGATATTATCTTTCCTCTTTTGCTGTCTCCTACAGTGCCTCCATGGTATGCCAGTGGTGCTATTAAAAGTGATCCGGAAGGACACAATGATTATCCTGAAGGCAGTGGCTCAGTTTTGTACCTCCCTACCCCCAACTGCTTACCTACCAGTTAGGCAGAAATTGTATGCCTTCCACATACCTCCACACATGCACAGGGTACCCAATTCGGCCTGGGGAATGCTCCTTAACAGACAGGGTAATTCTTGCTAAGACAAGTTCCTACAGATCTTGATTATCAGTGGTGGCCCACTGAATTCTTAGATGTTCATTCCCCCTTTTCAACTTTTAATATATATAATTGGAAAAATAACATGCCTGCCTACCTGGATGATTACAAAATGATGGAAATTTTATTTACATCCATCCTTGCTATTCATACACCATGTAGTTTGACATTCAGGCTCTCAGAAATACCTTCCTCACTCCAGAGGAATGTAGAATGGTTCTAGAAAACTCAACAGGGAGCCAAAAGGCTATAAGAATCACACACACACACACACACACACACACACACACACACACAAAAATCGAGCTAGGACACTAGCTGTGCAAGCCATACCCAGGACTGAGCCAGACTGGGACCCCAATGACCCCAGAGACCAGATAAAGTTAAATTATTACAAGGAGTGTTCAGTAACTTGGATTGCGAAGGGGATCCCAAAGCTAAAAAGCCTGAACTCTTGAGAGAATCTTTGAAGCTTACAGGCAATATGCTGATACAGACTCAGAACACCCAGATAACATGAGACTTGTTAATATGACTTTCATCAATCAGAGTGCCCCGGATATAAGAAGATAAAGAGACAAAGAGTAGAAGAGGGATTGGGAATGTTGATGTCTCAATGACTATGACTGAGATTGCCTTTAAAGTGTTTAGTAACAGTGATCAAGCCCAGGAAGAGCCAAAATAATGTGACATTAGACAACAGGGTGCTCTGAATGCCACTGCTCTCATATACAATCAGATCACAGGAAAGCATATTCTGGAGGAAAAAAAAATCTTTGGATAAGACCCCCCACACCCCACCATTTGGCCAAAGGACTCTTTGCCCTTGGGGCCACCGCAGTATACAAATTGTAAGCAATAAGGCCATTGGAAACAAGAGTGTCCTAACCATTCCTGGTGGGTGAAGAAAGAAACTCCCCGCAAATCAACCCATGAGATGCCGTAGCTTACTGATATCAACGAGGGATGACAGACATGGGGGCTCTCTAGACTGCATTAGCTTTAAGAACATTTCCCATGTAAAAGGAAATTAAATTTTGGGACCCCAAACTCATTTAGCCAAAGAGAAAAGTCCGGTTGGGAACTGGATCACGCAAACCTGCCTCCCCCTTTTGATTCCTAAATAGCATGGCTACAAGATAAAAAGCTACCTGCCTCCCCCGTATTTTGCCCACAAGGAAATTCCTGCTGAGTTGTTAAAACTTCACCATGGCCAATGCAAATTGATATCTTATCTTTACAGGTGCAATCACCCCAGCCAGCCAGCCAGACACACATGTATAACTGATTGTTCTCCTACCCCATTTTGTCTGTGTTATCTTATGTAAAATGAAGATTCCCCACATTTTTCCTCTACCCCTTTTATGTAAAAACTGTATGCTTTTCAATATCCCACCCTTTCCCCTTTAAATTTGGAGCCCTCAAAGTCATCTTCAGAGAAAGGAATAGACCTGTCTTCCGGGCACATCCTTAACTTTGGCAAATAAATCTCCTAAGGTGATTGAGACTTGTCTCATTAGTTTCCTCAACTGAGATCTGGTAACCATGGAGGGATCCTGAGTAAAAGTGACCCGGCCTGCAGCAGTTCACCTCTTGCTGCTTGGTACTCAAACAAACAAACAAACAAACAAACCCACAAGGTTTTAGGAGAGAAAAACAAAAACATAAAGGCCTTTTTTTGAGAACCTTACAGCCCAAACGAACAGGAAAATTTGCCGAAGTCTGGGACCTCTTTCCTCTAGGGATCCCTGATCTTCCAACGTTTTTTAGTTGGGGGTCTGAGGTTTATCTGCTGTAAAACAAAACAAAACAAAAAAACAAAAAAAAAACACCACTACTTTTTGTGGGAGTTTTGCCACTCGCTTCCATCAAGGAAGGTGAGTTCATCTGCTTCTGCATTGGCAGAGAGTGGTCTCCAGCTTGGTCCCCATCACTAGATAAAAAAACTGATTTGGGATTGTGTCTTGCAAATTCTCTTAAATGACTAAAATTAGCATTAAAATCAGCTGATGTTAATTTGTGCTTACACTTAGAGCACTCAGAAATAGGGTAATTTGTTTGATCACTGTTAGTTTTGCTTAACTGTTTTGTTGTTATTTTTTTCTGTCTTGGTTAAATCCAAAGGGGAAACCTAAATTACGGTGAACAATGCCTCTGAAGTGGGAGGGAAAGGCCAGGAAGAGGAAAAGAAAATAAAAGAAATTATTTTTAATGTTAACTACTAAAGGGGCTTTATTTACGTAACAAGGCCAACTGTTTGCCTGCCAGAACAAACTGAAAGAGCAATGGCTGTATGTCTGAAATAGCAGCATTTTGTCCTAGCTGAAATATGGTAATAAGAAAAAAATTTTTTAAAGGAGTTCAGTGGTTAAAAGTCAGTTTAATTAAAAGGCCTTTATGTTTTTGTTTGTTTTTCTCTACTAAAACCTTGCGGGTTTTGTGTGTTTTTTTGTTTTGTTTTGTTTTTTTGAGCAAAGGTTTTGTTTTGTTTTGTTTTTTCTTCTTAGTTGACCGAATTCTGTTTTCGCCTGATTTTTTGACTAAAATAGTTATTGCAGCAGAGGCTGCTCTTGGGTTTTTTAAGGAAGAGTAGTTTAATTTTAAGTTTAATTTGGCTCAAAGGAAAATAAAAGCATCTCCCTCTAGCACCGCCACTTTTTCTCTCTGATTTTCACCTGAGTTATTTTCTTTGATGTGCAGATCTAAGGCTATTTAGCTGTCCACTGCTTAGGTTTGTCAAACAGGTTATCAAGACTCTGAAAGTCTAAGATAGGAAAAGAAAGGAGGGGGGGTTCTTTATAAATCTATAAAATGTACTTCCATCGGCATGTCTAATATGACTTTATATGCATTTATGTGTTGTGTACAAAATATTTCACTATTAAAATATATAAAAGAGCTTTAATTCATTGGCTTAAAGAAAAACAAAAGTGCTTAAATCAGATACTTAAAAAAAGACTAGTGAAATGCTTTTTCAAGTTTATGTAACTTAAGTAAAATCTTCAATAAATAAGCTAGCTTTAAAATTATTGGTAAGGTAATATTAGAAAGTCTTAATAATTGCCAGCATGCATTTTTGTTTGTGTTTATTAATCAAGCAATTTCATACTTATCCCTGCCAAATACTATATGGTGTCAAAATTTGGCATAGGGTTTACAAAATTATAAACCCAGCCCAAAACAGAGTGATCTTTTTTGTGTAATTTTTAATAAATAAAACATTAATATGGATTTGATGAAAATAGCTGCATCTTGAACTTAGGTCAAATTTTTTTTCACTGTCTCAGTTATAGTTTTGCAATGCCAGTTTTATAACTTTAAATCATGACTATCACAGTTTTCATAAATAATCCAGGTAAACAATTAAAATAAAATAATTATGCAAATGTAATGGGATAAATACTTGTAGACAAACTGGTCATAATTTAGAATATGAAGTATGTTAGTCAAATAATAGATATTTCATTATTTTGGTATTTTTTCAAAAAATATATATTGTAGGGAAACATTCTTGCTAAAAAATAAAAGGTGAACAAGTTCTAATTCAAAACTTGTTTAAAGGTTATGTGTAAAACAAAGTAAAAGGAACCAGAAAAAAAAGATGTAAAGAAAGTTATAAAAATAAAGAAGTTTTTTTTTTGTTTGAGGTAAAAAAGCTTAAAGAGAAATTTATATTTTAAAAAATCTTGTATGGTAAATTTAGTTCTAAGATAAAATAACTTTGTTTTAAAAAAACAGGGATGTTCAGAACAAATCAGAAAGTCCAACTATGTCATGAACAGTCAATATAAGTCTCAATAAGAGGATGTGTGTATATATATATATGTATATGTATATATATATAAAAATAAACGAAATTTTTTATATAATCAAGTTGCCATATTACTATTAAGTTTCGGTTTGCTTAGGAAAATAAAACTGAGATAATTTTTTATATTAAGGTTATTACATCCATGTGTCTTCCTAGATATGAAAGCCCTTGTAACATTGGGTTACAGGGCTTTTAACTCCTGAGTCTAAAAAAGGACATCAAATCCGCTAAATCTTAAACACTGACAGCAATTAAAGACTCATCTTCAGGCCCCATAGAAGATGCCAATCAAAATAAACTGTATTCCTGAGACACAAGGCAAGAAATTGAAACTATTCAACACACAAGGTCCAGAGTCTATCGTGGAAGAGGTGGAGGCATAATATTGTAAGGGCTGATTTTGAAAAATGAAATAAGTTCAGTTTCTCTAGAAATTAATCATTAATGTCAAAGGCACACTGATGCAAAACCAGTATGTGGACCCCTATGTCAGAATAACAAGGTTTTCTTGAAGCATTAACCAATTCCTTAATAAAGGTTATAAAAGGCTTACAGAAGTTATATTTTATAATTAAGATTAAAATTTATACATTGTTTACAAAATTCTGAAAAAACAAGTGTAATTGGCTTTATCCTGTTTTTATTAGAGCTTCTTGTTTAGAAAATTAAGTCAGAAACCCTGCACAGGGTCTGTGTACACAAAATAGGAGGCTAGTTTTTCCAAGGGCTGACCTGTGCTAAATAAAGAATGTCACTTTCTCACAGGCACAAAAGCCCCAGGTTTATCTTAGAACCTCAAGAGGAAAGGAAATTCACCCAACTCATAGGTATTTGATGGCACAAACCCATGGCTGGGCTCAGCTTTAAAGAAGTCTTATCTGAGATCCCTCCCATGGAACAAAGTTCCACTAAAGCCTATTTAAAAGTCTATGTAAAAAATAATTATTCTTGCTACACTGTATACAACAATTAGGCCAATTATAATAAAGACAACCAGTCCTACCATGATTTGTCTTTAGTAAAAATGCTATATAGCTGAGGTTGACAATTTGCCAACATTGGTTATAATCAGCAGGCTGGAACCAGAAATTCTCAGTACGACATGAGCTTGGGTGTCCTTGGCAAAACTGGGTGGATTTATCTAGCAAAGTTCCCCAAGGAAAGGTAATATTCAGAGGTTTGGGAATCTTGGTTAATGATGGAATTAGTTGTGGGTGAATGTTTGGTAAGTCTGTTGGTTAGGATCTACAGCAAGAGTCACATTACAAACTGTACTGGGAAGAGCACCTACATTCATTCCATTTTTTCTTTTGACTGTAACACAAATAGGGGCTATTCCCATTAAAGTGATATTACAAAAGTGGGTTTGAAAATGAGAGTTTCCTTGCAGATATCAGGGAAATATTGCTTTTCTTTTGCAAGAAGCCCTGAATATCCTTTTCAGATTGTGGTCCCATTGATTAAAAAAATATGTAATTCCACCTCTATGCTTGTCCTATCTTGGGGCAAGGCTATATAAGCTATCCTTGGTGTTTTAACAGAAGAGCTAATATATAATCAGCAATTGGTGGAGTAAGCGGATCCTGTGCTTTGGAGCAATTGCTGAGCTTTTTCCAGTAACAGAAAATCAGGATGGTGGTGTGCTACTAATAAAGGGGTGAGAATGAGAACCAGCAGGAGCAGGTCCGTGGCAACCTAAGGTGATTATGAAAAGAGAAACTGGTCACAAAGTAAGCTGACTCTGGAACTTCTGATGGTGTACAAGTTAGGGTTAAAATAGTGATAACAATCAGAGCAACTGTGAGTAAAATTTCAAATACTAGGACCACTTTACATTGAAGTAAAAAGATGTTAAGGGAGCATTACTTATCTTTTCATTTATAAAGGATTCCAGATTGTCCAGTGCCTCACAAGTGTATTATGGAGCTGAAGGTGCTGATTCTGACGCTGGTGTTTCAGGGCCTTTCCATGGCCTTATCCCAGTGTGATGTATCTAGTTGGAAATCTCTAGTACTTAATGTCTATGAAGGTACATGATGGAACAGTGAAGGGGGTCTTTCCAGACTGGAGTTAGTTGGGAATTTCGGGTTCCATCCTTCCAAGCTTTATAAAAACTAATGAGCCTGGAGGATATACATGTGGGGATTTTTCCCCTTTGGATTTTGGGTTTGTTTGTAACCCATTGGGATTACTTGGGAGCCTATTGAAAGTTTACTAAATAAGGGACATACTGGGTAATACTGGCAGTTTCTTCATTTAGTAATAATATGGTTTGGATTTGTATCCCCACCCAAATCTCATGTTGAATTGGAGGAGGGGCCTTATGGAAGGTGATTAGATCATGGTAGTGGATTTCCACCTTGCTGTTCATATGAGAGTAAGTGAGTTCTCACAAGATCTGATGCTTTAAAAGTGTGTGACACTTTTCCCTTCACCCTTTCTCAAGCACCATGTGAAGTGCTTGATTTTTCTCTTTCATTTTCTGTAATGAATGCAAGTTTCCTGAGGCCTCCAAGTCACGCTTCTTGTTAAGCCTGCAGAACTTTGAATCAACTAAATATCTTTTTTATCACAAATTACCAAGTCTTGAGTAGTTCTTTATAGCAGTGCAAGAATGGGCTAATACAGAAAATTAGTACCAGAAGGGGGCTACTGCTATAAAGATACCTAAAAATGTGGAAGCGATTTTGGAACTGAGTAATGGGCAGAGGTTGAAACAGTTTGGAGGGATTAAAAGAAGACAGGAAACTATGAGGAAATTTGGAACTTCTGAGGGACCCATTGAATGGTTTTAACCAAAATGTTGATAGTGATATGGACAATGAAGTCCAAGCTAAGATGGTCTCACATGGAGATGAGAAACTTATTGGGAACTGGAATAAAGGTCACTCTTGCTATGCTTTAGCAAAGAGACTAGCAGCATTTTGCCCTTGCCCTAGAGATCTGTGGAACATTGAACTTGAGAGATAGTATTTATGGTACCTCGTGGAAGAAATTTCTAAGCAGTAAAACATTCAAAATGTAACCTGGCTGTTTCAAAACATGTACACTCACATGCATGAACAAAGAGATAACCTGAAACTGGAATTTATATTTAAAAGCGTAGCAAAGCATAAAAGTTTGGAAAATTTGCAGCCTAGCCTGTAATCCCAGCACTTTAGGAGGCCAAGGTGGGTGGATCACTTGAGGTCAGGAGTTTGAGACCAACCGGGCCAACATAGTGAAACCTTGTCTCTACAAAAAATACAAAAATTAGCCTGGCATTGTGATGCATGCCTGTAATCTTAGCTACTCGGGAGGCTGAGGCAGGAGAATTGCATGAACCCAGGAGGTGGAGTTTGCAGTGAGCAGAGATCCTGCCACTGCACTCCAGCCTGGGTGACAAAGCAAGACTCCATCTCAAAAAAAAAAAAAAAAGGCCAAGTGTGGTGGCTCATGCCTGTAATCCCAGCACTTTGGGAGGCCAAGGCAGGCAGATCATGAGGTCAGGAGTTTGAGACCATCCTGGCTAGCACGGTGAAACCCTGTCTCTACTAAAAATACAAAAAATTAGCCGGGCGTGGTGGTAGGCACCTGTAGTCCCAGATACTTGGGAGGCTGAGGTAGGAGAATGGCGTGAACCCAGGAGGCAGAGCTTGCAGTGAGCTGAGATTGCGCCACTGCACTCCAGCCTGGGCGACAGAGAGACTCCATCAATAAATAAATAAATAAATAAATAAATAAATAAATAAATAAATAAATGACAGTTACGAACAAAAGTGAGCTGTGTAGAAAAGAAAAACCCATTTTCTAGGGAAAAAATCAAGCCAGCTGCAGAAATTTGCATAAGGAAAAAGAAGCTGAATGTTAATAGCCAAGACAATATAGAAAATGTCTCCAGAGCATGTTGGAGACTTTTGTGGCAGTCCCTCCCATCACAGGCCTGGAGGCCTAGGATTCCTGGTCTGGGCCCAGGGCCCCACTGCTCTGTGCAGCCTCAGGATATGGCAAACTGTATCCTAGCCACTCCAGCTCTAGCCATGGCTAAAAGGGGCCAAGGAACAGGTTGGGATGTTGCTTCAGAGGGTGCAAGCCCCATGCCTTGATGGCTTCCATGTGGTGTTAAACCTGCAGGACTGCAGATGGCAAGAGTTGAGGCTTGGAAGCCTCTGCCTAGATTTCAGAGGATGTATGGAAATGCCTGAATTTCCAGGCAGAAGTCTGCTGTGGGGGCAGATCCCTCATCAAAAACCTCTACTGGGGCAGTGCAGAGGGGAAATGGGCTGTTGGAGCCCCCACACAGAGTCCCCATTGGGGCACTGCCTAGTGGCGCTGTGAAAAGAGGCCCACTGTCCTCCAGACCTCAGAATGGTAGATTCACCAACAGCTTGCACAGTGCTCCTGGAAAAGCCTCAAGCACTCAGTGCCAACCCATGAAACACCTGCAAGGGCTGTACTCTGCAGAGCCACAGGGGTGGAGCTGCCCAAGACCTTGGGACCCCAGATCTTACATCCTCATGCCCTGGATGTAAGACATGAAATCAAAGGAGATTGTTTGGGAGCTTTAAGATTTAATTAGTGCCCTGCTGGGTTTCAGACTTGCATGGGGTCTGTTGCCCCTTTGTTTTGACCAATTTCTCCCTTTTGGAATGGGAGCATTTACCTAATGTCTGTAACCCTTTGTATCTTGGAGAAACTAACTTGTTTTTGATTTTACAGGCTCATAAGTGGAAGGGACTTACCTTTTTCCAGATGAGACTTTGGACTGTGGGCTTTTTAGTTAAGGACTGGGGGACTGTTAGAAAGGGACAATTGCATTTTGCAATGTGAGAAGGACATCAGATTTGAGAGGGGCCAGAGGCAGAATAATATGGCTTGGATTTGTGTCCCCACCCAAATCTCATGTTGAATTGGAGGAGGGGGATCTGGTGGAAGGCAATTGGATCATGAGGGAAGATATCCCCCTTGCTGTTCTCATGATAATAAGTGAGTTCTCAAGAGATCTATGATTTACAAGTGTGTGGTATTCTCTGTCTCTCTCTCTCTCTCTCTGTCTCTCTCTCTCCTGCTGCCATGTAAAGAAAATGACTGCTTCCCCTTCACCTTCTGCCATGATTGTAAGTTTCCTGAGACCTCTCAGTGATGCTTCCTGTTAAGCCTGTATAACTATGAATCAAATAAACCTCTTTTCTTCATAAATTACACAGTCTTAGGTAGTCCTTTATATCAGTGCAAGAATAGACTAATACAAGTAGTAAGTCCAACTTTAGAAATGCCTTGCTATATAGGGCCTTGAAGGGGCTTAATTGCAAGGGAGCCTTAGGGGCAATATGGATGTGAGGGAGATCCACCCATGGCTATGCTGTTTCCTAACAGAGTTTATTAAGGGTGCATTTGAGGTTTGGTAAGTTCTTTCCATTTTTCCTGAAGATGGTGTCTCGAGGAAGAGTGAAGGTACTACTTTATACCTAGAGCACTATTAACCTATTGAGTTACTTGGGAAATGAAGGGTGGACCATTGTCATTCTGCAATGACCTGGGGAACCCAAAGAAGGGAATAAGTTCCTTTAGGAGGCATTTAGTTACCTCCTGTGTCTTTTCAGCCCTTGTGGGGTGGGCTGCTACCCATTCTGTGAAGGTATATACACAGACAAAGAAGTACTTAAACCTGCAGCATTCAGGGAGCTGGGTAAAGTTCATCTGCCAGGTCTCCTAAGCTTTTGTATCTGTCCTTTGAATTGGACTTATTAGTGAGAGGGGTTCCCTCTCTGGGGATTATTTATGGTTCATAACATGTAGGCTTGACAAATCTGTTGAATGGTTTTGTTCAGTCACTTCCCACTGAATACCCATTTACAAATTTGTCCTGGACTCTTCTTTCCAAGATGGTAGTAGTCTTGTAACTCCTGATGACTTTCTATTGGGAGACTTTAAGGTAGATGGAGGAGTTCTCCTAAATTGCACCAATCATTGATTTTTTTTCTTTACACCCATGTTGGGTGCCCCAGTCTATTTCTTCTTTGGTGTATATGAAAAGGGGCAGTTCACTGGGGAGAGAAATAATGGCAGTTACCTAGGAGGGAATTCTGAGGGCAACCTGGAGGGGCTGGTGGACTTATAAGGCAGCCAATATTTAGAGATGCTGCTTTTCTTTCCACCTTTCCTTTCTCTGACTTCTTTGCTTTTTCTCCTGGTCCTGGTTGTAAAAGACTGAGGAAGCTATTTTGGGGATTTCAGGCATAAGAGTGTTGGGGCCCAGTGCTAGGTTTTGGAATCCCCAAAATACCTGGGGATTCCTGAGTTAGGAAATGGTTCTTTAGGATCAATTTCCATTCTGGTTTCTCTGGGTTTAGTTTGGTATGCTTCACTAGGGCCTCTTGTAGCGTCTCTAGGAAAGTGGTGGGGTTTTCAAGAGGGGCTTGATCTATTAAGACCAATTTATTATAATTCACAGGCTTTGCTCTTCTAGCTTTCATTTCTTCTACCAAACACAGGAACATGTGGTTCCTTCTCCATATACCCCCTCAGTATTGTGATCACAACTGGGTCAACCTGGGGAACCGTGATGGCCCCCTACAGGGTAGCCACCAAGGTTAGTCATATGCATTGCATTTACAAATTATTGAGCCACCTCCATAATGGAGTCACATTCTCCTTTACATGGAGGCTTCTCTAGTATGACTGAGATATCCCTCCAGACGAGTTCAAATGTGCAGGCCAGTTTACAGAACCCTTTGATGTACTTGTCAGTGACTTTCATAAACTTCCCTAGTTCCATTTTAGTTTGGCTCAGGTTTTGCATAATGAATAGGTCTGGACTCTAGTGGGTCCACTGGGGTCACTAACCTCTTGAAGGGGGCATAACTTAAGGGAGTGGTATAGAGGATGGTCCTGGGTACAGAGGGGAAGGGTCTAGGGCTCAGATACTTAGAAATAATGGGATAGAAGGAACAGTGGGGTTTGGGTTTGGCTGTGCTCTTTGTTCCTCCAGGGCTTGAACTTTGGGTAAACCCAATAAGAGGTTTCCTGAGCCAACCAAAGAAGCTGCCTGACCATGGTTTCTACCATTGCTGGATCCATTTTGCAAGCCTGAAAAAGGTCAGGGTTGTCTCTTCAGGCCATGAAGGTCTGTAGATGGGGAATTTCTGTCAATTTTTCTTTCTGGAGACAAAGCAATCTAGTTGATAGATTGTATTAAAAGTTATTCTTCCATTTTCTAGCCAAGATTCCTGGTTCCAGAGCTTATATTCAACCCAGCATGCATTACAGAAAAAATATTAGCCCTTTTCATATTAGAGTTTTGGGGCCAAACTTCTTCCAGTTGTTGAGGATGTATCCGAGGGGTGTATTCCGCAGCATGGATGTGTGATTTCCCATCTGTAAAGAGAGAACAGAGGAGGAAAAAAAGAAAAAGAAGGCATCCCATCTTATTTTTCTATTATCGTTTACTGAATAGGGCACACCCCATTTGTCCTTAGGGTTCTGGAATAAACAGTCTTACTGCATACCCTTATCCTTGGTCCCATCTTGTCATGATTACCCACTTGAGAACAGAGGAGATACCAGAGTAAATAGGGGACATCCTATTCATCCTTGGAGTTCTGAAATAAAATGGTCTTACCCCTGACCTTGCCTTTATCTCTGTTCTAATGTTAATATGTCCTGGGGCCAGCTTTTGTCTCTGTCCTAAGGGGACTTTTATCTTTTGTTCCTGCAGCGTTGGGCCAGCCTATATCATTGTCTTCATGACCTTATAGTGACTCTCAGAACATTCAACAACAAAAGGATTATGTCTTTTTCCAGATTCCTGTGTTTTTTAAGTAGACAAGAAGCCTCTTTTTTCAGCCAACTGCTGCAAGGGGGCTTGACTTCCCTCCCTTTGCATATGACCTTGAAAGTCTTGATGTTTATTGAGAAGGGCATGGAAATGATTAAAGAAATGAAGGAAAATTTGTATTTGGGGTTCTTCATCCTCCAGGGATAATATGCAGAACAAATGCTTAAGCAAACAGGTAAATCCCTCTGCTACAGGAGGAAGTTAGAGGAAGCAATATGGATACCAAGGGAAATCCTTTACATGCTCACAAAAATAGCAGCCCTTGTATTCAAAAGGTCAACATTTATTTGCCCTCTTGTTGTAAAGGAGGAACCTTTGGAGGACTTGGGACTTGGGATAAGGGCTCACAAATGGCAAAGGAAGAATTTTCCCTCCTCCAAAAGGATGCTAACTCAAAACAAACAAACAAACAAACAAACAAGTAGGTAAGGTCCTAAAAGGGTCGTAGAGTGAGGCCCTATGCATGTGGACAAAGTGTTTCAAAAGCCACAAAAATAACTTGGCCCTGTAGTGTAACAGAGATTCCTAGTTAGGAATCATTCCTCTAACTATGTCACTAATTAGTTGACTTTCAGTTAATTAAAATGGGGATTACCTTGGTGGTCCTGACCTATCCAGGTGAGCATTGAAAGTGAGTAGGATTATCTGTAAGATAAGAATTTGACAGGAGTGAGATTCTTTGTTGCTAGCTTCAAAGATGAAAGAACCACATGACAAGGAAATGAGAGCAGTACCTAGCAGTTGAGACTAATCCTTGGCAAACAGCCAGCAAGAAAATAGAAACCTGAGTCTTACAACAGCAAGCAATTAATTTATGCCAACAGTATAAGGCAGATCAGAAGAAGATCTTTCCTTAGTTGAGCCTCTAGATGAGAATACAATTTAGTGATTCCTAGATTTCAGCCTTTTGATCCCCTGAGATAAAATATCCCAGACACAGGATGCAAGGAATCTGTGAAATAATATTTTGTTGTTTTTTGTTTTTGTTTTTTGTGTTTTTGTTTTTTGAGACGGAGTCTCACTCTTGTTGCCCAGGCTGGAGTGCCATGGCGCAATCTCCACTCACTGCAACCTCCCCCTTCTGGGATCAAGCAATTCTCCTGCCTCAGCTACCCAAGTAGCTGGGATTGCAGGTGCCTGCCATCACGCCCGACTAATTTTTTGTATTTTTAGTAGAGATGGGGTTTCACCATGTTGGCCAGGCTAGTCTTGAACTCCTGACCTCAGGTGATCTGCCTGCATCGGCCCGCCAAAGTACTGGGATAACAGGGTAAAGTCACTCCACCCAGCCAATATTTTGTTCATTTAAGTGCTAAGTTTGTAGTAATTTGTTAATGCAGCAATAGAAAACTTGCAGTCAATCTTTATCAAACTACGTGCCATTTCAGGAACATGGTGTTCAACGTCTTTTCCCAGTCTCTTAACACCTAGTATTACTCCTTCCTAGATGCTCTCTCTAAACTCAAAATTTCTTTAACCACATATCATCCACTAGATTTAAAAGAATAATTATTAAAATGTTATAACCTTTGTGAAATCCCTTGAAAATATTGTGTCCTCACTATTTTTCATGTGTATATTTGTTGCAATGTAATTAGTTTTACATCTATGTTCCTTACTCAACCCTATTTATTGTGGACAGAACTGTATAATAACCATATTTGTAATCCTTAATTAGAGCATTTATTCATTCATTCATTCACTCATTCAGCTACTTGGGTAGCTGAGGCAGGAGAATTGCTTGATCCCAGAAGGGGGAGGTTGCAGTGAGTGGAGATTGCACCATGGCACTCCAGCCTGGGCAACAAGAGTGAGTTGCAGTTATAAATAAATGAGTGAATGAAAGAATGAATACTTTATACTAGATTCTACTTTGCTTCTATATTATGTCTACTTATATCTCTCAATTTAGAGTCCTGCATTGTCATAATACAATATTACAAAAATGGTACAGCCTAATTTATTAAATTCAGTGATGAGTTAGGAATTATTTCATACTTCAGTTGTGCATTTAATCTTGTTTTAGGGGAATGTTGTATCTTTTTTTTAGTATGTAGAAGTAGTTATATGCCTCATTATTTATAGTTTAAAGATTCGTATAGAAAGAGGTATGTAAAAATCTAGAGGAAAAAAACTCAGAGCATGGAACAATGACTAGGAAGACACTGTTGCTAAAAAGTGTGTGTGTGTGTGTGTGTGTGTGTGTGGTTTTTTTTGTCCTAAATTGTATCAGCCGGAAGATTTCAATTTGCAGCTGTGAAAGAAGTATGTAGAGCAGGGGTCTTCAACCCTTGGGCTGTGAAATGGTACTGTTTCGCGTCCTGTTAGGAGCGGGCTGCCAAGCAGGAGGTGAGTGGTGGGTGAGTGAGCACTATAGCCTGAGCTCCTCATCCTGTCAGATCAGTGACATCATTAGATTCTCATAGGAGTGCAAACCCTACTGTGAACTGAGCATGTAAGAGAGCTAAGTTGCACACTCCTTATCAGAATCTAATGCCTGATGATCTTCTGAAGTAGAACAGTTTCATCCCCAAACCATCCACCACCCTGGTCCATGGAAATATTTTCTTCCGTTAAACTAGTCCCTAGTGTCCAAAGGTTGGGGACTGATGTCCTAGAGGACAGTATGAAGTAAGAAACTTTATTTTCAATTGTCCTTTTACAATATGCAGCCATTTCTTTTGACACCAGGGTAAACAGAAGTGAGACGCTTCTCTGCAGCCCTAGTTTATCCCTGGGATCTTTGTTGATCTTCCTATGTTATTCTTAGTATTCTGTTTTCATCTTCTCTGTACTTTATGATTCCTAGCTATATATTTTATTTTCTGATATATTTAACCAGCTTTCTTGAAACTTAACATTTCTGTTTAACTCTTTCATTCACTAGCTTATTTCTTTTCTAGTTCACTTTCTTTCCTTCTTAAGTCAATTTCTGAGCATATATTTGGTGGCATTAAGATTATTATAAAGTACCTAATTTTTGTTATCTATATAAATGACATGCCTGACACCCATTTATGATAAAACGTGATTTGCTTATTATCAATATCAATACCGAGATCATTGAGCCAGCCAGCTGCAATTGAATAGTAAAACTTGAGAGCTGAAAGGACCTTAAAGATTATTTAATAATGCAGTTCCTGCATTTGCATACAGATAAGGTAACAGATAAGGTCAGTAGAAGCTGAATTACTTGTGTAAGTTCACATAATTAGTATGAGGCAGGAAAAAATTTTGTTCTTTGATACATTTGAAAAGTTTTTTTAAAAACATTCCACTGTTTCTGTTAGTCCCAGGAGCCTCTTAAAAGTAAGGAGATATCAATAGTACCATGAAATGCTAATATAGTGATTATTATATGGCAGGGGTTATTAAAGGAGAGAGGTAAACTAGAGATATATATGATATATATTTGTGCATAGAATATATTTGCAGCCATAGATGGTGATGTATATAAAGATAAATTGGTATAGAACTGAGCTTTGAGTGATTCTATATTAATAGGGGGGATAAAAATAGAGTAGGGGGATTCTCTTAAGATGGAGGAGTAGGAAGTATATCTGTCTCCCCCGACACACAACTATTGCATGGGGAGTATCTGTGTGATGCAGGTACTTTGGAACTCTGTTGATGACCTGCAAGTTCCAGTAGATGGCTTGGATGGTAAATTACAGTTAATTTCAGACTATTTTAACTCTTACCACAATAGCAATTACCTTTTATCTACCTTCAGCCCCAGGGCAGACAGCTGTGCATGTATTCTTGAAGTAACCTACACACAGTTTGTGAAAGCCAGGGTGGGCAAAAAATTACCCTGTCCTCCAAATACAGGAGATCTGTGTTCTGATAGTTGACTGGTGTTTTGTATCACATAGATACAAATAGGTGAGAAGCCACTGTTGTACCTTCCATATTGTTGAAAACCCCTCCCCTTCTGGGTGAAGTAACTTCCAGGGGATTTAAAAGAGCAGCACTCTTTTCTCTGTCTTCACTTTTCTCTTTTTCCCCTTATGTGAGTCAAACATTAAAAAGTAGGACATTCAACTGCAAAAGCAGCTGCATATAAGAGAAAATGATCTTGAAAGTTCAAGGAAAGGTGCTGCTCAGAAAAGACCGGAATAGACCTTATGACCTTAAATTTACACCTCAGGCTGCTCCATGGCACAGAGTCAGTCTAAAAACAGTTTTGCAAAAAAACATCAAAGCAAAAGCAAAACAAAAGAAAAACAAAAATAACAAAAAATAGCAAACTTTATCAGAGCATACTCTGATTCCCAGAATTATTATATTAGATCCAAATGTGTAGTTTTCAACAAAAAAAATCACAAAGCATAAAATATAACATTAAAGTTTTTTTATATTATTGTGGTTAATAGAGTTATTGAGCAGAGTTTTTTGCATGCTATTGAAGTTAAACTGTTATAAATTCAAATTAGAGTGTTATAACTTTAGGATATAAAGTAATCTCATTGGTGACCACAAAGAAAATACCTGTAGAATATATACACAACACAAAATGAGAAAGAAAATTAGACTATGATATTTAAACACTAAAGAAGACAGTAATGAAAGAAATGAGGAACAAAATAGTTATAAGGCATATCAAAAGCAAATTGCAAAATAATGAAAGTAAGTCTCTTATTATTAGTAACTACTTTAAATGTAAATGGATTAAACACTCCAATCAAAAGACAGAGATGGAATTGATAAAAACGTAACCCATCTATTTGCTGTGTACAAGAGACTCACTTTAGATCCAAAGAAACAAATAGGTTCTAAGTTAAAATTTAGAAAATGTTATCCCTTGCAAATAGTAAGTAAAAGAGACTACAAGAGACTCACTTTAGATCCAAATAAACAAATAGGTTCAAAGTTAAAATTTAAAAAATGTTATCCCTTGCAAATAGTAAGTAAAAGAGAGCAGGGGTACACTAATATCAAAAAAACCCATTAAATTTAAAAGTTTACAAGAAAAAAGGACATTAAATGTTAGTAAAAGGCTCAAAGAATAAAAGAATATAATGATTATAAATATCTATATATCTAATGACAGACTATCAAAATATATAAAGCAAAAATTGATAGAACTGAAAACTATCATTAGTGCAGATACATTTAGGATTTCAGTTTTACATGTCAAAATTATTAGTATTCTTACTTGTGATTTTCTTCCTATACATTAAGATATTTAAAAGGGCAATTCCTTGCTGCCATACTTTTACTTCTAAGGTAATGAGGTGTTGATTGTACTTAAAGATTATAAATACCTATTTATAATCTCTTCACATGATTAAATATGCTGAAGGAGACAGATATTCATAATATAATTACAAAACAAGCAATGATCTGGTAAATGCTTAACAGTGGTTATAGAGGACAAAGGGGGAAGTGATTGATTTGTTTTGGTTGAAGGGTAAAAGTGGAAATGCTACATAAACACTTTAAAACTGGCCCTTGAAGATAAAGCAGGAGTTCCCTGTGTATTCCCTACAAGGTAATGTCTCAATCCATATCATAGAGACCAGGAACTATAGATAATGGTGGGCAACCTATTGCAGTTGAAGTTTGTAGAGTTGAGTATTTATGTGTAGAAAAGAAGAGGTAAAGATATAATAATAAATTCAAATAGAGGAAAAACATTTTTTAATGATTTCTGTTAGACATAATTATTAAATGTTTTAAATATCCTATTCAGTTTATTCTGACAACATTGTGAGGTAAATGTATGAACTTCATTTTCCAGATAAAGAAATGGAGGCATAGGAAAGTAACACTTCCAGCTCCAAATAGCACAATTTTAAATGACAAATTTATATTTCAAAAGATTCAAAGATAAGTCTGTTTCCAAAACCTACACACTTCTAAATATGTAACAATGTCTACTCTAAATACACAGGCCAGGTAAATAGTTTGAAATTCTCTAGCTAATAAATTATTTTTTTAATGCAGAAAATGGTTAAGATAGAGGTTTCTCAGTTAATTATTAAGGAAAGAAAATGAACTGACAAATTTTTTGGTCAAAAAATCAAATAGAAACTTTAAAGAAGTCATTGAAAAAAATTCATAGCATGAGCAGCATTTAGTAACGTGCTTCCCCAAAATTAACAGTAGACAATGCCAGATTTGATGAAAAACATCATCTTCTAAATGTAAGGATAAAAGCACTCTTCTAAGTTGAATTTAGTTGCGTATTGAAATTCTATGTTTCAATTAATATATTCAACTATTTACTCTTATATCTTCTTTTCAACTAATGACATAAATTATCATGATGCTTGTTTGATGACATGGCAGCCCTTGGGAAAAAGCACACACATGCAAATGAAGTAGAATGTATTTTGTGTTTTGGGCTTTGCATTCTTATTTTTCTTTCCTGAAAATAGTAATTAAATATCATTAGAGATAACATTTTGTGTACATGTTCACACGGATGGATTTCAAAATAAATACACATGAATGTTAAGTTATTTTTTAGTTAATGTTCTTTGCTTAACAAAAAACAAGAGATAAAGTACAATGGTCATTTGTGGTTAACATTTTATCTCTTCCCCTTCCATTTGGATTTGATATTTCCTTTTGAAGAAGCACTATTAATCTTAGTCCATGTGATTTGGGATGGTTCACACTCTACCTTGTAGATTCCTGAAAAACAGTCTAGGCTTTCTAAGGGTCTCTCTTCACACATGTTCTGGGATGCAAATAACTTGATTATTTTCATTACAATCTTCCCAGGACATTTTAAAATATTATCTGGAAAAATACATTTTGTCTATCTAAAAACTTCTTTTATAGAGCTTTCTAGAAAATAAAGCTAACATAGAGAAGGTTACCATTCAGAGAAACACCCTGTGTCCTACTACCGTGGTTTGAGGCCCTTGGCCTTTCCATAGCTGAGACTTTTCATGCATATGAGCAAATAAATGTCTTCCTTTCTTCTTCCCTCCCTCCCTCCTTCTCTCCCTGCCTCCCTCTCTTCCTTCCTTCCTTCCTTCCATTGTTCTATTTAATTTAAGCCGTTTTAAGGTGATATTTTTGCCAATATCAAAAGAGTTTTTATTAATAAAGAAAGCAGCTTAAAAATAAGTGAAAAGAATGTACTAGTAAATTATTACCTTGCTAACATAATCAATGTAATGGCACAAGGCAATGGGAATTCTGAAATCCTACCACAGGGCACAGATCTCAGATGAGTCAGCTTTAAAAGTTTGCATTTAGATACATTCACTCAAAAAATATATTGCCAAAGGTTAAATGAATAAGATAATTTGTGACATATAGTTCCTGTGGCTTGATATGGACATCATCTCATTCTGGGTTTAGTCATCTCCTCTCATATGGTTTAAGGTTGGGCAATGCCAAAGGGAAGGATGGCTGTATCCAAAGAAATTGTAAAGGGATTTTCTACAGAAAACAGATGCCCAGACAGATGTATAAGTATATGTACCAAATTGTAAGAGACAGGAAGATGAAAATTGGATATTATTTCAAAATGAAGCATTTATATTTTTAATATATAACTACAGAATTATAGCTCTATTGGGGAAAATGTCTATCTTCTATTCACAAAAAGACTTAAGGACAGCTAGTCCATTCAAATTAATCTAATTGAAGATCTTCTAAAAAATGAAAACAAAAATGTGGATAAAGGAATCTAAGGAATACATGTGTACAAATTAGTATTATAGTCTCAGAGCCAGAAACTATTATATGATTCAGAGGCTAAATGGCAACATGATATTTAATTTTTCAGCAATATTGTACATTAGAGATGATGACTAAACCTCTCCTTGAAAATAGCTAAAATACAAATAATAAAAGACTTAATATTTACCGGATTAAAATCTAATGCAGAGATGTAAAAGAATAAATCCCTGGAGGCCAAAATAGAGTGGCACCTGAAAGCCAAAAGACATAAAGGTAGAAAACAACAAAAACAACAGCAGCTACTGCCGGTTCTTGACCTGAAGCCATATACTGAACTCTTATGCACTTGGCTATTCAACTAATATATCAGAAGGCAGTAGAACTAGAAATAAAGATTAAGCAAGCAAGTATAAGAACATTTAAAATGAATGGGCTATCAATGGGCCTAATCCTAACCTACAAAATGAAGGGCCAGATTTTCTTCGTTTCTTTCTTTAATGCTGAAATAATGAGATGAGCCAGCAGATGCAACACACACCTGAATCACCAGATTTTGATATAAAATAAGTATAAAAAATAAAAAAAGATTAAAAATATGAATAAGAAAAATAACCAAGAAGATCTGTAAAAACATCATATGAAACATGAAGAAATTTAAAACAAAATAAAAATAAAATAATATAACCAGTGGCTTACAATTGAGAAAAAATAGATATGAATAAATTATCCATAATATATACAAAGATGTAAAGAAATATTCAAAGATAATTCATATCAAAATTTTGGCATGCTGTGAGAGCAGTACATAAAGAGAAGTGTATAGCATTGATTACACATGTTTTTAAAAAGATCTAAAACAAGTAACCTAAGATTCTACCTTACAAAACTAGAAAAAGAAGAGCAAATTAAACTTCAAGTAAAGATAAGATTAAACATAAAAATTGGGACAGAATCAATGAAATCAAAAATAAGAAATTAATAGAGAAAATCGACAAAACCAGCAGCTGCTTCTTTGAAAAGATCAACAAAATTGATAAGCCTCTAGTCATGCTAGCTAAGAGAAAGATTCAAATTACTAATATCAAAAAGAGCACACATCACTACAGATGTTATAAAGACAAAAAGAGTAAAACAAAATTATGAAGTTTTATGTCCAAGATTTGAAAACCTGGGTAAAATAGACCAATTCTTCAAAAGGCACAATCTGCCAAAACTCATGCAAGAAGAAACTGACAGTCTTAATAGGCTTATGTCTATTAAACATATTGAATCAATAATCAATAGCTTTGAAAAACAAAATGTACCAGGTCCAGATGCGTTCACTGGTGAATTCCACAAAACATCAAAGGAATAACTTATACCAGTTCTCCACAATCTCTTAGAAAAAACAGAAGCAAAGAGAACACTTCTAACTCACTCCATGAGGTCAGCTGTATCCTTATATCAAATCTAGGCAAAGACATTACAGGAAAGTTTTTAAAAAGTGACAAGAACAAGCCAATATATTTCACAAAGATAAATGTAAAAATTTTCAACAAGATATTAGAAAATCTAATAATGTATAAAAATATTTTTCCGCCTCAACCAAATAACAGCATACTTAGGGTGAAAAACTTAGCAGGACAAAGATTTCCTGCTAAGAAATCCTGCTAAGAAATCAACATTGTGCTTAAAGCCCTAGCTGATGCAACAAGAAAAACATGAAATAACAAATATACATCTTGATTGATGGAAGGAATAAAAGTGTCTTTGGTTGTAGAAAACATAATTATCTATGTAGAAAACCTAAAAGAATATATTAAATAACCTCTTGGAACTAGTAAATGACTATAGCAGGGTTGCAGGACACAAGACAAACTCACAAAAGTGAATCACTTCTGAACATTCCAGCAGGCCCAACACCACATGGAAGCTGCCAAGGCATGGGGCTTGTACTCTCTGAAGCAATGGCCTGAGCTGTACCTTGGCCCCCTTTAGCCACAGCTAGAGCTGAAGCAGCTGGGATGCAGGGCACTATGTCTGGAGGCTGCATATAGCATGGGGCCCTGGGCCTGGCCCACTAAACCATTTTTTTCCTCCTAGGCCTCTGGGCCTGTGGGAGGGGCTGCCATGAAAGTCTCTGCCATGCCTTGAAGACATTTTCCCTATTGTCTTGGTGTTTAACATTCAGCTCCTCAGTACTTATGCAAATTTTTGCTGCAGGCTTGAATTTTTCCCCAGAAAATGGGATTTTCTTTCCTATCACATTGTTGGGTTGCAAATTTTCCAAACTTATGTGCTCTAATTCCTCTTGAATACTTTGCTACTTAGAAATTTCTTTCACCAGGTACCCTAAATCATCTCTCTTAAGTTCTAAGTTCCACACATCTCTAGGGCAGGAGCAAAATGTTGCCAGCCTCTTAAGTAAAGCATAACAACAGTCACCTTTGTTCCAGGTCCCAACAAGTTACTCATCATCTCCATCGGAGACCACCTCAGCCTGGACTTCATTGTCAGTATCACTATCTGCATTTTGGTCAAAGCCATTTAGCAAGTCTCTAGAAAGTTCCAAACTTTCCCATATCTTCCCATCTTCTGAGCCCTCCAAGTCTCTAGGAAGTTCCAAATTTTCCCACATTTTCCTATCTTCTTCTGAGCTCTCCAAATTGTTCCACCCTCTTCCTGTTACTTGGTTCCAAAGTTGCTTCCACATTCCTTATAGCAGCACCCCACTCTCAGTACCAATTTACTGTATTAGTTCCTTCTCATGCTGCTACGAAGAAATACTTGAGACTGGACAACTTATAAAGGAAAGAGGTTTAATTGTCTCACAGTTCCACATGGCTGGGAAGGCCTCAGGAAACTTACAATCATGGTGGAAGAGGAGGCAAACATGTCCTTCCACACAGGTGGCAGGAGAGAGAAGAATGAGTGCCTAGCAAATAAAGAAGCCTCCTATAAAACCACAGATCTCTTGAAAACTAACTCACTTTCATGACAACAGGATGAGGAAAACATATCCCATGATTCAATTATCTTTACCAAGTCATTCCCATGACATATACAGATTGTGGGAACTACAATTCAAGATGAGATTTGAGTGGGGACACAACCAAACCATATCAGACAGGACACAAAAAATAAAAAGCAAGAAATTAAATTATACCAACAGAGAAAAACACCTTCACTAAATTTATATGGAACCACAAAAGACCCAGAATAGCCAAAACTATCCTAAGAAAAAGGGACAAAACTGGAAGAATTACATTACCTAACTTCAAATTGTACTGTAGAGATAGAGTAACCAAAACAGCATGGTACTGGCATAAATACAGACATATAAACCAGTGGAAGGGAATAGATAACCCAGAAATAAGTTCACACATCTACAGTGAACTCATTTTCATCAAGGATGCCAAGAACATACACTGAGGAAAAGACAAACTCATTAATAAATGGTCTTGAGAAACTAGAATATCCTTATCCAGAAGAACAAAACTATACTGTGTCTCTCACAATATACAAAAAGTAAATCAAAGCAGATTAAAGATTTAAACCTAAGACCTCATCCTGTGCTACTAAAAGAAGACAGTGGGGAAACTCTCCAGGACATTAATCTGGGCAAATATTTATTGAGTAATACCCCAAAAGCACAGGCAACCAAAGCACAAATGGGCAGATGAGATCATATCAGGTTAAGAAGCTTCTGCACAACAAAGGAAACAATCAACAAAGTAAAAAGACAGCCTACAAAATGGGAGAAAATATCTGCAAACTATCCATCTAACAAGGGACAAATCACCAGAATATAGAAGAAAGCTCAAACAACTCTACAGAAAAAAATATATAATAATTCAATTTAAAATTAGGCAAAAGATCTGCATGGATATTTCTCAAAAGAAGACATATAAATGACAAACAGGTTTATAAAAAGGTGATCAATATCACTAATCATCAGAGAAATGCAAATTAAAACTACAGTGAGATGTTATCTCACCCCAGTTAAAATTACTTTTATACAAATGGTAGGCAATAACAAATAATGGGAAGGGTGTGGAGAAAAGGGAACCCTAGTATACTGTTAATGGGAATGCAAATTACTACAACCACTATGGGGAAGAGTTTGGGGGTTCCTCAAAAAACTAAAAGATAGAGACCATATGATACAGCAATCCTAGTGAGAAAAAGTAAGATTCAAAATTAATAAAATCGGTATATCAAAGAGACAGCTGCACTCCGATGTTTGTTGCAGTACTGTTGATAATAGCTAAGATTTGGAAGCAACGCAAATGTTTATCAACAGATGAATGGATAAAGAAAACATGGTCCATGTAAACAATGGAGTACTATTCAGCTGTTAAAAGGAATGAGATCCTGTTATTTGCAACAACATAGATGGGATTGGAGATCATCATGTTAGGTCAAATAAGCCAGGCACAGAAAGACAAACTTCACACGTTCTCACTCATTTATGGAAGCGAAAATGTAAAACAATTGAACTCATAGAGATAGAGAGTAGAAGGATAATTATTGGAGGCTAGGAAGGGTAATGAGGGAGTGAGGGGGAAATGGGGATGATTAGTGGGCACAAAAATATAAATAATTAATAAGACCTAACATTTTCTAGCTCAACAGGGTGACTATAGCAAAAAAAATTTATCGTACATTTAAAAATAAGTAAGAGTATAATTAGATTCTTTGCAACACAAAAGATAAATGTTTGGGGTAATAGATACCCTATTTTCCCTGATGTGATTATTACACATTGCATGTTTGTATCAAGATATCTCAGGTACCTCATAAATATATACACCTACTGTGTACTCAAAAATTAAAATTAAACACTAAATAAAAATTAAATACTAAATAAATAGATAAATAGCAGGTGTTTTGTTGTTGTTTTATTGTATTTATTTATTTATTTGAGATAGGGTCTCCCTCTGTTGCCAAGGCTGGAGTGATCCTCCCAGACACAAGTGATTCTCCCACCTCAGCTTGGCTCAAGTGATTCTCCCACCTCAGCTTCCTGAGTAGCTGGGTCCACAGGTTCCCATCATCACACCTAGATAATTTTTGTATTTTTTTTTTGTAGAGACATGTTTTCTCAGTATTGCCCAGTCTGATCTCGAACTGCTGGGCTCAAACGATCCTTCCACCCGGGCCTCCCAAAGTACTAGGATGACAGGCTATTTGACCAGGCCCGGCCAAATAGCAGTATTTTAATATAGGTTTGTGTCTTAGGACTTTTTTGTTTTACAGTTTATTTGCTTTTTTTTTTTTAAGGTTTTAAAGATGAAGACAATGGGACAATTTTAAATGATAGACCAGAGGCATTTGGTGGAATGCTGACATTTGTCTTAAGTGTTTGCTTCAAATATATTCTCTAGACACTTTAAAGGAAATAATCTATCATTTCGTATTTGTTTGCTAAAACTACAATGTAGTACTAGTTCCCCTCTTTCCCTCTCTTCCATGGGTTAAATGGAATTACAATAGATATAAAACCATAAATTATTTAAAGTATAAAAAATAATTGTCATGAATGACCTGTTGAAAATTAAAATAACACAGATGCTGCTAAATTTAAGAAGCTGCTATCTCCCCAAGGAGCAGTTAATGGATTTATACATAATTTTATATTAGATTCTTCTGCTTTATACTATAGAAGGCAACTAGTTGTAAAATAGTAGAATTTTAGTGTTAAGAGGAAGTAATTTAGAGGATAAAAATTAGCTGGATTTTGATATGAAGTCTGGACTTTAATGTGGTCTCATAAAACCACTAGTAGCTACCACTAAATACAGTAATAAATACAAAGCTAGTACTTCATTAATTTTAAAAAACATGTACATTTAATACATGTTTAATACATGGATATATATTTATAAGACATCCAATAAAATAATAGTGTTAAAATAATTTTAGAATTATGAAGATAAATTTTGTTTCTCTTTTTCTATTCATCAAAAAAGAATCATTTTACTCACTACTCACTACAGCTATGCTTTCTTTGAGGTCTGATAAGGAGCATATCTTGAAATATTAATCTCTTGAGATATATATTAATGTTTATTAACTATCAGATCACAAACCTCTTCCTAAAAAAATCTGTTTATAGAATCAATTAAACAGAACAGTGAATCTGTATGCATAGTTTGAAGGACTTTTATCCCAATATAAATCAGAGTAATTGGAGTATAGATTTAGTTGATTGGAAAACATAACCTATTCTTAGGCTAAGCTTTATCATTTTTAATTTTCTTCTGTTATTTTTATTCCAGAGAAGATATCATCACCCTTGTAAAATGATTACTTATATGGTTTCATGGACTAATATAGTTTAGACCCAAAATTCAGAAACTGAAGATCTTACTCTTCGATTATTAAAACTAAATTGTCCTGCTTGTAAAATAAAATTAACCTCCATTCTTTAATAAAATGAATATATAATCCAATAAATAACATTCTAGACTAATAGAAGCAGTTTTGCCAAGCTTGGGCTAATAGGAATTGATGGAATTCTCTTTTACAAATCTGAATCAAACAGGTTGTTGGTTTGATATGAATTATTGTGGTCCAGAATTTTCTCTATAGTTTTACATCACCTTGTTAATTAAACTAAATAACCCTGGAGGTAATGATGAGCATAATAATATTTTAGGAAAAAATATTAGTAAATTACATATTTAAGAGTTGTGGCAACTTAGTTTTGTGTTTATAAAACACAGTAAAAAAGTTTCTTATTCCAACATGGAAATAAATACTCATCACATAATGAATTTCTTTCTAACTAAATATACCAACTGCAAGTCACTATCATTGTGGGGATTTGGTTTTCAAAGATGAAGATAAAGAAGTCCTAAGCAAAAAGAATGAAGTTGGAGACATCACACTACCTGATGTCAACCTATACAATAAAGCCACAGTAACCCAAACAGCTTGATATTGGTAAAAAAAAAAAAAAAAAACAGACACATAGGCCAATGGAACAGAATAAAAAACTCAGAAATAAGCCACACACCTAAAACCATCTGATCTTCGACAAGACCAACAAAATCAAGCAAGGTGGAAAATCTTTCTATTCAATAAATGATTCTGGGATAACTGACTAGCCATATGTAGAAGGTTTACACTGGGCCGCTACCTTTCACTTTTTAAAATTATTATTATTTTATAGAGACATGGTCTAGCTCTGTCACTAAGGCAGAAGTGCAGTGACATGGTCATGGCTCACTGCTGCCTCCACCTCCCAGGTTCAAGCAATCCTTGCACCACAGCTACCCAAGTAGCTGGGACTACAGGTGCATGCGACCACTCACAGCTAATTCTTAATTTTTTCTAGAGATGGGGTCTCTCTAAGTTGCCCAGGCTGGTCTAAAACTTCTGGCCTCAAGTGGTCCTTACACCTCAGCCTTCCACAGTGCTGTGTAGGCAGGCGGGAGTCACTGTGACTGGCCATATATAGAAATTAACTCAAAATGGATTAAAGGTTTAAATGTGAGACCTCAAACTACAGAAATCTTGAAATACAACCTACAGAATACTCTTTCCAACACTGGCCTTGACAAAATAATTTTGTCTAAGTCTCCAAAAGCACCTGCAACAAAACAAAATGGAAAAGTGGAATCTAATTAAACAAAAGAGCTTCTGTACAGCAAAAGAAACGATCAACAGAGTAAGCAGACACCCTAAAGAATGGAAAACAAATTTTCAAACTCTGCATCCTACAAAGGTTTAATACCCAGAATCTATAGGGTACTTAAATCTATAAGCAAAAAACAAATAACTCCATTAAAAAAAATGGGCAAAGGGTGTGAACAGATACTTCTCAAAGGAAGACATACAAGTGGCTCACATGAGAAAATGCTCAACAACACTAATCATCAGAGATGTGCAAATTAAGACCACAATGAGATACAATCTGACACCAGTCAGAGTGGCTATTATTAAAACAATACAAAAACATCAAATGATGGCTAGGCCGCGGAGTAAAGGAAGCACTTATACACTATTGAGGGGATGTAAATTAGTCCAGACACTGTGGAAAGTAGTCTGCAGATTTCTCAAAGAACTGAAAACAGAGCTACTATTCGACCCAGCAATCCTTACTTGATATATATCCAAATAAAATAAATCATTCTACCAAAAAGACATATGCACTTGTGTGTTCATCACTGTGCTATTAACAATGGCAAAGAAATAAAATCAACTCAGTTGTTTATCAATGGTAGATTAGATATATAAAATATTGTATATATGTAACAAGGAATACTACACAGCCATAAAGAATGAAATCTTTTCCTTTGCAGCAACATGGGTGGGTTGAGCCACCCATGTTGCTGCAAAGGAAAAGGTTTTATTATTAAAAAGATTATATTCATTATTATAAATAAATTAATACAAAAACAGAAAACCTAATACTGAATGTTCTCACTTATAAGTGGAAACTAAGCATTGAGTATACCTGGCCACAGATATGGGAACAATAGACACTGTGGACTACTAGAGCGTAAGGGAATGGGTTAAAAATCTATCTCTCAGGTACTGTACTCACCACCAGAATGATGGGATTAGTACTCCAAACCTCAGCATCACACAATTTTTCCACGTAACAAATCTGCACATGTACCCCCGTATCTAAAATAGAAGTTAAAATAAAAAGAGATGAAGCTAAATCCCATGCATAAATACACTGAAATTACATACTTTTGTGCTATATACTCAGCAAGCTATCCTGGCACAGGTATATTTTGAATAAACTATGTGCAGTAAATAATTTCACACTTTTAAATTGGGTTTGTTTGATAGAATAAGATAATTTATAAACTTGAGTAATAAAATGAAAATAGAAGACAGGAAGAATCAAAATAATGCTAAAGGCAATAATTGCTACAAGCATCTGAGAAGAGATACTTCTCAGAATGATTACATTAGAAGAAATAGTTTACAAAGTATATGATTTTTATTTCCTGTAGAACTAAGACATTATCTCATGAATATTCAAAGGGCACCTACTGCCTTAGGAATACACAAATGGTCATATATGCTTTACATAAAATTATGTACAAAGAATAATATGTTTAGTATAATATATATGTTTTAAAAGCATAGCAACTCAAAGTATGAGTTTAGAAAATTTTATAGTATTAAAATTAAATAAAGCAAGCAACAAAGTTTAGTTGAGACAATTTAATAGGCTACCTCCCATTGGTAATGCTCTGTTAAATCCACTACTGGGCTGTATATAGGGGCTAGCTTCTGAGTATAAAATAATTTGATTTCCCATTTTATTCTATCACAACTAATTAACTAAATGCCTTGCAGTTGAACAGAAACTGTTATAACTCAGACAAGAGCTATTATAATTTGAGTTTTCCTTTGGGTTTCTGCCAAATTCTTCCTCCAAAAAATAATCACTGATGCACAGGTTTAACTTGATGCTTTGTGTTGTCATAAAAATATAAATGACTTCACAGCCAAATATAATATACTTCATTTACTTTCCTCATTTATTTACAGTCACTGCATAGTGAAGTTGTTTCTTGGCTTAAAAAATAAACACAACTTCTTAGGCTATTAAATTAATAGAATACAACAACTAGAAACAAGTATTTGACCCAGTTTAATTTCATTTTAAAATACATAATCCAAGAAATTTGTCCACAAAATGTAAAGAGACTGTTTTTCTATCACCAGCATGTGCTGTGCCCAAGAGATTAAATACAAGTAGTGTAAGTGGAAATTACTGAATTAATTTACTTAAAATGAAAGATAATATCAGCTAGTGGCTTTTAATCTCAATGTATTTCTGGCAAAAACAAGGCAGGTTGTCATTTTTATAATTTTTGGTGGGAATTTAAATCACCTTTATTAAATATGCGTTATTACTACTTATGTAAATAATATTTTTTGAAGAAGAGGGTGCTAAAATAGAACTCCTTTTTGTAAGTTAGGAATATGATGGTAGACACATAAGTAGTGATAGTTAAAATAATATGATATCTACTAACAAAAACATTGAAATATGATGGACTTAAATAAGATACTATTGTAGGAAAATTTTTATTTTCAAATGAGCTGATTTGAATTGAGCTCCATTGGCATGTGGCTTTATAAATACTATAAAATGTCTTTGATTTTATTTTTTTCCTAGCAAATTTTCTTTTCTTTCTTTCTTTTTTTTTTTTTTTTTTTGAGACAGAGTTTTGCTCTTGTTGCCCAGCCTGGTGTGCAGTGGTGGGATCTTGGCTCACTGCAACCTCTGCCTCCCGGGTTCAAGCTATTCTCCTGACCCAGCTTCCTGATTAGCTGGGATTACAGGTGTGCACCACCATGCCCAGCTAATTTTTTGTATTTTTAGTGGAGATGGGGTTTCATTATGTTGGCCAGGCTGGTCTCAAACTCCCAAACTCAGGTGATCTATCTGCCTCGGCCTCTCAAAGTGCAGAGATTACAGGCATGAGCCACTGCGCCAGGCCGCAAATTTTCTTTTCTTTTTTCTTTTTTTTAACTTTTATTTTAAGTTCAGGTCTACATGTGCAGGTTTGTTACATAGGTCAATGTGTCATGGGGGTTTGTTGTACAAATTATTTAATCATCCAGCTATTAAGCCTAGCACCCATTAGTTATTTTTCCTGATCCTCTCCCTCCTCTTCAAAGGTGTTTTCTTTGTCTCTAAACCTAGAAAGGTAATATAAGTTGTATGGTTACAGTTGTTAGAAAACAATTGTAAAAGTAAAGTAAAGTTTACAATATTGAAAAGTCAAAGTAAGTAAAAGTGCAGAGTAAACTACCTGAAGCAATGGCCATTTTTAAATGGATTTTAACATTTAACCCTTTGAACCACTATTAGATGATGATAAAATTAATCTATGCTACTCTACATTTAATCATATTAAGAAGTAGTTTTGATTAGTAAAGCTTGATGTACTTTAATCAGGAAAATAAAATGCATCAGGCAATAGGGGGATCAAATTATATTCCCAGTGGATAGGGTTTTAAGACTTCTTGGTAAAAATGAAGTTATTTTCCTGCTTTACCTTCTTTGTACAAAGATCCTCTTAAAATGGGAAACCAACTATTGTAAGCCTTTGGATCCCCTGAACAGTTTTGTTTTAAGTTAGAATCATTTTCTGAAAACATTCAGTGTCATGAAAGACAGATAAGATAAAATACTGTGTTAAATTTCTCTTTGGGTAAATTTTCCTCGGCTATGCTTCCATTCTACATTATCTTACACATCAGATTCTTTGCTGTATAATTAATGAAAAGCCCTTTGCTTATGTTTTCATTTCCTATAATTTTCATACATTATTACAGAACTCTCCAAAGCTAATTGACTGTTTATGTGGCATTAATAGTAAGTAAAATGTCATAGTCTAACGGTCATGTAATGCTGAACACCTCTAAAAGGGTGTGTTTTCTGCCGAGGATAGTCTGCCTATATAATGTTAAAAATACTTTGGTACAAATATTGCTATTTCTAAGTCTGTGTCTTGAGTGTTTGTTAAATGTTGCAGTAACATTTTTTGTCCACAAATGCCAAAACAAAAGTGTTTTTGGTTAAAAAAAAAAAAAAAGATACATCTGAGAAAATGATCAGTTAAGTGGAATTTTAGATAGAGTGCTGATTGTAGTATTGTTTAGCATCCATAATGATTTTTGCTTGAAATATGTGTTGTGCAATAATATTGCACAAAACTACGACAGTGAATTACAATTTCCTTGAGAATACCCTTGTAAAACAGGCCTTGTCATTTGCGTTGTTGACATGAAGAAGGCTGTTTCATAAAACTACTCATAAATCAAAGCTATCTCCAAGAATATGTAAGATATTTTAATATGTTTTTCTCCTAAAGTATTATCATCTTGGACAAGTTCATGTAGTGTTAGCTATTTTTAACAACATAATTGCTTTACTTCTATGGTTCTAAATCAGTTGTGTCTGTTTATTTTCCTAATGAAACAGAAATGTTAAAACCTCTTGTTTATAAAATACCAAGAATTCCAGAAATTTCTTAAGTAAAATGGTATTATTGTTAATTTTTTATCAATAGCGAGTGCACTATGCTCTATTTTCCTGACATTATCAACTACCTTATTATATATCTTATGCTTATACTTATTTTCCTGAAATTAACTACTTTGTGTAAACCAAATATGTTTCATTATAATCATTTAAAGGCTTTCATAATTTTTGTTGAGTATGTTATCCACGTTTTGCTAAATGTTACATATTGTCAAGCTAAATGTATAACTTTTAATAATATGCACTTCTTTTGTATACACATTACTTTGGAATCAGTGAAGTAAGAATTTTGCGTAAAAGCTTTTAGAAGCAGATTTTAATATAGATTATATTAGGCCTACTAAATGATTCCTTTTTTCTTTTAATTTCTCTAGTAGTGTATATACTTTATTAACTAACTTTATTTCCAATGAAATAAAATATGCAGCAACACTTCTGCACTGCTATTATTTGGTTGTTTATTTGTGAAGGGGAAAAATCCACCAAAAGCAAGTAAGTAGGAGAAAGGAAAATATTTAAATGTAGACAAGAATAAATATAAAAGAATTTAAAAGAGTAATGGGAGGAAGAGTAAAATAGAGATTAAAGAGAAAGAAGAGGTGTGTGGATCAAATGAATTATTAGGTAGGAATAGTGGTTAGATTCGCAAAGCAAATGAGGATAAGAAAAGGTGTACAGGAAGAAATGGCTAGGTAGGCAGGGAAACAATCGGGTAAGGTTGACCAAGAGGAACTGAAGTCATGCGTCCAGCTTAAAAACAAAAACTGTAGGCATAGGAAATCAAGGTTAATTAAGGAAGAGTAAAGCAGGCTTGTAAAACTTGTGTGGACAGAAAATCTAGAAGCCCTGTAATTTAGCAAAATTAATATTCATAAGCATATTTGCAGAAATCTGATTTTAGAAAAGCAGCTGCGTACAAATTTGTTTAAAATTGTCCTCTAAGTTTGAGCAGCAATTAACTCATGCTAACAAAAGGGCATCAGAGACCTGCAGTTGATTACAACAAATGCCAGAATTATCTAAAACTTCCAAAATAAAGTTCCCAGTTTATTTTAGTATTGGTATCTATATGTTAATTTAGACGTTCTACATAGACTATTAAATAGTCAACATAAAAACTGAACTGGATCTCCACACTCAGTGACATTACTCTTTCTATTACACAAAAAGTTTTTGTCAGGAAACTACAATCAATGCTGAAGATACATGTGTAACATTACTAGCAAAATCGCTATTCTCATTTTCTTTGATTCCGAGAAGGACTGAAACTAGAATGTACTCCTAATCTTTTCCACTGAATGATCATCTTTGATAACCCAAAGGACACTTATTAATGCCCATTTTATTACTCAATTAACCAGTCATTCTTCCATCTATCGTCTCAACATTTTTTCAGCACCACTTGCATGCCAAGTATTGTGAGAAATACTGATGGAACAGAGATGAACAGAATTGAGAAGAATTTCTTATAATTAATTCACTTACAGTTAGAAAGCCAAGTTAATAAGTATGCCCACTAGGAAGAGGACTTTTACTGGGATTAAAAACTCTGACTTAGCTAGTTAAAGTTTATTTTTGTCAAGTAACTCTCTTTGGTTAGGGAAATATTTTTAAAGTCCCTTATGAATAGAAACTAAGGATTCATGGACATAGCATTTGAGAACATTCTAAAATGCTTAGCAAAGTTGTCTACTACAAAGTGAACAGGAAACCAGAGGTGTAACATATTAAAAATGAGAAAAGACAGTGAAACATGGGGAGAGGAAGAGAAATAAAATAATATGATGGGAGATTGGTGCCTGGATTGATAAAGGGGGTTAAGAGCCCTTTTTAAGAGCAGGGAAACTGGTGTCATTTGAAAATTATTTTCTGTACAGTACTGACATACGGCACCTGTAATAAGTTATTCTTAAATGTACAGCCAACAATATTTCTTTTCAGTGATATTATTTGTGACATAGAGCAGAGGAAGTAAAGAGAACTTTCTGCACTCAAATTGGGTCAGCACTAGATCACTGTGCACAGAAGTCTTATAATTCAGCAAAAGCTGGAAATCAGAGCTAGATTGAATAGAAAATAGCAATTGAATGAGAATTGTTGTGTAATAATGAGAGGGCACTGGGTTTCATGCAGGACTTGTGGCAGGATTTGAACCCATTTTCTCTGGATATTAAGGAGCACCATGCTATACTAAGAATATTAGGATGCTTATTTTCATCCCAACTTGCAAGTGTAACAATAAAGTTTTATAAGGTCACAAGGCAGATATCTAACTCTATCATTCTGTCTCTGGAAATAATACTTTTATCTCATAACTCTTCTCATTTTCCTTCTCTTTTCTGTCTTCCAGGGTACCAATTGCTGTGAACTCTTTTTTATCAATTGACAATAATAATGGTCTTTCAGAATCAAAAGTAAAATTCCTGCCATAAAATGCTGAGCTTGTGTTCTTAGAGTAACTTTTACTCCTAGTAATACACAATGAAACTGTTATTGACTCCCAGCTGTCCATGCCGTGAGCTACTAGCCCAGCCTGAGAAAGCATCAACCTGCCCAGGGTATAAGCCTTTTATTGCTATTGCAGTATTATTCCACTTTCAATATACCTTAACGTCACAGTATTAGTCTGTTCTCACATTGCTATAAGGACATACCTGATGCTCAGTAATTTATAAAGGAAAGAGTTTTAATTGACTCACAGTTCTACATGGCTGGGAAGGCCTCAGGAAACTTACACTCTTGCCAGAAAGGGAAGCAAACACATCCTTCTTCACAAGGCAGTAAGGAGAAGTGCATATCTAAGTGGAGGAAAAGTCCCTTATAAAACCATCAGATTTTGTGAGAATTCTCTCACTATCATGAGAACAGCATGGAGGTAACCATCCCTATGATTAAATTACCTCCTACCAGGTCTGTCCCATGACACATGGGGATTATAAGAACTACAGTTCAATATGAAATTTGGGTGGGGACACAGACAAACCATATCATTCCACCCCTGGCCTCTTCCACATCTCATGTCCTCACATTTCAAAACACAATCATGCCCTTCCAACAGTCTTCAAAAAGCTTAACTCATGCCAGCATTAACTCAAAAGTCCAAGTCCAAAGCCTCATCTGAGAGAAGGCAAGTTCCTTCTGCCTATGAGCTAGTAAAATCAAAAACAAGTTAGTTACTTCATAGATACAATGGGGGTACAGCATTAGGCCAATTATTGACTTCTGTGCACCTGCAGGATCAACACTACGTGGAAGATGCCAAGACTTGGGGCTTGCACACTCTGAAGCTATGGCCCAAGCTGTAACTTGGCTCCTTTTAGCCACATCTGGAGTGGCTAGGACACAGGGCACCAAGTCCCTAGACTGCACACGGCAGGGGGGCCCTGGGCCCAGCCCACTAAACCATTTTTTTTCTGCTTGGCCTCTGGGCCTGATGGGAGGGGCTGCTGTGACATTCTCTAGCATTCCCTGGAGACATTTTTCCCATTATCTTGGTGATTAGCACTCATCTCCTGTTACTTATGCAAATTTCTGTAGCCAGTTTGAATTTCTCCCCAGAAAGTGGTTTTATTTATTTTTTTCTACTGCATCATCAGGCTACAAATTTTTAAAACTTGTATGCTCTGCTTCCTCTTGAACACTTTGCTGCTTAGAAATGTCTTCTGCCACATACGCTAAATCGTCTCTATCTAAAGTTCAAAGTTTCGCAGATCTCCAAGGCAGGGGCAAAATGCTGTCAGGCTGTTTGCATAGCAAGAGGGACCTTTACTACAGTTCCCAAAAAGTTCCTCATCTTCATCTAAGACCAACTCAGCCTGGACTTCATTGTCCATATCACTACCAGCATTTTGGTCAAAGCCATTCAACAAGTCTGTAGGAAGTTCAAAAGTTTCCCACATTTTCCTACCTTCTTCTCTGAGCCCTCCAAACTATTCAAGCCTCTGCCTGTTACCCAGTTCCAAAGACACTTCCACATTTTCAGGTATCTTTATAGCAGTGCCCCACTACCCAGTACCAATTTACTATATTAATTAATGCTCACACTGGTATGAAGAACTGCTTGAGGCTGGGTAATTTATAAAGGAAAGAGTTTTAATTGACTCACAGTTTTGCATGGCTAGGGAGGCCTCAGGAAACTTACAGTCATGTCAGAAGAAGAAGCAAACACATCCTTCTTCATGTGGAGGGAGGAGAGAGGGGTGCAGAGCAAAAGGTAGGAGAGGCCCTTTATAAGACCATCAGATCTTGTGAGAACTCACTATCATGAGAACAGCATGGAAAGAACTGCTCCCATGATTCATTTACCTTTCACTGGGTCCCTCCCATGACATGTGGGGATTATGGGAACTACAGTTCAAGATGAGATATGGATGTGGACACAGCCAAACCGTATCAATCACCTAGTGTTGATTCCCCTAACTTTTGAGTACATTTGCACTCATATCACAGTGGATGCCTCATAACACTTTCTTTTTAAAAAAATTATTCTAGTATATTCTACAGGAAAATTTTAAAGAGCTACCTGAGAAGTAGCTCTTTACAAGAAAGTACAAAGAGTGCAAGCTTTCTACATATATGAGCTATTTCTTGTTTATTTGATTTTAATACTTTGCAAGTATACACTTAACTAATGATATCTCTCAATTTTGAATATTTTTATATTAATAAAATGAGTATCCTTTGAAAACTAAACAGTGTCATGAACATCATACATCTCAGAAAGTTTATCTGGCATTTATTCATGTTAAAATGTTTTTAAAAACTATATCAAAATAACTATTGGAATGGACCTGTATATGGCACCATAAATATTAAAGTTTACAATAATTAAACTACAGAGGACATAGACCATATTTTATATTATAATTTGTATTTTCACTTTTATTATAGAAAATACAATTTTCCCATTGTTATACATTCAAGGAGGCAACTTCAAAGAATAATTTATATTGTGCTTTATGTTTCCACTTGTGCATAAACACTACAAAGGTAGAGTCTATTTTTCAGGGTTATTGATTGTATGAGATACATTTATTTTTATTGATCTTGACATAGCAATTTTTTTAATTTTTAATTTTTGCGAGTAAATTGTAGCTATTTTTAAAGTAATAATTCGTGGAGAATGTTTGAAATAGTTAATATTAATACTCACTTTTTCAAAGATATTTGTTACTTAAAATTGCAGACCTATGTAAGTAAGAGAATCTGTTCAACAGTGTATATACTGCAGCTGTTCAATATAATATAGCTAGCAGTTTAACAAACAAGAATAGTATGCTATAGAATTTCAAATTAAAGAAAGTATAGGCTCAAAATAAATTAAAATTAAATAATAAAATTAATTTGAGAATTCACATTAAATTGAACTGAAAATTTGGTTAAAATGAAATAATATTCAATCTCAAGAATAATGAGCAAGGCAAGAATTAGAGTAGCCAATTATAATTAAGTATGCCTTAGATCCATGATAGAATGATTACAGAAATACATAGACAAAATACTTAACCTTCCATGAAGAAATGAAGTAACGCTTTCTGGGGAAAATGAGAGGGAGGGTGAGACTTGAAGAATGAATAGGAATTAGACTGACCAATGTTGAGAAAAATGATAGAAGATGAGTCATGACTAAAATGTATGTGATATGAGGCTGGAGATGGACAAGCAGGCCTTTAGGCACTTTGTAAATGCTAAGTATTTTGACATTTATTTAAGGGCATTGGGAGTCTATGTCATGAAATTAGAAACTGATATGATCATATTTGTCTTACATTAAGGTTACTGTAATTGTAGCATGAGGAATGGATTGGAGATTAATTAAGAAGCTGCTATAGTAACCACAGAAAGAGACTCTATTGACATAACTAGGATTGAGGCAGTGGGAATGGTGGAAAGTTGATGGAGATAGAGTAAGATAGAATCAGCTGGCCTTGGTCATTGATTTAATGGGAGAAGTGCAGAGAGAAAAAAATTGAAGAAATAACAATAATGTTTAGGTTTGTTGCTTGAATAACTAGAGAACTGGCAATACCATTAAGTAAGATGAAAAATAGAAAGAACGGGATAGATGTGAGGCCAAGAGAATGCTTTAATTATTTTTGAGCATGCTGAGTTTGAAACATATTTCAGACTTTCAGGTGGAGATATCCAATACGTTAGCTATAGGAACTTCAAGTTCAGAATCGGATAGCTGAAAATATGGATTCTTTGATCTCTGTAATGCTCATATGCATTGCAAGAAAAGCCCTAGGAAGAGATTCTATGAAAAAACATATGATAATTTAAGTGATTAAAAATCTAAGAATTATAGATTGGATTGGTTATACCTGTCAGACTTCAGCAAAGTGAATGCAAGCAGAAAAATTCCAAGTCATAGTCTCCCTGAGAGAAAACAGTCAGGAAACACGTATCCATGTTATGACTCCACCTCTAGAAGCCTGTAGCAGAAACAATAACATTAAATATTCACGTACTCTTTCACGTTTCTCAGTCCACTTGCAGTTGAGGCCATGTGATGGCAACTTGCCAGAGGCTGATATGTGTAATCATAAAAACAGCTGTGATAGGGAGAGAAGTCTTTGTTAAAGATTATAAAGAAATAGAGATTAAGAACTCTTAATCAACATTCTATATTATAATAAGCATCCTCATTTTCCACCAGTGTTTTATGGCGTTGGCCAAGTATGATAGGGCTATGAAATGAGTAAGCAGGGAGTTTGTATGGGGAAGAGGATATAGAGCTGTTGATAGGCAATCTTGCTACAACAGCAGGAACCTTATAGAGTCAATTGCTGAGTATTAAAATGGTTTACTGGGCATGGTATTCCACTGATGTTTTGGCCTTAGTTCATTATAAATCATGATAGTTTCATGGACATTGAGATGCTGCAGATATATTGCTAGGAAAACACCAATTTAACATACAAAATGCTACACTTTATTTATACTAAGATCAATATACCAATGTTCCTCCATTCCTCAAACAATTTATAGGTTGAAATATAACAGAAAAACAGAAAGATGACTCTTCTAAAAGTAACATGCTGGTACAATATATTAGAGATAACCAGTATCTTTAACCTCCAGCCTTATTTTTCAATGAGAAAACTTTGCTTCAGACTCAAGAACGTACATTATCAATGCAAACAATTGACAGTATCCTTTAGGCCTTTTATTTATTCCTTCATATTAATGAAGTAACTTATTTGATTGGTGAGATATGGAGATCTTCACGAGGTAGAAAAACCCTGTTAAGCTAAGCTGACTGCTGGCTGGGGTCAGTGTATTAAAAATATAATGTGTGTTTGTCTACTGATTTTTAAATAATTCTCTTTATTGCACTATTGATTTGTAAAACAGGCCTCAATCTTCTTTCATGGCTGAGTGTGCTATTTAGCACTCAACTGTCCCCACGGGTAGGTGGAAGTATCCTCAATTTGCTCTCAGTTCTAAGTCACAAGATCTAAAACAATACTCAATAAATGTACAGAAATAAGCAATGGGAAAAGGACTCTATTCGATAAATATTAATAGTACTTGGACAACTGTCTGCATATATACAGAAGAATGAAACTAGACTTTTATCTTTCATCATATGAAAAAATTAACTCACAATGAATTAAAGATTTAAATGTAAAACCCCAAGCTATGAAAATCCTGGAAGACAGCCTAGGAAACACCAATCTGAACATCAGCCTTGACAAAGAATTTATGGTTAAGTCCTCAAAAGCAATTGCAACCAAACAAAAATGAGACCTAATTAAATGAAAGAACTTCTGCAAAACTAAAGAAATTATCAACAGAATTTCCATCAACAGACCCCCTACAGACTGGAAGAAAATATTTACAAACTAGGCATCTGACAAAGGTCTAATATCCAGAATCTAAAAGGAAGTAAAACTAATCAACAAATAAAAATCAAATAACCCCACTAAAAATGGGCAAAGGACATGAACAGACACTTCTCAAAAAAAGACATACAAATGGCTAACAAACTTCTGAAAAAATGCTCAACGTCACTAATCTTAATAGAAATGCAAATTAAAACTGCAATGAGATGTCAGTTCACACCAGTCAGGATGGCTATTATTTAAAAGTCAGAACAGATGCTGGTGAGGCTGCAGAGAAAAGGGAAGGCTTATACAATGTTGGTGAGAATGTAAATTAGTCCAGCCACTGTGGTAAGCAATTTGGAGATTTCTCAAGGAACTTAAACTAGAACAGCCATTTAACCCAGCAATCCCATTACTAGGCTGTATTAGGCAGGGTTCTCTAGAGGGACAGAACCAATAGGATATATGTATGTATAAAGGGGAGTTTATTAAGAAGAATTGACTCACACTATCACAAGGTGAAGTTCCACGATAGGCCATCTGCAAGCTGAGGAGCAAAGAAGCCAGTCCAAGTCCCAAAACCTCAAAATTAGGGAAACTGACAGTGCAGCTTTCAGTCTGTGGCTGAAGGCCTGAGAGCCCCTGGCAAACCACTGGTGTAACTCCAAGAGTTCAAAAGCTGAAGAACTTGGAGTCTGATGTTCCAGGGTAGGAAGCATTCAGTACGGGAGAAACATGAAAGCTGGAAGACTCAGAGAGTCAGCTTCTGCCTTTTTCTGCCTGCTTTTTCTCGCCACGCTGACAGCCAATTAGATGGCGCCAACCCACAGTGTCGGTGACTCTTCCTGAGGATGGGTCTTCCTCTCCCAGTCCTCTGACTCAAATGTTAATCTATTCTGGTAACACCTAGAAACACCCAGATACCCGGAAACAATACTTTGCATCCTCACACACTATTCACAACAGCAAAGACATGGAATTAACATAGGTTCCCATCAATGGTGGATTGGATAAAGAAAATGTGATACCTATATAATATGTAATACTATACAGTCATAGAAACATTTCAGTTGTTTAAACTCTTTGACTACTATGAATACTGTTGCTATGAACATTTATGTATAAGTAGTTGCATTGCTTTTTCCTTATGTATGTATAAGTGTGTGGAGATTTGGTTTAACCTGGGGCGTATACCTATAAGTAGTAATGCAGGGTCATAACTGTTTTTCAAAGTGGCTATAACATTTTTACATTTCCATCGGTGAATGTAAATGTTTCCAATTTCTCCACAGTTTCACCAACACTTGTTATTGTCTGTCTTTGTGATTCCATTATACTTTTCAAATGGGTGTAAAATAGTACCTCATTATGGTTTTGCTTTGCATTTCGCTAACGATAACAACGATGAGTATCTTTTCATGTGCTCATTACACACTTGTATATCTTTTTGGAGAAATGTCTATTCAAATCCTCTTCCCATTTTAAATTAGATTATTTATCTTTTCTAACCTCTTATTATACTCACCCGGATGAGTGGATTATTTTGTTGGTGAGTAAGCTAAAACAAAGAACTGCACTATTGAATATAATTACACAAATCACAGATCTAACACACTTACACACTTATACTAACACACATGTCTTTTCATGTGTATATTTGAAATTATTAGTGAAGCCTCATAGTGAGTAAGATCTATAATGTGGAAAGGAAGGAGTTGGGAAATACATGTTTTCTTAAGTTCTTATTTCCACATTGGAGACCCAAGGTAATATACATAGTCTCTAATAAGGTCTCATATCACTCACAGAAGAAGGAAAATTTAGGTAATAAAACATTTTTATATCATCCCCTAGATGATCACCTATTTTACTGTATTTTCCATGGATCCAGTTCTATAAGTTCATACATTGTAGGCTTGTTTAACATAAGCAATTCTGAATTAAGAACCTTTCACTAAAAAGTTCTTAAGATATGGGCTTACCTTTAATATCATTAGTCTATTTTCCAGGAAAGCTAGTAATTACCATGTTTGCAAAGCGTGTAGACCAGGTGGCCAGCTGCTTTTTAGAGGAGTGCCCCTGTCCCCCAGCCTAGATTATTGGGAAAGAACTGGATCTCAAATCAGCTATTTTAGCTGATTCTCCAAAGTGAATAACAGTCACTGGTCCACATTTGGATGAGTAGACCTAATTTCTTACATCTTAAGATTGTGTGTGTCTGTGTATGTGTGTACCTGTGGGGATAGCAGCAACATAGGAGTATGGATCTTTCTTTTCCTTTTTCACCTAGAACAAGTATGATTACCCTCCCTGGTTAAGTATGCCTGCTCTTGTTGTTAAATATTTCCTCAAGTGATCTGACCAAGATATAGACTAGAGATTCTCAAATGATGTTCTCCAAAGCAGGTGCATCAGTACCACCTGAGGACCTGTCAGAAATGCAAATCCTGAGGCCTCATTCAGGCCTCTGAATCAGAAATTCTGGGGTCAAGCCCCAGTTACATGTGTTTTAAAGCCCTTTGTGTGTTCTCATGTATGCCCTAGTTTGAAAACCACTGGTCTAGACTGTGAGAAAAGTTATTAGTAGTCTCATTAGCTAGTTTCCTCTGGCTCGCAATTTAAATCACCTTTATAGTTATTCCCAGTTTCCAATTTTGAATAATTCCTTTGGCTTTTAGTAATTTTGAAGCTAAAATGCCTCCAACAATTTGGGCTTATAAAAATATTATTGCTTCTCCACTTTGAATTGAAAAACAATTCTTATATGTTGAAATAATTCTGTTTTCCCATCCCTTATAGATATCAAGCTTTCAGTTCAGTCCTTACCTTGACACTTATGTTTTTTTCTGAGAGTGTGTTTAATCTTAAGACTCAGAAAGAACAACTTTATGTCTAAGATGTACTTTTCAGTCTTTACTTCTTTAACTCTCAAATAAGGAATATAGCAATATTCTTTAGTACCAAATCTACTACTATTTCTATATTGTGCATGTCTAGTCAATATACTTGTGGTGATTTTAACCTTATTTGTATTATTAATGTCCCTGTATTATCACGGTTTCCAGCAGCTTCATTTTTCTTCTTATATGAACATGATTTTTTTTATTATACTTTAAGTTTTAGGGTACATGTGCACAATGTGCAGGTTAGTTACCTATGTATACATGTGACATGCTGGTGTGCTGCACCCACTAACTCGTCATCTAGCATTAGGTATATCTCCCAATGCTATCCCTCCCCCCTCCCCCCACCCCACAACAGTCCCCAGAGTGTGATGTTCCCCTTCCTGTGTCCATGTGTTCTCATTATGAATATGATTTTTAACATATGTGTTTTAAAATGTCTCCTCAGTCTACCACCTTTTAATGCTCAAAAATTCAACCTTGTATTGTCTATTTAACAAAATCTTTCTTTGTTTTCTTGAAACATAAAATTCTAAAATATTTTAAATTTTAATGCAACAGGAATTCAATCTTAAGGTTGACTTGAGTTCACCCTAATATTTCAAAATATGTGGAGAGTTTGGGGAGATATTAATGATATGCATTTATTTGAGGGATCTCACTCTATTTGCCTAGCAAAAAAACCAAAACTTAGAGAATAAACCTAATGCTTATGTATAGAAAAATATGCCAGGGAAAAATTACTAGAGTAATATATATTTTGCTGTATAAAAATATTGTATATATTTATTTTATATAGTAGTATAATATTAATTAAATCTGTTAGCATTTATTGAAATATCCATTCTAAACTTAGAAAAATGACAAAATCCAAAATGTACAGTTTGCAAAGCAATAAACAAGAATAGAAAAGTAGAATAAAGAACACCAATTAAAGAGTAAGATCTTGGGTTTTTAACTTAAACTGCTTATAATAACCTACTTGCTTTGAAATACAATAGGTAACTTGGAAAAAAATGTAATATGTGTACATATACATAGAGAGAGGAGAAATATTCTACTGTAATAATTAAGTATTTTATGTGTATTTTTAAATTTTAAGAAGAAAAAGCATTTTATTTTGCTGTGGTGTTTACTCAAATTTGTTTTTATTTTTTCTTTTCATATGCATAGAAAACATGTTCCTTTTTGTAATAAAATTTTAAATCATATTTAATTTTTAAAAGCTTTATTGACACTACTTAAAATTAAAGTCAAAGCCGAAAGATAAGTTTCTACTTTATGCAAAGTTTCACAGATATTAAAAATAACAAGCATCAAGCTATGATACTGACATTTTTGTTTTAAATTCAGCTAAAACCTGTAAGGAGTTATTTTTGACATTCTATTAAATTATTGTATTTATTCAACCAGAATAGTCAATGTGATGGTAACTTTAACTCCTATTATTAATATCTTTTTCTTATTATCTTACTTTCTTATGCTTTTTATTGCACATTTGTGAAAGTCAGGTTTAATTTATACTCTATCTTAGCATCATAGCAAAATCTACACACATGTAAGTGTCCTTGATTTTTACCAAACAAGGATTAGTGCCTATTATATTCTTGGGCTCAGCCTCATTCTTTCACATGACAGTTTCAGTCCCGCTTAATCCTATTTTTTGAATCCAAATAAGATACTTTCATTTGATTTAGCACTTTATCCTCTAAAGTCACTTGGCTTAATGGGTCTAATTTTGACTTTTTAGTCATTTTATTCATAAATGTACCATCATGTTCATCATTTTATGAGGCTTATGATGAATTCAACCACAGATCACTGAAAATAAGGCACAGAGTCAGATAGCAGGCCACCTTATTAGCACTTTTTTCCAGACCAATAATCATGTTGCTATTTGAAATTTAGCAAATTGCTGTCATATCATCCATTTCCAGGCCTTTCTTTAAATGACCCTGTCAGATTATTTTGCTGCTAGGTTGAAGCCAACCATGATAATGCTGCCACATGTGAATTTTGGAAGTACACAGCTCTTTCTTCATACTATTGGAAAGAAAAGAGTATTTTGCCACCACCGTGCAATAGAGTGTTTTCTAAATTTATTAATTTTATTTTTTATTTGAAAAATAGGTCTTATGTAGCTGGGGACTTCTTTCAGATAGTAGCCAAGCTTAAATCATATTAAAATATACAATATGTTTCTGAAAGTTCCAGAAATCATTTTAAAATTTTCAATAATATTTCTCACCCCAAGTGAACATGTATATCTATGTGTGAAACTTAAGTGTGCTTAAAAAATTAAAACAACAACAACAACACACGTTATTGTATGCACAGGTATTCAAAGGGACGTTATCTATCATAAAGATAAAATTACTTTCCCTGTATTTTTGAAGATTACAAAGGGAAATAATTGAGATTGTATTTCTCATATTGCAAAATAAACTTTGCATTCCACTGAGTTTCAATGGTATAGATGGCAAATTTGCATTGGCATAAACTTTTTTTTTCCTCAGAATGAAGCAAATGGTAAATTGTTTTCTTTAGATTAAATAGTGGTACTAAAGATGCCTTAAGTTTTGAGAAACAGAGTCATATTCGTGTCATCACAATTACAAGGTACTTTCTCTGAAATTGCTTTGAGAAGTAAAGACAGAAACAAACATCAGACAATTTTTTTCCAGGTTACCACAGTAATTCTAATAGCCCAACCACAATTCTAGTATATCAAGTAAAACCTTAATAATTTGTCTTTTAGAAATAGGCAAATAATGTTCCTGAATAATAGTCCCGCTTCTACCTCCATATATATAATTCTTGGCTAGCTAATTATTTTTCTTTCCCTGTGTCGAAGAGTGGAAAATCCCTGGAATGGAATCTGATTGGTTTCCCGATCATAACTGTTTGTCTTAAATAGTGATCTCTCACATCACATCTTCTGGATATATTTAGCTAGACATTCATTCTTTGCTCAATTAACTGAGGCCAGAGTGAGAGAGCATTAAATTGAATAATTCCCATAAACAATTCAGAAATTAATATGGCCATGGCAATAAATAATAAAGCAGTTTCCTAGATGAGAATGAGTGGAGTTACTTGTAGACACCTCACTTACATATCTTTTACATCATTATTTCCTTTAAGACGGGTGCAGTTTGATCACATTAGGGCTTATCATTTAATAATGTATCCTTGAAATCACTAAGTTCAAGAGGTAACTAAAATCCTTAGAGCAACATGAAGGTATGTGATGGGCCAAAAATCCTCAACCAAACAGCTTATACTTACCTATGAGTATTTTTTTTTTTTAATTTTAAAAGCCTCTTAAAATAGATTTATTTCTCTCTTTAATCTACCTACTTGGCTTCAGTATTTCAAAATGAGTGTTATAACAAAAATGGACCGGGCGCGGTGGCTCACGCCTGTAATCCCAGTACTTTGGGAGGCTGAGGCGGGTGGATCACGAGGTCAGGAGATCGAGACCATCCTGGCTAACACGGTGAAACCCCGTCTCTAGTAAAAATACAAAAAAATTAGCCGGGCGTGGTGGCGGGCGCCTGTAGTCCCAGCTACGCGGGAGGCTGAGGCAGGAGAATAGCATGAACCCCGGAGTTGGAGCTTGCAGTGAGCTGAGATCGTGCCACTGCACCCCAGCCTGGGCGGCAGAGCAAGACTCCGTCTCTCTTTTTTTTTTTTTTTTTTTTTTTGATACGGAGTCTTGCTAGGTCGCCCAGACTGGAGTACAGTGACGGGATCTCAGCTCACTGCAAGCTCCACCTCCCGGGTTCACGCCATTCTCTCACCTCAGCCTCCAGAGTAGCTTGGACTACAGGCGCCCACCACGCCCAGCTAATTTTTATATGTTTCAGTAGAGACGAGGTTTCACTACATGTTGGCCAGGCTGGTCTCGACCTCCTGACCTCAGGTGATCCGCCCTCCTAGACCTCCCAAAGTGCTGGAATTATAGGCGAGAGCTACCGCGCCCGGCCATGTGTGGCTTTTTTGTACATTTTGTGACAATACTTGATGCCACGTCTCCAACATAAGCAAAAGAATTTCTAGGCAAAGAGAAGGTCTAAGAAAAAAAGCAGGAAGCCCTTTGCAGGGTAGCTTCTATAGGTTCAGAAAGCCAGACCTGAGACATGATCCCCAAGTTCCAGTGGGATGAGTATCAATATCTATTCTATTATGTATGTTAATTCATCCATATATACAGAGCTACTCAAATTAAGAGAAAAGGGTTTTGGGGACAAGTACCTATAATAACAGAAAAAACTTACATAAGCTATCTATATTAATCTAATCTAAATTAATTACGTTTGAAAGTAAATAGAATAAAAGAGAAAAACTAAGATAAACTGAATGATTTATGTAAGAACCAGAATATGATTCTGGTAACAGAAGTTAAAAAATAATTGGCTTCTCCAGCAATATTAAAAAAATGATAAAAGATAAGCGAGATGCTATGAGAGAAAATATCTGTTAGGTAAGACAAATCATATAAATTAATATATAAATTTTGAAATTTAAAAAAATATTGAAAGACCTGGGTTAGAAAATTTATGAAACCTTTCAAAACATTAAACAAAATTGCTAAGCTAAAACCTATGAAGAATAAGTTGACTGACAATAAATAAGCTATGTGGTACAACATCATTATGCTGTAGTTCTGGAAAGACAAATAATGTATAGATGGAAATAATTATAGACAATTAAATAATATTTTTAAAAGTAATCTTTTCTCATCCATTAAACTAACAAAAATCAGATTAGAATGTCTCATTCTTTTGGAGAAGCAGGCACTCTCACACATTGCTGATGGAAATGACGATTATCTTTCTGAAGAGAAATTTGGCAGTATCTAAGAAAACATTTGCAACTGCCTTTTGACTTAGGAATCCTACTTCTAGGAATTTACTGTGGAGATATATTTTTAATATGAAAATACATGCACACAAAGTTACTCACTGGCATGTCATTTGTAATTGCAAAGTACTAGAAACAACCTGAATAGTCATACAAAGTAGAGTAGTGAAATCTGTTAAAAAACAATTTAGACAATCTATCTTTCTGAACTAATATGATGATTTTTGAGGTATATTATCAAATATAGAAAAGCAATGTGCAAACATTGCATATAGTACGAGACCTTTTGTGTAAGAAAGAAGAAGAAGAAAATATACAGTATTTATGTTTTCTTTTTTATTTTTTGGAGATGAAAAAAGAAGGAAAGGAAAGAAGAAAGGAAGGAAGAAGAAAATAGAGTAAGGAGAAGAAAGAAACAAAAACTAATAAGATTGTTGGTCTTATGTGTAGAAGTGGTAGCATGATTGGAAAAAGAAATAAAGTAAAAGAGATGATGGAGAATGATATTTAAAAAGTGCATTATTGTATAGTTATGCTTTTTAGAATAATGTAAATATTTCACATACTTAAAATTTAAAATATAAAGAAACAATTGAAACTCAGCAAGTTGTGAAGTCTGTCTTAGTTTGCCAGGGCTGCTACAACAAAATATCACAGACTGGGTGGCCTAAACACAGAAACTTATTTTCTTATAGTTCTGGAAGCTGGAAGTACAAGATTGAGATGCTAGTGGGCTTGGTTTTTCCAGAGGTCTCTTTCTTTGGCTTGCAGACAGCTGCCTTCTCACAATGTCCTCATATGGGCTTTTCTGTGTACAGATGCTTCCTTGGTACCTTTATGTGTGTCCAAATTTTACCTTCTTATAAAGACACCAGTCAAATTTAATTAGGGCCGACCTTACTGATCTAAATTTAACTTTAAAATCTCTTTAAAGGCCCTATCTCCAAATACAATCAAATTCTTAGGTGCTGAGAATTAGAGCTTCAACATATACATTTGGAGGGGTCACACCATTCACCCTATAACAGGACTCACATTGATATAAATTAACAAATGAACAACATATTGAAAAAAATTGAATAAATAGCATAATTGCAATTAAAAAAGGATGGGGAAGAAAAGCATAAACAATTCTTGGGCCAGGCACGGTGGCTCATGCCTGTAATCCCCATACATTCGGAGGCCGAGGTGATGGCTTGAGCCCAGGAATTTGAGACCAGCCTGGAAAATATTGTGAAACCCTCTCTCCAACAAAAATACAAAAATTAGCCTGGGGTGTTGGTGCATACCTGTATTCCTGCTACTTGGGAAACTGAGGTAGGAGAATGGTTTGAGCCTGGGATGCGGAGGTTGCAGTGAGCTGAGGTTGTGCCATTGCACTCCAGCCTGGGTGAAAGAGCCAGACCCTTGTCTCAAAGAGCTCAGACTCTGTCTCATACATATACATGCATGTATACATATATACTTATACATATACTTATATATATGTGTACATATATACACTCTAAGACTAACAACAATTCTGTACACAAATGTGGGATTCTGATGCATAATTTGTTTTTATAGAAGTATGTGTTAGAAATGTTAAAAATTATTTTGTACCTTTTCTAGAATTGAGAAAATAAATAAATATATAAATGATAATGGGAGCCAGGTTTCTCACCTTCAGAGAAAGGAGTTACAAATAAACAGAGTAGGCTAGAATAAATTCTGTAGATTGAATCGGGATTTGAATTATCAGTGTAAACTCAAGAAAGAGAGATTGACATAGAAATAGATATAAATGTATTTACATGTATAAATGCATATACTGTATTACTTTAACTAGCATCATGTTACCCATAAAGAATATCATGTCTTTGGAAATAATGAAAAGGTATTCACCACCAAAGAAAAGTGTGACCTAGAACCGAGCAAGAAAATGATGAGCCTTTAAGAGACATGAATAGCATAGGGTACAATTTACTTTGAAACAAATCTGGAAGTCATAAATATCAACGCAGTCAGTTTGAAGTCTATGTACTTGATATCCAGAGGAAAGTAATACTTAAATAAATAAAAATATGACTTAATACCCAAAACGAATTTTTGTTGTAAAAATCAATATAAAAAATCTAACATAATTTTTAAAGCAAGGAAAATATAGTGATTACAAAATAATATTTTCTGTTGTCAATATAGACAGAATGTAAAAATTTGAAAATGTAAGTATGCTACAGATGATACTTCCTTTTAATTGATAAGGGTTTCAAAGCATCTCATTTGAAAACAATTAAATTTCAAAACACTTGAAAACTTAATTCAGTGCAATTTTAGATCCCATTTCTCTTTTTCCTCAGGGTGACATCTGTGTTCTGAAAAGGTTATTCAGTGCCAGATTTTTTTTAGATGGGGGCAGGATTAGGCATCTGGTCTTCAATTTTTGGTGCTCCAAGGTTAATTTAATAGTGTTTCTTATGCCTGTAACACTTTGGAAAAGCCAAAACAACTCCTCACTCATATTCCAGTAATTAAAATCACAAAAGCCAAAAATATAGACTGGGGCACATAACATAAGAATCCCCTGGAAAAAAATCAGGCCAATTATCACAGCAAATTTACTCCCAGCAAGCAATCAAAAAGCCATAGCTCTACCAGCTCTCAGAATTTTCGATTCCTTTTTCTAATTTTCTATCCAATATTGTAGCTATTTAAATTACTAACCATTTTTGAGGGATTAGGTTGGCATGGCCATTTATTAATGAAGAAGATGGAATACATGGTTTTGCAGAATTAGTAGCTGAATCAGAGAGAAATTACTTATTAAAAATAAAATTCTGAAGATAAAAGAGTAGAGTACTGGAAAAATTGTTTGAGAGTCAATGTCTAAACTTCTGGGAAGAAAGGATAAGTAGCAGTTTTATGAAGAGCTAAAATAGGTACTGAACTACAGGTAAGAGCTTTGGTGGTTCTGTTCTGGAAGAATGAGAAGGGAATAATATGGATCAAAAATAAATGAGGTGTATCAGAGAAGTGTTTTTGAGATGACTTTTACATCCTGAGGAGGGTATATTGGACTGAAATTGTTCATCATTTTTATCCCAGTTGACATTTCTATGATGATATCACCTCCTACTCATGTGTTTTTCCTACTTACAAGCTTTCTATGGAGAGTCTTATGCGTTTTTATTACTGTTATGGAAATTCCAATGAGAGACTTTTTTTCCGTCTAACTTTGTTAATATGCATGAATTTGGAAATAGCTGCTGTTTAACTGATGGTGATAATGTGAGCTGACGTTAGTCAATTGAGGTTATGGCTCTTATGTCTAGGAGCTAAGCAGCCTGACACTTGTGAGTTATCTGGCATGAAGTAATTATTTTCTCAGAAGATCTTATCATTGCTGATCAAGTATGAGCTCTAACCAAGGTAAATATTCCCTATTGCTGTTTATTTCTTCAGCTGATATTCTGGCTGTTAGCATAATGAGAAAAAACATACTATGTACAATGATGTACAACTTCGTACAGATTTTTTTTTTTTTTTTTTTTACTTTTTGGAAACTTCTTTTTGTCTTTACTATCTTCAGTTTCCTTAAACACTTAAAAATAGAAATTTTATTTCTTCACAGGAGCTGCAAAACCCGGCATGTGTTCATATTTCACTGAAGAATACCTAAAAAACCCTGGTATCTGCAAATGTAATTTGCAAAGTTGACACCTTATTTTTCCCCAGTTAGCATTTTCTTTAGCTTCTGCAACATTTAGGTTTATAGAAGTGTATCTAATATCTAAACTTTATAGTACATGCACCAGAAATGTTTTGTTTCTCTTTCATGCTTTTAAAAAATATATGTTATTAAATAGAGTGAAGGTTTAACTGTAACACTGAGTCAGAGTTTTCTGCGCTTAAGTTTTCTGAAATAATCCAAGTCAGCATTTTTTAAAGTAGAAACATTTACAACCTGTGAAGTACAATTTGATAAAAGACATGCTGATATGCTAGAAGTTAATGCAGCTTCCTGTGGTGCTGAACTTATTCAAAGGAAGGATATTATGCACAGGAAGAATCTCACCCAACAATCCCATATTTAAGGTTAATAGAGTAAGCTATACTAGAATCTGAGGAAGAAAATAAATTTAAAAATCACATAGGTTGGCTAAGTCGTGCTTTCTGATCCTTAAGAGTTTAAAGTGGAAACTGGGACAAAAGTGCACCATATGTGAAGAACTGCTGACAGAAAGACAATCTTTTATCATTAAAACAAAGGTTAAATAAAGATTAAACTCAGAACAGCAGCAAAAGCTCTGGAGGCTTTGGGTAGGCAAGACGCCCAGATGTTCTTCCTATCGTTTCAGTTGGCATATGAGCAAAGGTGAGGGAGGTCAAGTGGGTAGGCGGCTGGTAGTAGGGTAGATGATGGCATGGTCATCCATTATTCTTGTAGAGTCTGAGAGTAGGACTGCTTCTGCTAGCACATTAATTAATAATTCCCTCTACATATTTCAAAGTCTTATTGAAATTTGTTGGATTCTGCTTATGTTCATCTGATCCCAATAGTGCCCTTTTAATTCACCCTACCTCTGTACAATAATTTTAGTTACACTGGGAACAAAACAATGTGGTTTTCAAACAGAATTAGGGAAAATTGATTTCATGATTTTCATATGCACAGGTATTAGGTTGGTACAAAAGTAATGTAGTTTTTGCAATTAAATGGCAAAACTATAATTACTTTTGCACCAATCTATAATTTGGCAATATGGGTGCTATTATATTGTACAATAATCTAAGAATATAATAAATATTCCAATGAAGCAAGGATTCTACGACTTTTCCTGATGAACAATTTTTATTTTCACATTTATAAGATTACCATCAGCATATTGAAGTGTTAGTGATCCAGAAACACTTGCATTCTGGCCTAGTTCCTTCTCCTGATGATCTCAGATTCAGTACTAATTAGAAGAGGGGCCATGGTAGATAGGGAAATAATGCAGGTTTTTTATTATAAACTTGTGCAATATTTTGTAGTCTGTTTTTTTTTGTTGTTGTTGTTTTCTGGTCAAGTCACCCTCAGGAACAATTATCAATTTGATTGACAATCAAATGGGAAATTAGCACTACTTTTTTTTTTTTTCTGTGTTCTCAAGTTCACAGGCAATTTCTTCAGACTTTATGTCAACTCAGACTGTCCAGAAAAAGTGTCCAAATCCAATAATTTTGGGCTTCTGAAACTACACTCAACAATTTTAATTCAAAATGATCATGGACTGTACTCAAAATACTAGCCACTGCTTATTCTTCAATTACATTATTTTTATAAGTGACATTTCCCCATCCACGACTGCTCCAAAGGGATAGAATCTGGGTGGCAATGTTTGAACAGGTGATCTTGCCTTTTGGCCTACACTTGATAAAACCAGAGATGAAGACAAACTCCAGCTGATTTAGTCAAGTGTGTGTGTGTGTGTGTGTGTGTGTGTGTGTGAGAGAGAGAGAGAGATAATTAAGATACTTAAAAAGTGTGTCAGTTTACATATTATTGAGGTGACATTTGGATCCATGGCAAATCAAAACTATGCCCAAATTGAGATCAGAAGGGAAAGGAAACTAAAATTTGGTCCATACATTAAAGAAGAGAAAATTTGCAGAGATGCAGATAACAAAGTCTATGGACAGAGGAAGCACATGTGCACCCAAACACAGTGTGAATAGGAGGACACAGGGGCATGGGGAGAGAGAGGCAGTGGAAGCTAGAAAAACAGAGTTTAGAGAAAAAGAGAGGCAAAAACTGAGACAATAGTTAAAAAAAAAGAGAGAGAGATAATCTGGAACAGAGGAAAGTGAAAAGAGAGGAAGATAAATAGTGAATGACATTCCTATTTCTCTGAATAACAACTATAGTAGCTTCAATCATATCAGATGATATTCCTTATCTTCCTCCTTTCAGATACCTAATCTAAGTGTCAACCCCTCCAGGAATGCTCCAAACTTCCACCCTTCTGAAGTTCCTCTTCCTCACAGTATCAAAACACACTATCCCGGGGGGTTGGGGTGGGGTGCAATAATGACAAGAGCTTCCATTTCACATGCTAGGGGAAAACTTGTGAGAATGTCAATTATTTTGAGATCTTTGGAAGGTTATATTTTTCTCAGGTACTTTTGCTTCATGTCTGCTGAATTCTTCATCTTACCTCCGGTTTCTTCAACCTTCTTTCTTTAACCCATGTTGCTGTAAGCACGAAATACAGGCTTTTGTTTGTTTGTTTGTTTTTCAGTTTAGCCAAAGCAACGTAATAAAATACTGTATTGTTTAGCATGGGTTGTTGAAATAATTAGAGATTACAGCATAAAGCAATGCAGGCTATGTTTTACAACTGAATAAAGAGACAGTGGCCATTTTCCTCAGACTTATTTTTACAGTCTGGATTTCCTCTTTAACAAGCATACCCCCAAACTTCTCACTGTAATTTTGAGCCCTTTTTCCACCAAGACTACAGGTTTTTTCTCTCTAATTTTCCCTAGGCTATAACAATTCATTTTCTAGCCTACTCCCAGAAGAGTTCAAATTTCCCCATTTTATTTTGCAGAACAAAACATTTGGATAACTTGTACCTAGTACAACTTAAAGTCACCACTTTTGATATGCCTGTAAGGGCAACTTCTGCAGTATCCATTATTTTTTTTCTCACCCTTAATTCATCTAGAGTATTAATCTCTTTGCTCTGAGTGCTGTCAGTTCTAAATCCCCCTTCAAAGATTTTCCCAAACAGCCTAGCAGCAAAATATAATTATAACTTCTGTTAGCTAGAGTGGAAACCTCAGAATTCCTAAGGAAGGGATGTTAATGTGACTCTTACAAGAGTTGCAAAAATACTAATTTTGAGGAATACACCCGTCTTTCAAGATGAGTAGCAACTTAATACTGAAAATATATACATATTTTATTATAGATATTTGGAAAATATAAATTGACTTATTTGAGAATATCCATGAATAAATGTATACCGTTAAACAAGAGACGATGGTTTCTAATAAGGTTCTCTTTGTGAATACTAATGAGAATGAGCATTGACAGAAACCTGTTCATAGTATTTTGGTTGATCTCTCCCTGCCTTAGTTATGTTTACACATTAGTTATTACATTATGTTGTTTGTATCCAAAATGAACGACTTTTAAAATTGTAACCACACATAGGTTGCATATAGTTATCTCATAATTATTTTAATATCTTTAATATGAATATGTTATATATTCTAGAAGAATTAAGCTCGTAACTACTGGGACACTTCAGAATGCACTTATCTTAAAATGTATTGCTTTCTGCCAAAAAAAAAAAAAAAAAAGAGTCTCTGGTTTTTCACAGTAAATTTGTGTACCTAAGCTTTTTAAAAAGACAGCATGTAAGAAAATTTTTGTCATTCTTGAAACTACCAATATTTTATTTTGAAAACTCTATCTGAATTTACACATTTGATACATGAGGAGTCACACTTCCATGTCAGAAATACCAAATAAATGTTGCTTAGCTTCATCCCTCAGTGACATGGAGACACTGGTCATTGAGTTGATTCTGCCATCTGTGATATCAAGAATCTTGTTCATGGTATCTTAAGTCAGAAGACAGTCTCTCTCTCTCTCTCTCTCTCTCTCTCTCTCTCTCTCTCTCTCTTTAACTGGCATTTGGGAATATTTGACATGTAAAGCTGCAGGTAAGAATGTTGGACTTGACTGAATATGCCATTTCAAAAAATTTGTATATGAACTCAAATGAAATCCAAGTTTCAAAATTAACACTAAATGCTGACAATAATGCCAAATTTTTATTTTCAGATCAACACTTTGTTTCTTCTACCTTTAGGTGCACATACATTTTATAATTTTAGTTGATAATTTTAATTTTACTTCCAGATGCTCAGAAGAAGCATTTAAATTATAATAAGTATACTTTCTCTATACACAGAGATGATATCAAATTATGATCAAAAATGTAAGGTTTTGCTTTTTATAAAAATGTTATATATAATATATATATATTTTTTTTTTTTTTTTTTTTTTTTTTTTTGAGACGGAGTCTTGCTCTTGCTTTGTCACCCAGGCTGGAGTGCAGCAGCGTGATCTCTGCTCACTGTAAGCTCTGCCTCCCGGGTTCACATCATTCTCCTGCCTCAGCCTCCTGAGTAGCTGGGACTGCAGGCACCCGCCATCATGCCAGGCTAATTTTTTGTATATTTAGTAGAGACAGGGTTTCACCGTGTTAGCCAGGATGGTCTCGATCTCTTGACCTCGTGATCCACCCACCTCGGCCTCCCAAAGTGCTGGGATTACAGGCATGAGCCACCGTGCCCGGCCATTATATAATATATTTTTATGGCATAATTGTCCATTAAATTTTGTATACTATTCTTCCGACAGCTGGCTGGCTTCCTAGTTTGCTTATTTCTTTGTTTATTTTCTTGCTTTACTTAGCCATGTCTCATGATTCTGTTAATCTAATCTCCTAAAATTTAAGCATTCCAAATGTTTCTTATCTTTCTTTTCACCCATGAACCCATTGAACTCATGACCCTATGATATTTCTAGAAATCATAAATACCCCAAATCACATATTTCTAATCCCCCTTTATTAAATTAAACAATAAATCATAACATACACTTAATATGTCTATAAACAGAAATTAAGATAACATTTCAAAACATTGAAAGATTATAAATATAATCAACAATGGACATTGTAAAATTATTTTAATAATTTTAACCATAATTTTATATCTGAAAATGTGAAGATTAATAGGATAAAATATAAAATAATCAATGGTTTGAATGAGTGTTACCATGAAATAGCCAAATAACACCAGTGATTTCTCATAGCTGGCACAGCGTGCCTTTTTTTGACTTTCTGACCACGTAGAAGAACCAGTAAAGGATGACAAACATATCATGGATTCTACCTTAAAGAACAATGACTTTTAGGCATTTTTTATGAATATAACACTCTTTAAAATTACAGAAATTACAGAGTATAAATTCAAGGCCAATATAATTTCACACATGTTCTATTTAATTAATAGACCATAACTGCTGAAGATGTCATTTGCCAAATTAAATTCTGACATTCACTTTCCCTCTTTGTATTAATATATGATAAAGGAGCCATTAAATTCTACAAGGCTATTTTCATTGATTTGAATGTTTATACCAGCCTTACCCTTTTTGTCTATAAGCCTGCTTAGATCTGCTGGAAATAATTCTGAACCATGGTCAGTTAATGTCAATCCCCTTATGTTTTGTCTTTATTGAGAGAAACATCTTTCTTAACATATTCAAATTAACATTTACTCAAAATACTGTTTTCTTTGGTGGCCTGTTCTCTGCCTGAAATGTCATGGAGAAGTCTAAGATTTTAATTCCTTTTTCTAAAATCCCAGTCATAGTAGTTCAAATTTTCATGATGTGTACATGCTCATATTACATGACGAATTCTTTTTCAACTTTTACAAAAGTTTCACCTGTTACTCAGTGAGTTTTTTAATGCTTGGTAGATTCCTTCATAATTTTCATAGCATATACTCTATTTATTTAAGTCATCATTGTGTAATAATTTTAAACACATTAAAGACATTCCATCTCCAGCTTTTATTGAACTATTATCTGGCTAAAAACCTATATATATATATATATATATATATATATATATATATATATATATATATATATATATATATACACACACACACACACACATATATATACACACACACACATATATATATATATATATATATATACACATACATATATATTAGCAATCATTCCTCCAATTGTGTCCTGGCAAGAATTATTTTTACTTTGTTAAATGTTCTCCCTTGGTCTCTTCACCAAAGAGAAATACACATTTTATCATTTCACAAGAGGCTCACAGACAAAGAACAACAAAACTATATTGATATATGAATGCAGGGTGCTAGAATAAGTTTACTTACAAGGAGAATATTGAAGCTCACTTCTCAAACATGCATTCTTGCTGTGCGAGCTATTGAATATGCAGCTAAATACAATTTAAAACTTTTATTTTATATACATATGCTTTCTTTCCTTAAAAAATGAAACAAATGCAAAAGGCATGCCACATTTTTGACATATGTCTCTGATTTGATTCCTAATTTTATATTTGAGCATATATAAAGAAAATAACCACTTAAGACAAAATTTCCCTATTTCTAATTAATTTATCACACCAAAATAAATTTCACACTCTCACAAATTGGGACTATTTCTGAAAACAATAATTAGTATCAGGAGCCCCAATGATATCTTACTTGTTCATGCTTTAGTTATTAAATATTTTTTTCTTTTAGCTATTCTGACTCATTAGCCACTAATTTCTGCTGATGTTTACTTTAAAGTGACACTCAAATAATCTCTATTTCAACGTAATCGCTGTAATTCTGTCTCTTCTTACATTTAATCCAGTTCAATTTTTGGAAAAGCCGTGGTTATGTGATTCATTTTACAGTCATCCTTTAGTATCCATGAGGGATTTGTTCCAGAACTACCCTTCTCCAAACCCCTGCAGATATCGAAATCTGTGGACTGTCAAATCCCTTGTATAAAATGGCAAAGTATTTGAATATAACCTACATGCCTCCTCCCATATACTTTAAATAATCTCTAAATTACTTGTATTATCTAGTAGAATGTAAATGCTAAGTAAATAGTTGTTGTACTATATTTTTATTTGTGATTTTTTTGTATTGTTATTTTTTTTCCAAATATTTCTTATCTGCAGCTGGTTGAATCCTTGAATGCAGAACCTGTGAATATTGAATGCCAAATATATATCAAAATTGAATTTTAAATAAATTTGTATTTTATAGTTTTTAATAGAATAAGCAAAATTTAAATCAATTTTCCCAGCACATAATGTGAATGAATTGTTTAAGCTACATATATCAATAGTAAATAATATTTTAAAGAATCTTTGCTGTTTTGTCTTAATTTTAAAAGAAGTAGGTGAGCTGAACTAATTCTGTATTATAAACACCATGGAGTACAATTTCTGTTAAGGAATTCAGACTCAGTTATTTTTTTAAGCGCCCTGCTGGTAGTAGAATGAGCTCTTTGTAATTGGGCAAATGTCACTGAGGTAGAAAAATGAAACAAACTTTTAAATCTACACAAAGATTATGATTTCACAAGCATATCAAACTGTAGCATTGATATGATTCCCAAAGACCAGTGCCAGAGCCACCAATGTCATATTTTTTTCAGTAATCTAAGAGGTCTGATTGGCTAAGAACCTGTCCTATAGAGGGAAAAAGTAAGGACTGAAAACAATTAACATGACAGCTACCCCTTTAGTATTAGAATCAGGAAACTAGCTGATATAGTTTGAATGTTGTCCCTGCCAAATGGCATGTTGAATTGTAATCCCCAGTGTTAAAAGTGAGGCCTAGTGGGAGGTTTCTAGGTCATTGGAGAGGATCCCTCATGGTTTCGTGTTTTCCTTGAGATAGTCAATGAGTTATTGTGAGATCTGGTTGTTCAGGCACCACCTTTGCCCGATTCTACTTCTTGCACCCACTCTTGCTGTGTGACTATCCTGATCCTTTTTGGACTTCCCCATGAGGAAACACTCCCTTAGGCCTCCCCAGAAGCTGAGCAGATGCCAGTACCATCCTTCCTATACAGCCTGCAGAATAGTGAGCCAATCTCTTTTCATTATAAATTACTCAGTCTCAGATATTTTTTATAGCATGTAAGAATGGCCTAACACATATGCACTCATAAGAATGCAAGATATTCAATAAATAAAGTTGAATGTAAAATAAAAATGTGAAACTTCCTAATGAGATAAGTTTCCAGAACACTTCAATACTGGTTAAATTGGGGTGGGGGAGGCGTGGCGGGGACGGGGAAGGAGTCTGTCTTCAATGCCCAAAGCCCACAGTCTTTTATCTTGTGCTATAAAGCAGGCTCTACAGTCCACTTCTGACACCAAAACCTTCTATCATAAAGAAGTCTTCAGATTTTTGTTATTTCTTCCTCTAAAATAGTTTTTAGACCTTAAACATAGCAAATAAATAGACCAGGGCTTTTTCACAAAATACAATGGAAAGTTTTCAATATTGGTATCTCTTTGTTCCATTCTGTATCTCTCTCTATTATAATGACCTCCTCTTTTCTCCAGAGATGTACAACAGTACTCTGCTGTTCAGCATTGGAAAAGTTGATGTTTTTCTTTCAAAGAATAATATCTGATACATAATAATTCTAATAACATAATACAAATGACAGTAATGCATAGATAGCTTAAAAAGAACATTGGTGAGGAAAATTCAAAATTGAAGGTTTAAAATAAGTAAACCTATGAAGTATTTTGCAAAATTTTATCTATCACTAAAATAAAATGATGCCAAAATAAAACTGAAATAAAGATAATATTTGTAATATATGTTATAATTAATTATAATTATAGAGATAACTTATCAGTAATCACCTTGAGTTGACCCTGCAGGATAAAGATAATGTTTTGGTACTCTAACATGCCTAAATGACCGTGCCTGTTTGTATTAGGTCATTCTCACACAGCTATGAAGAAACACCGGAGACTGGGTAATTCATAAAGATAAGAGGGTTAATTGACTCACAGTTCAGCATGGCTGGAGAAGCCTCAGGAAACTTACAATCACGGTAGAAGGCACCTTTTCACAGGGCTGCAAGAGAGAATGAGGGCCAGCAGGGGAAATGGCAGATGCTTACACAACGATCAGATCTCATGAGAACTCACTCATTATCACAAGAACAGCATGGGGGAAATCACCCCCATGATTCAGTTATCTCTCACCGGATCTCTCCCAGGACATGTGGGGATTATGGGGATTGCAATTCAAGATGAGATTTGGGTGGGGACAAAGCCAAACCATATTAATGCTCTTTCTCTGAAAGAACTGTATCTTCCCTTTAAAAACAATATATAGTTTAAAGTTTCTCTTTATTAATATTCCTTTCATATATAATTACATCAACTCACACAATCCTTATTTGAAGTTTTGTCTTTAGACTTGGCTTATACAATTTTTGAAAGTATACTCCTTAAAACAAAAGTTGTATTTGTTAACTTCTCTGATAGATGTAATTTGACATATAATGCTTTTATACAACTTTACTTACAAGTTTTATTGAGTAATGTTATTTTCAGTTTCTCATATTAAAACTGTGGGTTTTTTTTCCAGCTCTTCCCACAAGCTCAGGTTTCTAATTTGTGACCATGGAAAATATATTTAAAGGTACATTAGCAAGAATAGTTAACTTTTTGTTTGAACTTACCGTTAAAAGCGAATTTTCTTAATTCTTAGCTCCACAACAGTTTTTATATAAAGCTATAATATGAAATAAACCTTCTATGGACTCTGTCAATTCCTTGAATATTATATATTTACAGACCTAAATAAATTAGGAGGTATACTATGTTCAAAGATTTTAAAAGCAATCATTTTTCCTAAAATTTATCTGTAGATTCACCATAGCCCCAATCAAATTTACAAAAGGCATTTCTATACACTTCAAAAGGCATATGGAAATAAAAATGACATAGAATAATCAAATAAATACTCTAAAAAACAAAGCTGGAGGTTTTACACTAGCTAAATTCAAGACTTATTGTAAAGCTGCACCAATAAAGAGTGTGATTCACAACAGAAAAAAACATGGAATCAATGCCCATCAATGGTAGACTGGATAAAGAAAATGTGGTATATTTTCACCATGGAATACTATGCGCAATAAAAAAGAAAAAGATTACGTCTTTTGCAGCAACATGGATGGAGCTGGCGGCCATTACCCTAAGCAAATTAATTCAAAAACAGAAAACCAATACTGCATGTTCTCACTTAGAAGTGGAAGCTAAACAATGAGAACACATGGACACTAAGAAGAGAACTAGAGACACTGCGGTGTAGTTGAGGGTGGAGGGTAGAAAGAGGGAGAGTATCAGAAAAAATACCAATCAGGTTCTATGCTTATTACCAGGTGGCAAAATAAAATCTGTACACCAAACCTCTATGACACGCGGTTTACCTGGATAACAAATCTCCACATGTACCCCTGAACCTAAAATAAAGGTTAAAAAAAGACTCTTTGATATTGATTAAATGATAGGTATATTGATCAGTAGAAACAATATGTAAAATCAGTGCTGATTTAACAATATGTTCAATGTAGAAACAATCATTAAGACACCTACAAAACTGATTTTCAAAGAAAATGCCAGGACAATTAAACGGGTACAGCAAAGTCTTTTGAACAAATAGTGCTGGAAATGGATATCCTTTAGAAATATGGAATATAAATGGCTACCTCATACCACACCCAAAAATTAACTCAAATGAATCATAGGTAAAATTATGAAAGTTAAGACTATAAAACTCTTACAGCATGTAGAACCAAATTTGGGCAGCCTTTTTTAGATGTGGCACAAAAAGGATAAGCCATTAAATAAAATATTGATACATTAGAGTTAGTGAAAATGTAAACTTTTTGTTCCTAAAAAATGATAATATTAAGAAAATAAAAAGCGAAGAATCAAAATGGCAGAAAATATTCATAGTGCATATGTTTGATCAAAGCCTTATCTTCAGGATTTATAAATCAATCTTGTAATCCATTAGTAAGAAATAAACACTGCTTCCCACTCCACAAAAAAAGATAAACAAATGGTCAATAAACAAAAACGTTTTCAATCTTATTCATTAATCATCAGGAAAATACAAATTAAATCCACCATGAGATGTTAGTACCAACCTACTAGACTGGCTAACTTTTTATTTTATTTTTGTTTCATTTTTTATTGACACATAATAATTGCACACATTTGTGGGGTACTGTGTGATGTTTCAATATGTGTGTATATTGTGTAATGATAAAATAATGGTAATTAGCAAATCCGTCACCTCCAAACATTTATAATTTCTTTTTAGTGAGGACATTCTGAATCCTATCTTCTAGCTATTTTGAAATATAAAATATATCTTTATTAACTATAGTTACCATGTTGTGCAATACAGCACCATAATTTATATTTTCTTCTACCTATAACTTTGTATGCTTTAGCCACTCTCTTCTTATTCTTTCTTTCCTTCCCCCTCCCCAGGCTCAAGTGACCACAAGCAAGATCATGAGGTATTTTTCTTTCTGTTTCTGGCTTATTTCACTTAACATAATGTCCTCCAGTTTCAGCCATGTTGTTGCAAGTGATAGGATTTCATTATTTGTTTTTGTGACTGAATAGTATTCCATTGTGTATATATAACACATTTTCTTTATTCACTCATATGTTGATAGACACAGGTTGATTCCATATCTTGCCTGTTTTGAATAGTGCTGTAATAAACATGAGAATGAAGCCATATCTTCAAACACACTGATTTCACTTCTTTTAGATATATACTCACTAGTGGGATTTCTCAGTCATGTGATAGTTCTTTTTTAAATTGTTTGAGGAATCTCCATATTACTTTCCAATGGATGTATTAATTTACCTTCTCATCAACAGTGTGTAAGGATTCCTTTTTTTCCACATCCTTCCCAAAATGGGTAAAATTGGAAACACAAGAAATATCAAATGATGGTGAAGATGTGGAGCAACTAGAATGTTCGTACATTGCTGTTGAGAATATAAAATAATGCTACTCTGGAAAATGTTTTTTGATTCCTTAAATGTTAATCATATGACTCAGCCATTTGATTCCTCAAATGTTCATTGTATGACTCAGCCATCCACTCCTAGTTTTTTAGCCAAAAGAAATAAAAATATATGTTCCCAGAAAAAATATGAGCACAAATATTAACAAATTTATTTGTAATAGTCTAACACTGGAATCAACAAAAATTTTTACCAAATATTCAACGATACACCATAAATCAATCTATGAAAGTGCATAGGTAGCATTTAGCACTATCATAAATCTTAATTTCTTTGTAGCACTTATCTTCTAAAATTAGTTTATTTGTTTTGCAATTTTTTGAATTCTCTGGGAGAATATTAACTCTTCAGGATTTATGCCTTGTTGTGTTTTTATTTATCAAGTTCCCAAGACCATACTTGTTGACACATAGTACTTTTACAAAAATTATTTTTGAGTGCATGAACAAATACTTTATATCTATATTTTTTTTGATGATAATTTTGTTGTTTTTCTTCTAATTGAACAGAATTGTGTTCTAAGCAGCTGTATTGCCTGGGAAGGATATTTTCTCAATAAGCAACACAATATTTTCAAGTGAGTTAAATTATCTCGAGATAGATTCAGTGCCTTAACAAAGCTTTATTACCAATTTGCTAAAAGTTGGCTCTTCCAAGCATTAAATTCATTAACACTCTTTTCTAATTTTCTACTCATTACTATATTAGTAACTGCCAAAAGCTGAGGTTTTCAAGAAAACAATGTGCTGTTAAAGACTGAATATTTAATAAAGAAAATATATTTATTTAGCAAATTACATAGCAAGAAACCTGTTTCTTGACAGACATTCTTTATAGCTTAAACACATTTTATGTGTACTATATAAAAAGTCACAGCATTAATAATATAATCATATTTGCATTAGAAGTTTATAGAAATAAGTTATCTATTTTGTGCCTAATTGCATCTATATAACATTTTGATAATCATTATTTCTCATCATAAAATATCAATTAATAAGATTGTGAGTTCAAAAAATGTGAAAGGTGTTATGATGTAGATTTAAATAGCATACTTGACATAAAAGGTCACTTTCACTGTGTTCTTGGAATAATACTTTATTACTTAAACCCAAAATGGTATATGGAATTTTATTTTGCAATTTCATTTTAATTTTTTAAATGTTCTTCTATTAACACTACCTGTATACATGTAAACCTTTTTTTGGAAATATCTGTTTTTAAATTTCCTTTACAAAAGACATAAATATTTCCTATCATATTTATGCTAACATTGTGTTATTCCTATTGTCTTTGTACTGCTTTAGGAATTATTCAAAAAATGACAATTTTGATATCAATAGTGCCACCTCTGACAAATACAGATGTTTCCCAACTTATGACAGGATTACATCCTGATAAACACAGTTTAAATTGAAAATATTGTAAATTCTATGTATTTAAAGGACAATATAGTCAAGATTGTGGATTGTAAAAGTCCTAACTTATGCAATGGCCCTTAGCTTGTTGCCTTCATGTTGGGCAATTATGTTGAGATTTATATCAAGATTAATTGCCTTCGTTTTCTTTTCACCAGAAGCAGAAGACACAAATGAACACTTGTAGACATGGTGCAATATATGAACTCAAAACACAGTATCAGAAACATATTGGCACACAGGACACTGTAGAGTATTGGTTATTTGTCCTCCTGATTGCATGTTTAACTGGGATCCTTTGCTGCTATTGCCGCCCAGTACCATGACAGAATATCATACCACATATTGTTAGCCTTGGGAAAGATCAAAATTCAAAATTTAAAGTACAGTTTCTACTGAATGCATATCACTTTCTCACCATTGTAATGTGAAAAGTTATAAATCAAACCATGATAATTCAGAGACCATCTGTATTTTCTGCTTTGTAAGAATTTAAAATAATGCATTTCAGTAATTATCTCATATTTTCTATAAAAGTACCTAGGATTTTACAAGATAAAATAAAATGATTGAAATGATGGCACCGTTTTACATTTTGTCTTGCAATATCTAATTTCTGTACATTTGTCTTTAGGATTTGAATGATTAGATTATTCTTATTATTTGTTTAGAATGGAGTCCAGTGGATTCTTGGAAATCAATTCTACTTTTAATATATATTTTTCTATTTCCTAGTAAAGTGAGTGATCTAACTTTTAAAATCTGTTTTTAAATGTTCCCAGCACTATTGAGGTAAAATTAACAAATAGAAACTGTATATTCTTAAAGTGTACAACTTAATATTTTGATAAATATGCAAATTTTGAAATGGTCAGCTCAATCAAGCAAATTAACAATACCCATCACATCACACAGCTGCCATTTTCTTTATTTTTCTCTCTTCCTTTCTTTTGTTGTTGTGGTGAAAATACTTAAGATCCAGTGTCTTATCAAATTTCAAGTTTTGAATACATCATTGGTAACCATGGTCTTGATGTCATACATTAGCTCTCCAGAACTCATTCAACTTGCATAACTGGAACTTTGTACCATCTGACCAATGTCTCCTCATTTCCCTCTGGTTCTTGCTTCTGGCAATTGCCATTCCATTCTATGCTTCTATGTGTTTGACTATTTTAGATTCCACATGTAAGTGAGATCATGCAGTATTTGTCTTTCTGTGTCTGGCTTATTTCACTGAGTGTAATGCACATGAGTGAATCTAGAGGATGTTATGCTGAGTGATACCATTTTTTATAAGCCCAAATTCAATAGTCTCACATGGTAACTGGTAAGTGAGAAACCATAACAATGTTTTACTTTTCTGTTAGAATGTTTTACTAAAGATTGTTTAAGAAATCCTCACCATCATATAAGTTTTGTTTAAGAAATGTATTTATTTTTACAGTTTTTAACAAGATATGAAATTATTATCAATTCAGTAATATGAATATCTCAGAATTCAGGTCTTATAGCATGGTTGATTTTTAATATGTATCACTATTTATAGTGACTTAAACTTATCTTTTTATACAATATTTCTGTAGTTTACAAAAGCTATTTTCTTCCACCAATATCAATTCCTTATTCCAATTATACTCTAGGTAAAGACATTATTTTCACAATTCTGTATGAACTAGGTTTCCTAATATATGCTTAAATTTAAGCCTTTCAAAGTACATTTTAGGAATCCATTGGTAACTTTGCTTCTTAAATGTGAGTTAGAACCACCTGCGGGGCTTTTGAAAAAAATATTGACTTCGAGGCACTTTCCTAGACAAAAATTCAGAATCTGCCAGTGTGTCCTAGGCATTAGCAGTTTTTAAACTCCTCAGGTGATTCTAATACGAACCTAGTCTTGAGAATCACCGCCACAGAACAGTACTAATCAACACTTAACATACATAGGAATCACATGGGCATCTTGTTGAAATGCAGGTTTTGATTTAGTAGGTGTAGGGTTGGGCCAGAGATTTTGCATTTTCCAAACAGTTTGTAGTAGATGCTGTTGCTGCTAATCCATGAACTACATTTGACATAGCAAGAGCATAGAACATAGAGAGCTGCTGAGAAGAAAGAGTTTGTGGTTTTTAAGCAATCTTTTAAAAATGGAAGAGAAAACAAGACAAAGGAATAAACATCTAGCAGCTGGAAGAGACACGAACACTCTTTAAAAAGCTGATCAATGTTAGTCTTTGTATTTACCAACTATATATAGTTAATGAATGCTTACTGTATGTAGAGGTTAATTATATTATTTTAATTATCTTTCAGCTTATTTTTTAATGTGTACAATAAAGCTCTTGAAAAATCAGTTCTGTCATAAAGAATTCTCGCTCACATTCATTGTATCCATTTATTACTTTCTAGAAGAGTGTAAAAGATAAATACATGGTAAAGAAGCCTCTATTTACATCTACAGTGACTTACCTGGTTGTTCATATTTACTGCTTTCTCAGTCCAGCTTTTCTCTGTGTCACAATAGAACCATCTCCAGCTGGGCAGCTGGTGAGTACTGCATGTATAGCTCCCAGGGGGAATGAAGCAGGTGAGGAGACTGAAAAGCGAGTGTTTAGCTGGCAAAAGGAAGAGGCAGTTCTTGGCTCAGATTCAGAAGTTATTTGAACATAGGGACTTATTCCATAAGCATGCTTTGGTGGAAATTGTTGCCAACTGCCCCTATTCCCATGGGCTATTTTTTTCTGCTGCCTAGTAATTTTATAGTTCACAAGGCTATTAATATCTGCAATATCAAGAATCTGGAGACATGCCCTTGCTGTCCAGATGGTGGCTTATGGACATCAGGTACAGTACATTTAGACTGGCAGAATTTCCTGCTTAGCAGTCAGGGCTCCATATACATTTGCTGCTGTTCAGTGGCAGCTGCCCCAGATATAATGAGATCAGCACATCCCATAAATACCTGAAAGGTTTGTGTATAAAAATGTCAAGTTGGATTTAGTTTTAAATAGAATAACATATTACCAGAGAAATATATTCATTTTCTATGATAAAAGGTGGAATTGGTATAATGTGAGTAGCCAAAATGTTGAAATTATAATAAAAGTTTATATATTTTCCTTCATATTATTGTGTGTGTGTGTCTGTGCGTGTATAACACTTAGATATAACTTAGACATAGTTATATATATGGCGACATTTATATTTGTGAATTTATATTTATATATGTTTTATAATATGTTATAAAAATATTTTATGAGGGTCCTCAGAAAGCTTGTGGAAAGATGGATTTAAAAGATAAAAATAAAAAACATAAACTTTATTTCTCAGCCTAAGTTCCATCAAGGTCAAGATGTTCCCAAATCAAACAGGTCGGGCTGCTACTTCTCGCAGCCCAATAACGAGATGCAGATGAACTAGGGAGGAAGAGTTTTTATTTTCTGCAACTGGTTACAAGGAGAAGGCCTAGAAATTATCACGAGACCAACTCAAAATTACAGTTTTCCAGAGCTTATATACCTTCTAAGCTATGTTTCTACATGTAAGTGTGCATTCATCTAAAGACATAAGTGATTAACTTCTTCTAGTATGTGGAAAAAGGCCTGAGTCTTGAAGACCTTCCTCTGGAGCCTCAGTAAATTTACTTAATCTAAATGGATCCAGATGCTGGGGTGATTACCTTTATCTTGTCTCCTGCTAAATCACGAAGATTTGGGAGTTCCTTCAGACCCCCAGCAAACTTGTTTTTGGAGGCCTGGGGAGTTTCTTCAGACCCCCAATGAAACTTGCTTAATCCTAAATGGGTCCTGTTAAGAATTCCTTCATCATTTTGTCATGCTTTAAGACCCAGGAAAGGCCAAGGCAAAACTCTTGGTGGGCTTTTGTTACATCCCAGCCTTTGTATAAGGGCATTGGGTCTATCAACTTTTAATATTTAACTTACGCACTCAGTGGGTGCTGAAACAGTTGTTACGGAGGCCTGCGTTAGTGAGACCTGGCCTGCCCACAAAGACACTTTTGCAGGGCAGGATCCCAGTCATTTAGTCTATTTCTAAAGAACTGAGGTTCCTCAAAATTTAACCATGTAAATTCTGCCCTTTAATTTTATTAACTGAAAGAAAATGGGTGTCCTTTACAGATTTTTTAAGATTAGAAAATCTAAAAAATGTCAGAAGGAGCCAAATCAGGACTACATGGTAGAGGCCTAATGATTTCCCCTGGAAACTCTCACAAAATTGCATTTCTTGGATGAGAGGAGTGAGCAGGAGCATGGTCGTGGTTCAGGATTCTCTGGTGATGGTGTCTTGAGCATTTTTCTCCTAAAGCTTTTCCTAACTTTCTCAAAACACTTTCATAGTAAGCAAATATTATCATTTATTGGCCTTCCAGAAAGTCAACAAGCAAAATGCCTTAAGCATTCCCCAAAACTGTTGCCATGACCTTTGTTCTTGACTGGTACACTTTTGCTTGGACTGGACCACTTCCACCTCTTGTTAGCTATTGCTTTGTCTTCATGATTGTACTGGTAAAACCTTGTTTCATATCCTGTTACAATTTTTCAAAGAAATGCTTCAGGATCTTGATCCGCTTGTTAAAAATTTCCATTGAAAGCTCTGCAGCTGATCTGGGCACCACAGTTTTAGCACTTATAGAGTGAAAAGTTTACTCAATTTTAGTTGTTCATTTGGAATTGTGTAAGCTGAACTAATTAAGATGTCTATGGTATCTATGGTTTATTGTTTTTGCTGTTAATTGTCAGTCATCTTTAGTGAGGGCCAAACAAGATGATTTTTTTTTCTTTGCAAATTGATGTGGATGGTCTGCCCCTGTGGGACTTCATCTTTAGCATTGTCTCATCCCTTCTTAAAATGAGTTATCCATTTGTAATCTGCTAATTTCTTTGGAACATTGTTCCCATAAACTTTTCCTAAAACATCAATGATATTACCATTATTCCACTCAAGATTCACCATAAATTTGATGTTTTCTCTTGCTTCAATTTTAGCAGAATTCATGTTTCCCTGATAGGGGCTCTTTTCAAACTGATGTCTGATTCCTCTTAGTGCCTCAAACTAGATCCTGTTCTGACATGGTATAAGAAGCTGATATGAGTTTATTTTTGGTACAAGAAAATTTTGAAAACCACGCATAGTGTTTTCTTACTATGTGTTTTCCTTGATCTTTTTGAAAACATCATAATGTTTCGGGGAAATAATTATTTTTACAGTGTCTCCATAGTCTTACTGGCACATGTTTTCTATGAGAGGTTTTACAAATAGTCATTGTCACTGAACTTCTGATCCACACACTTCATGTATACATTAGGCAGAATTCTTCACATACTTGAAAAGTAGGTATTTAAAACAAGAGAGATCAGTTCATGTAAATGTATACAAGTCTATATAAGCAATTATTAGGACCTAAACAAGCATATTGGCTCTGAAATAGGAAGAATGATTAATTATAGATATTGTTTAAATAAATGAAATGTGTTAGTCTATAAATATGAAAGTTTCAAGAAAAACTGTCCCACAATCTTTTGGTCATTATTACTTTGCACTGTCTACCCTTCAGCCCTCTGTCCAATAATATATTGTTTCAAATCTTATAAAGTATTTTTAAAATAAAAGGCAACAAAATTAATGTTTCTAGTAGGACTCATTGATGTGTAAGATTTTTCATTATTAGAGTCACCTGTCTTGTGGTGTGCACTTCATTCATGTATGCATATAAAACAATATTCTGCCACTGACAGTTCCGTATTTGGCATAAAGCAGAGAAACAATTATTGGAGACTGTCAGAAACTAATAGCACTAACAATGTTCTTAACAATTGGAAATACAGGTTTTCAGTATTGTTTCCAAAATGCTGCAGTTATAGAAACAACTAGAGTAAGTTCAAATTTATGTTGAATAATGAGATTTTTAAATTTTTAATATTTGTGGGTATATAGTAGGTGTATATATTTGTGAAGTACATGAGATGTTTTGATACAGGTATGCAATGTGAAATAAGCACATCATGGAGAATGAGGTATACATGCCTTCAAGTATTTATCCTTTGAGTTAAAAACAATCCAATTATACTCCTTAAGTTATATTAAAATGTAAAGTTTTTAACAGCAGTAAAATATGTGCACGCTATTGCTGACTCCATTCCTTCAATGTTGCCCCTACCTAAGAAATGCTAAAGAAATAATTAAATAAGATAACACAGTTCTGTGGTTTGGCAGATTTTTTCTTCCTGGTTTTTAGGGAGACCTTCAAGATTATGAATGGAAATTAAAAGAAGGCGGATAGGAAAGAAAAAGGGAAAACAAAGAGGTACAACAAAATGTAAAGTAAAAGTAAGTGTAGAGAGAAGATGTCAAGGAGAAAGGCAGTTTTCCCCCAATTTATTTTCAAAATACTTCATGAGGTCAATAAGATTATATTTGTGTAACTTAAATTCCATTTAAATTTATACCGTTGGAAATTTCCAGATGTTATTGTCTGATCAGTTTTCTTATTAGTGATTAAACCACAAGAAAACTTAAAGAAAGATCAAGTTTAGATTAGATATATGAGAAGGTTTGAAAATTTGTAAGTTTGGTTCTTAACGTAGAGTAAAATCTTGACATAGCCCAATAATAACTAAACTTGAGTAACATTCATGAATTCACTATTACCTTACATACTGTACTTGACTTTCAGAAGAAAATTGATCAGAATTATGAAAGTATATGTTTAACTTAGAAAAATGGAGAATTTTACCAATTAAAGCATAATGTACTGGTTTGGTGTTCTAAATCATATTATATGAAATGTTAGCATAAAATAATATTTAGCTATGAGAACTACACAATATAAATTATATGTCAATAGAGAGTTTAAAACACTTGTGATTTTAAACAGCCTTTATAGTCTCCATGTCTTTTCATTAAAATTTAATATTTACCTTATAGAAGATTGTAGAGTAAGGAAAAGAAAATCATCTGATTTCTAACAACAATTATTTAAATTTTAAGGAATTCTAATAATTATTTTTAAAAGAAATATTGCTAAAAGTATTTTGATGTTAATTTATTTGTTAATATATTCACTAATTATTGTCTGTGTGTTCTCTAGGTAAAGGAATGTTAATATTTTCTATAATCAAAATTAATTGCTGTGTATAACACACAGTAAACAAGTATAAAGTCATTGTAAGATTCTGACAAACCCACGTTTTCTACTATAATTTAAAAATGATACGTTACTGCAAATACCATTCCATTTAGAAAGGTAAAAAATATTAGAGTTAGAGAAAGCAATTGAAATGATAATGGTGAAATTTCCAGACAATATTGAAAAAATAAGGACAAAGAAGCAAGGAAGCTTAAAGGGGGAATGTGTTAAAAGCAGCCAGTTAAAAAATTACTTCTTAACTGGCATTCTAACGATTTTATTTAACTATTTGACTCTCCAGTGATCCCCATGAAAGATAATTTTGTGGTGGCCATGTTGCAAGCTTCGTTTATTCTTTAAGGATTTTCATTATTTTAAATCTAGCTTTTAACTCACCTCTCATGCTTTAAAATTTCTGTGTATTTTGTCTTCAATAATTTAACTGTTAATGCTATTCCACATTATGTTTCAAATGCCCTTCTTCCTACTGGCTTCTCTCTTTTTCACATCACCTTTCATTGTTTCTCTACTAGATTTCATCTAAGAAAATTTAGTGTCTTCTCTCTCAATTATACAGTAAAATATGGTGTAAACCACGTAGTTGGAGTAGGTCTACACTCAAGTAAGCATATAGGCATATTCTGAGTACCATTAAAAAATACATGTTTAGGAAGAAATGTAAAACATAGTTGCAAAGGAGCTATACAATAATCCAAAGGAAAAATGAAAAAATATAGTTGAACATCTATATATGTATACTTTTATTTCATTAAGATTCATATTTAAAAATTGTTATATTTATTCATCCTAAATTACATTGGCCATTTTTAGATGTTTGAGATGTTTAACATTTAAAGATATTCCTGACAGTGACATCAGCTATATGTAAAATCTGAAAAGATAATTTTAATGTAAATTGATTTGTTTTCACTATTTAATAATTGAATAATAATTAATTGACCATTTTTCCATTGCTTGATAAAATATGTGCAAATGATATGTGTTATTTGATCTGGACTGCTAGGAATTCTCTGGTATTAACATAACACTAGTTTTAACGTCTTCACAGTCTTAGAGAAATAATATTTTTTATTCCAATTCACTTTTCCTTTACTGTTTGCAGTAAAGTGAAAAGATAGAATTCCACAACGTCAAAAATCGTTTCCAAAATTTGTACTTTCCCGAATTATCTTCTTCACTAAAATAATAAAACGTAGAACCATGTAATGTCAATCATTTATGTGAGTTGTCAAAGATCCTTTAGCAGAGAAAGTTCTGCCTCCACCTTTACCATTTCCCTATCTCTGTCTCTGTCTCTATCTGTTTCATCTCTCTATCTCTACCTCTATCTCTCTCTCTCTATCTCTATCACTATCTCATCTAACAGATTTAAAGTTGAAAACAAAGGAGCCATATTCATTTAGATTTCAAAATCAGAACTGCCATCATAGCAAACGTGAAGTCAAAATTAAAGGAAAAAATAGTTTTACACTTTGATTCATGTCAAACTGAGAAAAATACAACTGCAAATAATTGTTTGACAGTTTCTGTTTAAATTTTTATTACAAGTCTTTTTTTTTCATTTACTTGTTGCTGAATGCTGTGATTTATTTATGCTGTCATTTCTTTATGCTATATGATGAAAGCAAAAGTAGAATGCCTGGGGAAAATCAACTGTCAAACTGAATTCAGACATTATAGTTTCTGTGATGTCAAAAAAAGTCAGTTCTGGCCGGGCGCGGTGGCTCGCACCTGTAATCCCAGAACTTTGGGAGGCCGAGGCGGGCGGATCACGAGGTCAGGAGATCGAGACCATCCTGGCTAACACGGTGAAAACCCGTCTCTACTAAAAATACAAAAAATTAGCTGGGCGCAGTGGCGGGCGCCTGTAGTCCCAGCTACTCGGGAGGCTGAGGCAGGAGAATGGCACAAACCCGGGAGGCGGAACTTGCAGTGAGCCGAGATCGGGCCACTGCCCTCCAGCCTGGGCAACAGAGCGAGACTCCATCTCAAAAAAGAAAAAGAAAAAGTCAGTTCTGTCACACACAAACACGTGTAAGGTTGGGAAACATGATTTTGCTGTTTTTTCTTGCCCTTCTCCTCCTTCTTCGGTTTTATCTATTTTAAAATGCTGAAGTACATAATGCCGTCATAAAGTCTTTTACTAGTTTTTTGTTGGGGGGTGATGATAAAAGGGGTGACTAAGATCATTGGATTTACCATACCACATACTTACTAGTATCTATGAGCCAGTAATGGAAGAAAATCACAAAGAACAAATATTTTATATTATCCTTAAAAATTATCCTGGTGAGCATTTCTCCTTCCCAAAACACAAAACAGAAAGATGAACTACCAGGCCTCCCAAAAGCATTTTTTTGATTTGTTGTTGCCTTCAGTCATATTTTAGGAACAAAATGCTGAAGGCCTTGGAAGTTATCTAGATGAAAAACAAAAAAATACAGAAACAATATTGAAAACAACATAAAGTATAATAGATGAAAATCTAACTTTATCAGTTTTGACAACATGATTTTTCTATTTTCTATATGATTTCAGTGTGGTTGCTTTGCAAAGAGGCAGCAAAACTCACATTTTATAAACTCAGAATTGTACTTACATTTATATTTATATGTAAACATCTGAAATTATATAATACATATATCATATATATTTATATGTGTGTATGTATATTTGTTAACGTATTCCATTTAACTTTTTTCTTTTCATATCATTATTCTAGTCTCACCCTATTCTGCTAGCTGACCTGCTAAAGTTAACATAAATCAGTTGTGAATTAAAATGGATATTTCCACCTATAAACAGTTTTCAATGATAACAATGCTTAAGTTGCCTAAATTTTGTATGTGAAAGAGTTGAACTAATAAATAGGCTAAAAGGTAAGTTCTGAAAAACATAGCACACAACAATATTTAAATACTGTAAGAGTTATTTATCATATGAACTAAAAAACCTTAAATGAAGTTATACATTAAGAAAACTATCAATTTAGCCTTGTTTAATAATAATTTTTATAGTTTCTACTATCTACTTCCCAGCAAAAGCCCTATGAAATCCCTTCATTCCTTTGTATAGGGAGATACATCTTCTCTCTGTTACTTCCCTTCATTCTTCCATCCATCCATCCATCTTCCATCCATCCATCCATCCATCCTACTTCATTGCAGTTATTTGGTGCAGTAGTTTTTTGGGCGTCTAACATTCTCTGCTAGATGCTAGGTACCCCTTGACCCTGTCTTCGTCTAGGAATTTGATTTATAGATATTGATTAATTACACACAGGCAACAATAAATGTGACATAAAGCTTTTGTTTCACATAGTAGATAGCAAAATTATAACCCAAGGCAATGAACTCAGGTTCAGTCAGGAATTAAACAAGAGTAGAAGTAAGGTGTAGAGGATGGCAGCATCTGGGGAATGCAGGCAGCTTTGGGTTTTTAATTGTTGTTCCGGGTCAGCATGAGTTGAGGTGTCCTCCTTTGGCATAGATCTCATTTGGTTTGTAATTGTGACGGACGCCAAGGGGAATGAAGAAGAATGGGCTTTCTTCTCAGATAACACAGATATGGGACAAAAAATAGAGAAGAAATTTGAGGACCTAAAAAATCTCATTGATAAAACATCAGCACTAGAATCTTTCTCTTTATTTCAAGTAGACTTTTTTTTCTTTATTGCCTTCCTAAGTCTCTAGAATTGATCATCTTTAAACCCAGTAAGTAACCTCATTCTTCTTTTTAGATCACTTTCAAAAATAGAAAAATAAGTCAGTCCCAAGAGAGTCAGCTCATAGTTCTGAGTTGGATCTTAATTGAGTATTAATTTTGAAAAAAAAAGTTACTTTTTACTACATTTTAAGTTGATTGCGAATTACTTCAAAATATAATGATAGACTGGATTAAGAAAATGTGGCACATATACACGATGGAATACTATGCAGCCATAAAAATGGTGAGTTCATGTCCTTTGTAGGGACATGGATGAAGCCGGAAACCGTCATTCTCAGCAAACTATCACAAGGACAAAAAACCAAACACCGCATGTTCTCACTCATAGGTGGGAATTGAACAATGAGAACACATGGACACAGGAAGGGATCATCACACACCGGGGCCTGTTTTGGGGTGGGGGGAGGGGGGAGGGATAGCATTAGGAGATATACCTAACGCTAAATGACAAGTTAGTGGGTGCAGCACACCAACATGGCACATGTATACATATGTAACAAACTTGTACTTTGTGCACATGTACCCTAAAACTTAAAGTATAATAATAATAATAATAATAATAATAATAAAATTCTGATTAAGGGGGTAGTTCCTGTAGCAGTTTTAATGGCTGGAGGAACCAAAAACATATATGAATTATAATCTTCCACCGACACTACCCCCACTTATCTCCATCAGGCCCAAGTAAATTTTGATATGAGTTATACAATAAAGGTATAATTGTAACTGGGATGCAAACTGGCATTTCATTTTTAAAGCTGAGCCGATGCCAGTGCTAGAACAACTGGCTACCTTTACCTGGGTGTGAATCTTGCTAGTCTCCACCTACATGAATGATTTAGGAAATAAAATAATGTTTAACACTTTATAAAGCCTAGAGGTTAAAATCACTTATATGTTTATTGAAAATGTGTCCCTTATATGTATATTTCAAATATGTTTACATTTTATTTACACATGAGTGTAGTTGTTGCAGTAAAAGAAAATTCCAGCCAGGCGCGGTGGCTCACGCCTGTAATCCCAGCACTTTGGGAGGCTGAGGCAGGTGGATCATGAGGTCAGGCATTCGAGACCAGCCTGGCCAACACAGTGAAACCCCATCTCTACTAAAAATACAAAAAATTAGCCGGACGTGGTGGTGGGCGCCTGTAATCCCAGCTACTTGGGAGGCTGAGGCAGGACAATCGCTTAAACCTGGAAGGCAGAGGTTTCAGTGAGCCAATATCGTGCCACTGCACTCCAGCCTGGGTGACAGTGCAAGACTTCGTCTCAAAAAAAAAAAAAAAAAAGAAAAAGAAAAGAAAATTCCTATAATTATGTTTATTGTTGGTTTTCTTTCTATGCAGTTGAATGGATGCCACTGCTTGCCTAATTGTAATCCCCTTCTGGGGATTTCTTCAAAATTTTCACTCAATATATTCTCTTTTCTCTCCTTTAAATTTCTCTAATCACGAGGACTCCACCATGACCTAAAATAATTGGAAAAATAACCACTCTTTCTTATCCTAATCTTTAAAATCAGTAAAGTAGAGGTTATACAGCAAAAAAAGAGAGATACTCATTGCTAGCTCTGTTTAAACATGGACATTGTGTAAAAAATATTTCGGTACTGCTAGACTTAGACGAGTGATGTGAGATAAAAATGACTAGCCTCAAAGACTAAATAAGTACCCTAAAGAAATTCTTTCTAACTTCTAATTCTAGCGTGGAGTCATTCTTAATTTTTTATTTACATTGCAATTCTTGCTATTTTAACTGCAAAGCATTCTTTTTCCTTAAAGCTATTATTTTAACTCTATTTTTACACCTATAATATGTTAGAAACATTGTGTTTTTTCACTTTTCTGTTTATTCCTTGCTTTAAAAATTATATTTTCACAAAGACTTTTATTTTTCCTGTTTATTGGAGGAGATGATATAGGCATGTATAAGAACTTCATTACTCATTCATTAAAAATACCCACTGTAGTTATATACACAATTTTAGTGTGCGAAACCCACCACATGACACTTAGGCATTATTTTCATCATGCTTCACTACGTGATCTGGAATGCATTTTGTAATGGGGTAAATAAGCACACAATTTTGCTGCCAAGTGCAATGCCTTGTTTATATGTTCTGAGATTATAGTCATATGTTTATGTGTTCTGAGATTATATTAACATGGTAAGTCTGTTAGTAGAATTTGCATCATATTTAGTAAAAGTACACAGGGATATCTGTGTCTTGCCCTGCCTACTACAAATTTTTTTGCACATTGGCATATTCATTGCCAATTTCAAGCCTAATCTAGATTGAAATCCACTATAACAGCAAATTTTTAAAATTTTTAGATTTTCTAGAAAAGCAAGCATGTGGGTATTTTTTGCCAACAGAGGTATCCATTTGTGAACTTGAGGAGGAAAATCTGAAAAAGTCGGGTGATTGTTTTCTATTAAAAAACTCCCCAAATGTGTTGACCAATTATTTTCCTATAAGATCTCTACACTACACACAAAGGATAAGAACAACAAAAGGTGCTTCAGTGACTGATACACCAGTACTGTATGCCGGATTAGTCCAGACAACTTGGGCTCACAGTCAAGTGGCACCATACACTCCTCATGAGCACAATTTAAATCACAGCATGACTTGGAATAACATTGTGAAATGTTGAAGATCAACTCATAAGTGGGCAGATGGGCAGGAGGAAGGACAGGTGAAAAGGAAAAAGAACAACAAGCCATTTAGATAAAAGACAACTGAAAGACAAATATATTTACATGAACTTTTAATATTCATTGGCCCCACTACATCACTGCATATTAAAGTGGCGACCATGATATTAGGATTTCTCCTCTGTCAGGAGAGATAGGAAGGAGGTGAGAAGAAGTAAACAGATCTCATTTTTATTGATGTTGTTATTATTATTTTGTTTTTGTTTTGCAGTGATTGGTTAATGTGTAATGTCTCTCCTGGAAATCTTCTGTTTTGAAAGAGTGTTCATAAAGAATAAAATGACTCTCATTTAAAATAGTTTTAAAAATGAAAAGTGCCAGGAGAGATCATGGTTCTTAAGCACAGAAAGTATGTATAAATTATCACATGCTATACCACCACTGAAAGATTGAAAAGCTCTAATAAACTAATTAGTAGCTATATGTATATATGTATATACGTATATAGGCATATATATGTATATGTACTCATATACATATATAACTACCAATAAATATATATGTATTATATATAATACTAGTATCTATTAGTGTGGAGATATATATATATATATAACTTGTATAGCTTGTATTTTGAGCTTTAGTACAGTAATTGTCATCAGTTATAAAATAAGTATTCCTAAAGATCACATTTTAATGACTAGATTAAGAGTGCAGTCTAGCAAAATTTGGAAGAATACAAGCGAAACCACTGTCGAGAGGTTTTTAGTTATGTAAACATGTGGAAACATTATATTAGTGATAGCTTCTATGCAATCCCTGATACAAAAACAAAAACCTATATTTCTTATAATTCTGATAATAAGAAACAAGTAATGGAAATTAGTAAACATGAAGAATATGAAAACTTACAATATTGAAAAATGGCTTTCCTTTTAGCTTGTCACACTTGTTATATTAAAATATTAATAGCAACAAATATCAAAATGTACATGTACCACCCCATGATGGATGTTTCAGAAAACTAATCATTTAGTTAGGCGTCATTTATACTTTTAGGTTTACTTTTAAAGCCTTTTTTTACTGGATATCCTGAATAGCCTAATGAGACCTCAGGTGGGTAGATAAGAAACTATGTGATTCTTTCCAGAAGTACTGAGGAAGGGCAGGTTTGAAATAATGCCAGAGTCTCTTGTTCTTCTCAACTTTTAATGTGGCAAAATGAGCTGATGTGGCAAAAGTAGAGCATCTCTTGTATCTCCCTTTAAGGCACCACTGCAGTTATAGCTTACATGTGATAATGGGAAAGTTCAGACTTCTGGTACAGATACACCGGATAGTATATTAGATTTTAATGTCTACTCTTCTTGATCTTCCAGAAAGATTTCAGTTGCATCACCTATGATAAGCATCTCATTGACAAGTGTGTCTCCAAGTTAGCTTGTTGAAACCAAGGCTAAGAAGAATCTTGAATTATTAGCCAACCCATCTCTAGCTTTACTACCAAATACTTATGCACCTTAGTGGAATTTACTTGCTATTAACCACTTTTTCTCTTTTTATATAAAATGACTAGAAAGCATGTCTGACATTTTTCTTGCAAGGAACAGAATTAGTTGATGAATACCAAAAGACTGTTAATAATGCATTGCACAAGAATGTGATCTTTCAATGAATATTACTCTCTCTTCCTCCTGTCAGATAATGCCTAGGATAGAGACCTGTCATATTTATTTTGTATTTGTTGATGAGTATGCCACTTTTGATTGCCAATGGGAGCCATTAATCTTTGCATATATAGAAAACTAACTCCAGTCATTAGTGTGTCAGTTAGGCTGAACAGACATAACACTGCATTGCATTTCCAGTAGAATATTCAGAGTACAGGTTATACATGAAGTATGAAAAGAACCAGGGACAAACTTAACAGTATGAACTACTAAAAATAACATTCTTTTCCTATAAGCAACTATTTAGAATGTACATATATATATTTGAATTCCTAAAAAAAATCTAGCAAATTGCTGTTAATCAAAGCTAAATAGGATAAGATTTCTTAACAAATAAGCAAGAAGCAAAGATATTCACCTCTCATAATATTCAAAATAGAAATAAAAACTTAAACTTTGACTAACTCTATGCTATGAGAAGACGTTGAAAGGATGACATGGAAAGTATAACTATTCTTCACATTCTGGAAAAAGCCCAACACAACTTGAGAAGAATTACAACACATAAAATATGTTCAGTGAAGCAATTAATATTCAATGCCCCCAAATTAGTGACACGAGGAAAACAAAAAAAAATACATTACATTTAATAAAACAGTCCATAGAAGGACATTTAGCAGTTATCCTAATTTAGAAATTATCAGACAGGGATCAATAACCATGATAAATTGTTAAAAGATCTACTGGGGAAATGGACAGCACTGCTAAGAAAATAAAAAGACAATCTACATACTTTCAATATGCGTATCATTTAAGAATCTAGTATCATATTATATACAGAACACAAACAAATCCGTATAAAAATAGTTTGCATAGAGCTTATAAAAATACATAGCAAAAAGAATATCAAATAATCACATAATGTTCAAGTCAACAATGCTGTAAGATAAATGCAAATTTAAAACAAATGAAAAGAGTTATAAGCTAACCAGAAGGGCTAAAATTTAAAGCAAATAATACCAGGTTTTGGCAAGAATCTTTCTTATATTGTCAGTGGGACATTAACTTTTATACACTTTGGAAAACTATTTAACATTATCTAGTAAACATACAAAAATGTATCCATTGACTCAATAGTTCTATTTCCAGTCATTTACCCAAGAACAGTAGAGATTTTTGTTCACCAAGACTTGCAGAAAAATGTTCAAGAGAATGAATTAACAAATTGTGATGTGTTTGTACAATGTGATATTAGCCAGAGATAAAAAATAAATAAATAAGCTGCTGCTACAAAATAAGCCAAACACAAATGGTTACATAATCTACAATTCAATTTACGTTAAGTCCAAGGAAACACCAAACTAGTTGAGAGTGACTGAGATAAGAAATTGCTAGTCAGACTGGTTAGCAAAAATTGGTAAGCAAGGAGCCCAAGGGGGCGTTCTGCTGTGATGTAAATATTCTATACTTTATTACATAGGCATATATGATAGTCAAGACATACTAAATGTTTGAAATTCCTATTCTGCTTACATAGGACTTAGTTAGATTTCTGTTGAGTAAGACTCTATTATTTCTACATTTTTAGCTGCATTTCGATTAAATTAATAAATCATTTTCTATCAAAAATTAGGAAGATATTCTATAGTAACTTAAAAATTCTTTACAGTTTTTCTCTCAAATTTAAATCTTTAATATATCTAGAATTGACACAATTTTATTTTTAAACTATAGATAACTACTTGTGCAAATAATATTTATTGAAAGGATTTTACAGTGACACCTTTTTCATGTATGGTGTTTATGTGTCTGGGTTTGCTTCTGGTCTCTCTTTTATGTATGTACCACCTTTGGCTTTTTTTTTTTTTTTTTTTTACCATTTCAAACTGTCTTAATTACTATCACTTTATAATGGTTCTTGATATCTTATAAAACCCTAAGAGGACAATTAGTGCTCTTTCTCTAATCACTTATTTCACCCATCTCACATAATAGCTATTTCTAAACATTATGATATATTCTTAAAGCCCTTGCCCTGGCCACTTTCTGCATTACACTCAGCAGAATACCTTGAGTCCTACTTAATAGAGAACATAATGGCTTCCAGGCCTTCCACCTACAAACTTATTGGCATCATCAATCATCCTTATAGCCTTCCTTCCAGTTTTAGTAGAGCAGATGTTACTGCTGTGGAATGGCAATAACTGCAGTTGTCGTCTGAATCCCATCTCCTCCTATTTTGTCAGGATCCTTATACCATTAATTTCTCTCTCTTTTCACCTATTACCTTTTATTAAAAACATTTTTCCTCACTTTTGGGAAAAAATTAGTCATTATTTTTATTTTTTAAAATAATACATTTTAAGAATAAAAATTAATGTAAATTTAAAAACATTTTGATGTTTATCTTTTTGCTGTATGTGTCTCACAGAGTTCATATTATACTCTAAAAAGTCTTGTACCTATGGTGTTTATGAGCATAGCTCATGAACGTGTCTCATGTTATCAAATATTCTTTAAATATATGAGTACCTTCTATAGAGAATTGCATCATTGGGACATGCATATATCCCCTTTGTTTTGCAACATTTTGAAATTAATGCAAGTGCTTATGTTTTGTTTTAAATTGAAACAAGGAAAATGAAAAGAACTCAACATACAGAGTTAAGTATCTTGTGGATATATGTACATATATGTTCATATAACCTCCTTCTTATCAACACAAATAGATGATTAAGTGTTCTATTCTCAACATATCTGCTTTAAATTATTCTTGATCATTTTGTATGTTAACATAAATATAATGACTAGTATTTCCTATATCCCCAAACTATACCATACTTTATTAACTACTCTCCTGTTTTTAATTTCCTGTTCTCTATTATGTCCATTCTTCCTCTGACTCACTTCCTCTTTTCCCACTACTAATGTTTCAGAAAATTCTAATTTTAAATTATATTCTCAATGGTTGTACTTCTTCTGAAGTACCAATTGATGATTGTTCAACAATCTCCAAGCCATCTAAATTTACTTTCTATGTTCAAACCTAATTACATCTAATAACTGATTAGAAGTTTGCTTATTCCACAAAAATCAACACTTCTAAACAAAAATTTTCACTAGACCTAATACAATATTTACTTACTCAAGTCTGTTCTTCTCAATATATTATCTCTTTGTTAAATGTCAATCCTATTGATCTAGTTGCATAAACCAGAGATGGAAGTCGTCCTTGAGTCTATTTATTCTTATGGCCAATCAAGAGCAAAGTATAACAGATTTTACTTCCTTAGTGTCATTCAGCTCTATTACCTCTGAATCATCCTCAATCTTACTGTTTTATTGCCCTTATTGTTTACTTATCTCTAAACTTAATTACTAAATGAATATTTTAATTTCCCTCTCTGAAGCCATCCAGATTCCCCTAATGTAATATTTCAAGCTATACACTGCTATTAGTGTGATCTTTCTAAAATGTGTAATAATAATAATGTCACTTCTATGCATAGAATTGTGTCCTCAAACAATTATGCTTCACAATAAAAAGTTGATTTAAAAAAATTCACATAAAAATTCTGTCACAGTAACAATTCAAAGATAACCTCTTAAGATCTTGTCTGTTTAATTAAACACTAACTTAGGTACTGCTGGGGAGGGACTAGATTACCATTCAACTGATCTTAAAATAGGGAAACTATCCTGGCTTATCATGATAGGCCCAGTGTAATCACACATGCCCTTAAAAAATGAAGAGGAAGTCAGAGGAGAGATGTAAATGGAGTCAGTCCTAGAGATTTGGTAGCAGAGAAAGTCAGAGAAACTCAAGGCATGAAAGGAACTCAATCATCCCTGGCTGCAGGAAGGTTCATGGAAAGCAGGAGAAGGAATGCAGCAACAATATAGAAAAAAAGGTGGAAGGAAATAGGACCTCAGTCCTACAACCACAATAAACTGTATTCTGCCAAGAAGCCAGTATGAGCTTAGAAGCAGATTCTTCCCAGAGCTTCTTGATAAGAGCCCAGATGACTAAAACCTTGGTGATGGCCTTATGAAACCCAGACCAGAGAAGCCAATCAAGCCAATCCAGACTTCTGACCTACCGAACTGTGAGATAATAAATTTGTGTTGTCTACACTGTGAAATTTGGAATAATTTGTTACAGCAGCGACAGAAAACTAATGAACCTTTATAATCCTACTCCACTCTCTTGACCTTTATCCTTGATCACTGACCCTTTCCCACTTTACCTTGAAGTATCCAGAAATACATGTTTATATATTATCAGGCCCTCTGCTGTCTCAAGGTGCATGTATTCATGCTAGCTTTTTGTGTAAATCTTTTTACTTTGCCTGGCTAATTTCCATTTACTCTTCACAATTCATCATAGCTATCATCTCTTCTGGAAACCCACCTGAACTATCACGTCTCTGTTGGGTGCTCCACTTATATTACCCTATACACTTTGATTTATTTCCATCAAAGCAAGTAAGATGTTCTCTGGTACTTATCAATGTGTCTGTCTTCTCATCTTCAAATATAAGCTCTTTGAAGAGAATGACTGTAAATTATATCTCTGAATTGCCTGAGTTTAGCAC